>NC_000002.12:204459314-204762345 GCF_000001405.40 Homo sapiens
ACTATAGGTGACCACTTTCCAGTGAAGGACATCCTAGAATAGTCTCGGTCACAACAAAGCAGGCTTGCATGTTCAGGAAATGTCAGGCTTCTAAGAATGAGCTTTGAACTATTTTACCAGTAGAATAAAGAAATTGGGTGGCTTCCCTCCCTCATATAGAGTTGGTAGCTTCTCTCTCTCTCTCTCTCTCTCTCTCTCTCTCTCTCTCTCTCTCGTGTACTCTTCCCTAGGGTATGTTCTTTTTACCATTTTGTCATTCTTACATATGCAAAATAGATGGATTTTAAGTTCTTAGGGAACTGTGATTGGCACTAGTCCCTTAAAAGTTATTTTGACATGATGGTGTTGGTTTGATTATCATGTATATGAGCTTCATGTTCAGCTTCTTGAAGGCACTCCCCTGGAGTGCCTATAAACTTGGACTTCCCTTAGGATCGTAGAGAGTGCTCTGCATATTGTACATAATGAAAGCTGTTTAATTGATTCATAGGCAGGGTAAGACTAGCAACCATGTTCTTAGATCAGAGAAACTTTGATAGCTCTTTTGAGAACTAGTTGTGATTAACTATAGTACTAGATTGAAAATTAATTATAGTTATCTTAAATAGTGATTTCCAATCTGTATAAACACAAAAATCTCCCCCCAAGTGTAGAATATATTTACAGAGTTTACACACTAATAGGTTTAATATTCACTAATTCAATAATGACAAAAAGTTGCTCTGAATTAATATATATTTATAATTTATCAACAAAAGCAACCATATTAATTCAAAGTGGTTGTATCTATTATTCAGTAATTAATGCTTGGGGTCCATCTGGATCTTAGAACTCTTTGCTATAATTCTATAGTTAAGACTCCTCCAACTGTAGATGACAGTTATTTTGTTCAAATTACCATAGCAAAAAGGGAATTAATTAATTGATATCTGAGACATTCAAGAAGAGGCACTAGTTTTAAATAAGGCCCAGTCCAGGCATTCACATGATGTCACCATGCCCTTCTCTCCCTCTCTCCAGCTCTTCACTGTGCTTTCTTCTCTGCTGGCTTCCTTCTGCAGCTAGTTTTCTCTAGTTAGTGGCAGAGATGGCCACAGCAACTCCAAGGCTGTTCTGTCCTTACAGCCAGTGAACCAGGATAAGAGATCAACCCCTTTCTCACTTAACATCCATATTAGTCCCCCACTGTGTGTTGCTTTGGCTGTGGTTGAGTTAAATGCCCACCTCCAACCAAAATAGTATCCGGAGAGAAAGAAACTGGATTTGTCAACCAAGATAATGTGAGGAAAGGTGGGGCTGGATGGTTTAACTGGGGCTGGACAAGAAAACAACAGGAAAAATTGCTGGGCAGATGAAAAATTAGCTGATGAGGGCCGGGCGTGGTGGCTTATGACTGTAATCCTAGCACTTTAGGAGGCTGAGGCAGGTGGATCAGTTGAGGTCAGGAGTTCGAGACCAGCCTGGCCAACATGGTGAAACCCCATCTCTACTAAAAATACAAAAGTTAGCCAGGTGTTGTAGCATGTACCTGTAATTCCAGCTACTCGGGAGGCTGAGGCATGAGAATTGCTTGAACCCGGGAGGCGGAGGTTGCAGTGAGGTGAGATCGTGCCACTGCACTTCAGCCTGAGTGATGGAGTGAGACTGTGACTCTGTTTTTTTTTTTTTTAAAAAAAAAGTTAGCTGATGGGTACTACTGCAATCCACAGGCTATGGGTAATACTCCTTTTCTCCTTCTTGTATTCCTTTCTCTCTCATTCTTTCATACAGTTGTCTTACAATACCCATATATCAGGTATTGTAAGAAGAGTAACACACCAGTGAACTATAAAGCTTAGTAGTATTTTTTTAGTCCCTTCTTTTTTTTTATACTTGTTTGTAGGGATTCATACCTTTCCTACATATACATTTATTCAATAACATTTGTTGAACAATTAAAATATGCCAAATACATTGATTTTGTAACCTGAGACTTTGCTAAAGTTGCTTATCAGCTTAAGGAGATTTGGGGCTGAGATGGTGGGGTTTTCTAAATGTACAATCATGTCATCTCCAAACAGAGACAATTTGACTTCCTGTTTTCCTGTTCGAATACCCTTTATTTCTTTCTCTTGTCTGATTGCCCTGGCCAGCACTTCCAATTCTATGCTGAATAGGAGTGGTGAGAAAGGGCATCCTTGTCTTGTTCCGGTTTTCAAAGAGAATGCTTCCAGTTTTTGCCCATTCAGTATGATATTGGCTGTGGGTCTGTCATAAATAGCTCTTATTATTTTGAGATATGTTCCATCAATACCTAGTTTATTGAGAGTTTTTAGCATGAAGGGCTGCTGAATTTTGTCGAAGGGCTTTTCTGCATCTATTGAGATAATCATTTGGTTTTTGTCATTGGTTCTGTTCATATGATGGATTACGTTTATTGATTTGTGTATGTTGAACCAGCCTTGCATCCCAGGTATCAAGCTGACTTGATTGTGGTGGATAAGCTTTTTGATGTGCTGCTGGATTCGGTTTGCCAATATTTTATTGAAGATTTTTGCATCGATGTTCATCAAGGATGTTGGCCTGAAATTTTCTTTTTTTTGTTGTGTCTCTGTCAGGTTTGGTATCAGGATGATGCTGGCCTCATAAAATGAGTTAGGGAGGATTCCCTCTTTTTCTATTGTTTGGATTAGTTTCAGAAAAAATGGTACCAGCTCTGCTTTGTACCTCTGGTAGAATTTGGCTGTGAATCCATCTGGTCCTGGACTTTTTTTGGGTTAGTAGGCTGTTCATTGCTGCCTCAATTTCAGAACTTGTTATTGGTCTATTGAGGGATTCGACTTCTTCCTGGTTTAGACTTGGGAGGGTGTATGTGTCCAGGAATTTATCCATTTCTTCTAGATTTTCTAGTTTATTTGCGTAGGAGGTACTTATAATATTCTCTGATGGTAGTTTGTATTTCTGTGGGATCAGTAGTGATCACACTGATCACCCTTTATCATTTTTTATTGCATCTATTTGATTCTTCTCTCTTTTCTTCTTTATTAGTCTGGCTAGCAGTCTATTTTGTTGATCTTTTCAAAACCAGCTCCTGGATTCACTGATTTGTTGAAGGGTTTTTCGTGTCTCTGTCTCCTTCAGTTCTGCTAGGATCTTAGTTATTTCTCGTCTTCTGCTAGCTTTTGAATTTGTTTGCTCTTGCTTCTCTAGTTCTTTTAATTGTGATGTTAGGGTGTCAATTTTAGATCTTTCCTGCTGTCTCTTGTGGAATTTAGTGCCATAAATTTCCCTGTAAACACTGCTTTAAATGTGTCCCAGAGATTCTGGTATGCTGTCTTTGTTCTCATTGGTTTCAAAGAACATCTTTATTTCTGCTTTCATTTTGTCATTTATCCAGTAATCATTCAGGAGCAGGTTGTTCAGTTTCCATGTAGTTGTGTGGTTTTGAGTGAGTTTCTTAATCCTGAGTTCTAATATGATTGCACTGTGGTCTGAGAGACTGTTTGTTATGATTTCCATTCTTTTTCATTTGCTGAGGAGTGTTTTACTTCCAATTATGTGGTCAATTTTAGAATAAGTGCAATGAGGTGCTGAGAAGAATGTACATTCTATTGATTTGGGGTACAGAGTTCTGTAGATGTCTATTAGGTCCACTTGGTCCAGAGATGAGTTCAAGTCCTGAATATCCTTGTTAACTTTCTGTCTTGTTGATCTAATATTTACAGTGGGGTGTTAAAGTATCCCACTATTATTGTGTGGGAGTCTAAGTCTCTTTGTAGGTCTCTAAGAACTTGCTTTATGAATCTGGGTGTGCCTGTATTGGGTGCATATATGTGTAGGATAGCTCTTCTTTTTGCATTGATTCCTTTATCATTATGCAATGCCCTTCTTTGTCTATTTTGATCTTTTTGGTTTAAAGTCTGCTTTATCAGAGACTAGGATTGCAACTCCTGCTTTTTTTTTTTTTTGCCTTCCATTTGATTGGTAAATATCCCTCCATCCGTTTATTTTGAGCTATGTGTGTCTTTGCATGTGAGATGGGTCTCCTGAATACAGCATACCAAGGGGTCGTGACTCTCTATCCAATTTGCCAGTCTGTGTCTTTTAATTGGGGCATTTAGCCCATTTACATTTAAGGTTAATATTGTTATGTGTGAATTTGATCCTGTCATTATGATGCTAGCTGGTTATTTTGCCCATTAGTTGATGCAGTTTCTTCATAGTGTCGATGGTCTTTACAATTTGGTATGTTTTTGCAGTGGCTGGTACCGGTTGTTCCTTTCCATGTTTAGTGCTTCCTTCAGGAGCTCTTGTAAGGCAGGCCTGATGGTGACAAAATCTCTCAGCATTTGCTTGTCTATAAAGGATTTTATTTCTCCTTTGCTTATGAAGCTTAGTTTGGCTGGATATGAAATTCTAGGTTGAAAATTCTTTTCTTTAAGAATGTTGAATATTGGCCGCCACTCTCTTCTGGCTTGTAGGGTTTCTGCAGACAGATCTGCTGTTAGTCTGATGGGCTTCCCTTTGTGGGGAAGCTGACCTTTCTCTCTGGCTTCCCTTAACATTTTTTCTTCATTTCAACCTTGGTGAATCTGACAATTATGTGTCTTGGGGTGGCTCTTCTCAAGGAGTAGCTTTGTGGTGTTCTCTGTATTTCCTGAATTTGAATGTTGGCCTGTCTTGCTAGGTTGGGGAAGTTCTCTTGGATAATATCCGGAAGAGTGTATTCCAACTTGGTTCCATTCTCCCTGTCACTTTCAGGTACACCAATCAAATGTAGATTTGGTCTTTTCACACACCAATAACAGACAAACAGAAAGCCAAATCATGAGTGAACTCCCATTCACAATTGCTAAAAAGAGAATAAAATAACTAGGAATACAACTTACAAGGGATGAGAAAGACCTCTTCAAGGAGAACTACAAACCACTGCTCAAAGAAGTAAAAGAGGACACATATAAATGGAAAAACATTCCATGATCATGGTTAGGAAGAATCAATATTATGAAAACGGCCATACTGCCCAAGTAATTTATAGAGTCAATGCTATCCCCATCAAGGTACCATTGACTTTCTGCACAGAATTGGAAAACATCTTTTTTTTTTTTTTTTTTTTTTTTTTTTTTTTTTTGAGACGGAGTCTCGCTCTGTGGCCCAGGTGGGAGTGCAGTGGTGCAATCTCGGCTCACTGCAAGCTCCGCCTCCCGGGTTCACGCCATTCTCCTGCCTCAGCCTCCCGAGGAAAACATCTTTAAACTTCATATGGAACCAAAAAAGAGCCTGCATAGCCAAGACAGTCCTAAGCAAAAAGAACAAAGCTGGAGGCATCACGCTACCTGACTTCAAACTATACTACAAGGCAACAGTAACCAAAACAGCATGGTACTGGTACCAAAACAGATATATAGACCAGTGGAACAAAACAGAGGCCTCAGAAGTAACACCACACATCTACAACCATCTGATCTTTGACAAACCTGATAAAAACAAGCAATGGGGAAAGGATTCCCTATTTAATAAATGGTGTTGGGAAAACTGGCTAGCCATATGCAGAAAACTGAAACTGGAAACCTTACACCTTACTTACACCTTATACAAAAATTAACTCAAGATGGATTAAAGACTTAAACATAAGACCTAAAACCATAAAAACCCCAGAAGAAAACCTAGGCAATACCATTCAGGTCACAAGCATGGGCAAAGACTTCATGTCTAAAACACCAGAAGCAATTGCAACAAAAGCCAAAATTGACAAGTGGGATCTAATTAAACTAAAGAGCTTGTGCACAACAAAAGAAACTATCATCAGAGTGAACAGGCAACCTGCAGAATGGGAGAAAATTTTTGCAATCTACCCATGTGACAAAGGGCTAATATCCAGAACCTACAAAAAACTTAAATACACTTACAAGAAAAAAACAACCCCATCAAAAAGTGGGTGAAGGATATAAACAGACACTTCTCAAAAGAAGACATTTATGCAGCCAATAAACATATTAAAAAAATCTCATCATCACTGGTCATTAGAGAAATGCAAATCAAAACCACAATGAGATGTCATCTCATGCCAGTTAGAATGGCGATCACTACAATGTCAGGAAACAATAGATGCTGGAGAGGGTGTGGAGAAATAGGAATGCTTTTACACTGTTGGTGGGAATGTAAATTAGTTCAACCATTGTGGAAGACAGTGTGGCGATTCCTTAAGGATCTAGAACTAGAAATACCATTTGACCCAGCAATTCCATTACTGGGTATTTACCCAAAGGATTATAAGTCATTCCACTATAAAAATACATCCACATGTATGTTTATTGTGGCACTGTTCACAATAGCAAAGACTTGGAACCAACCCAAATGCCCATCAATGATAGACTGGATAAAGAAAATGTGGTACATATACACCATGGAATACTATACAGCCATAAAAAGGATGAGTTCATGTCCTTTGCAGGGACATGGATGAAGCTGGAAACCATCAGTCTCAGCAAACTAACACAAGAACAGGAAAACCAAACATAGCATGTTCTCACTCATAAGTGGGAGTTGAACAATTCGAACACATGGACACAGGGAGGGGAACATCACACACTGGGGCCTGTTGGGGGTGGGGCTAGGGGAGGGAGAGCATTAGGAGAAATACCTAATGTAGGTGACGTGTTGATGGGTGCAGCAAACCACCATGGGACGTGTGTATCTGTGTAACAAACCTGCACATTCTGCACATGTACCTCAGAACTTAAAGTATGATTTTTAAAAATGTCCAATAAAATGATGAATATGAATCCTAAATCTGAAATCTTTTTTTCATTTTCCAAAATCTAAATTAGGAATTCTTTATTCTGAAACATGAATAGCATTGCATTCATTCAAAGTAAATTTTCATTTCTACAGTTATCTGTTGGTATTAGTGTTATTAAAGAAGAAATAATACAATGTTTTACCATAAGGAAAGCAAATAAAGTGAGCTGTATATTCATTTTTAGTAACTGTGACTTCTTAAAAACATGCACAATCTCTTATAAAATATTTAAGAGACTTTTTAATCTTGAATAATTATATTGTATTTTTATCACGGTAATGAGAAGGTTTTAAAACAGGGATTTTTTTTACAATTATGATTACATGTTTTGCTTGTAAGTATGAGTTATAGTATTTGAATCTTAATGTCTTAGTGCATTTTTTGAATTTATAGAAAAGACTGTACTCTGTTGACCTTTTTAATATTCTGCTCTCTCATTGGCTACCTATCCTAAACCTTTCTTCCATATTAGTAGGAACTGTTTCAGGGGGAGGAGGAGTAGAAATGCCAGCCAGTCAGAAACCAGAATATTAAAAAGGGCAACATCATACAGTTTTCTGCTACAATTCATAAAGACATTAAACATCCAGTATTTCATCTCCAGACCAAGATTGTAATGAGAATGGAAGATGGCACAACATTAATTCATCTTCGTGACAAATATTGTAATGAGAAAGGAAGTATGCAAGCTACAAATATTTCATTATCTTTTTAAAAATATCTAATATTGGCCGGGCGCAGTGGGTCACGCCTGTAGTCCCAGGACTTTGGGAGGCCGAGGCGGGCAGATCACAGGGTTAGGAGATCGAGACCATCCTGGCTAACATGGTGAAAACCCATCTCTACTAAAAATACAAAAAATTAGCTGGGTGTAGTGGTGGGCACCTGTAGTCCCAACTACTTGGGAGGCTGAGGCAGGAGCCTGGGCAACAGAGTGAGACTCTGTCTCAAAAAAAAAAAAAAAAATCTAATATCTTTTATAATATAATGAGAGTAAATTTGTACTACCTAAAGTTGAGTCCTCTCACTAAATACTTAGTGCCTTTTAAATTAATAGGACTCCTTTGGGAGTATTCTGAAATTAGTCTTAATCCCTAAGAGAGCTACTAGTATGGCTAGGTTAAAATAAATATAAAAGACATTCATTATACAAATAAATAGAAATTTTATTTTGGCTAATATTTCACTGTCATTAAAGTATTTGAACTAAACTAATTATAACTTTCTCATTTTAAATGGTTGCTTTGTTACTACCTTTATATCAGCATAACCACTAAATAAAGTAAAATTTCTTAGTGATTGATTCTTCCATGTGCATTATATGAACAATAAATACAGAAATAAGGGCTTATATATCAGACTTTGAGAGAATTCAGGCACTGAATCAATTCAAATCAGGTAGGAAGCTCCACATACATTCAATATAGTTTTGTGTGTTTTTTTTTTCTCTGTGTGCTTGTGTGTGGGAGAGAGAAAGAAATGAAAGGAAGGAGAGGGGAGGGGAGGAGAGGGGAGGGGAGGAGAGGGGAGGGGAGGAGAGGGAAGGGGAGGAGAGGGGAGGGGAGGAGAGGGGAGGGGAGGAGAGGAGAGGAGAGGAGAGGAGAGAAGAGGGAAGGAAGATAAATAAATAAAACAGAGAGAGAGAGAGAGAGAGAAAGAAAGAAAAAGATGGGAGGCAGGAGAAGAGAATCAGAGTCCTGGTAGGATTCAGAATCCAGCTAAAGTGGTTTTACTGAAGGGACTGATTGCTGATTGCAGAAGTGTGAACCGGAGTCAGGAATCAGCGAGGTGGTTGCAGCCAGAGACTAGAAATAGTAGAAATTTATTATTACCCCTAGGCAGAAGGGCAAGGAGAGGAAATATTGTTACCAGAGCCCAGTAAGAGCTGTAGCGTGGAATGAGGCGCTATGGACAGGTTCAGTAGTAAAGCCATGGCCAAAGCAGGGAAAGAACAGGGAATAAATACCTCTCTTCCTGCCTCCCATTCATTGACTGAAGCCAGCTGTCAAAGAAGTCTGGGTGCATGAGGCACCAAGGTCCGGCTCCCTGGTTCAGAGCAGGAGAGAGAAGGGAAAGGAAGGGCAAGGATGCAAGTGGACAATGAGCAACAGAAATGTTGAAGGGAGATTCTGAGGAGCTTTGCTAAGGTCTCTTAGAGTGAAAAGGAACGCGATGGAAGGAGGTAAGAATGACTGGAACAGAAAATGAAGATGGAAAAGGAGAGGATGAAGGAAAATGAAATAGGATATAACTCTCTGGGTCTGAATAGAATTTTGGGGAGGTTATTTCTCTTAGAATATTATTTGGAAACCTGCCTTAAATGATGTTAAAAAATAAAAACCTGCTAAACAACTGCATGGACCATCTCCTTGCACATTCATTTTGAAATGGGAGATGATGCTGACAGGTCGTGAACATCTATCTTTGGAGTTTTGTTGTCATGTTTCCCTCCCCCCTTCCCTCCCTCTCAGCATTAAAAAATATACCCTATAAAATATGCCACTCCAAGTTCTGCAATATTCAACCAAATCTTGGTACAGTGATGCCAACTAGACTATTGAGTGACTTGTTAACAAGAATGTAATCACTGCCTGCCTCTTTGCCATAGCTTATTTACTACTAACAAATATCATCTTGTGATGCTAGACAGTGCCTTTCACCCACTGGATCCTGGAGCGCTTTATGAACTAGGAATGCATGAGTAGCTGAAATAGAGCTCTCTCAAGGGTAGAATAAGACAGCTGTTAGCCTTGCAAAAATGTTGCACAACAGCCTGAGTGGAAACCAGGGAAGGGTTCTAATCTAATTGAAACTGCAAGAAGAATTTAAGTTGATGGACTAATTGCTGAGGCTGGCATTTATTCAAAAAACCAGGGCTTATTCTTTTCAGACAGTGAGTGACACAGCAACTTAGTTCCATTTAACAGATCCTGTTGCTTCCATTTAAGAGATGAGGAAACTGAAGTTCATGAGCACAAACTGTGTTTGAGAGAACTAGACTACAATGCAGGTCCTTTGAGATTTTGGTTGCTATTTATCTTTGAGTCACATGGTAAATAGGAGTATCAGCTGCAAAACAACGACTTAGTACCAATGTGAGAGAAAGAACACACCCATGGTATGCACATTTTTGCAGAAATTGGGCTACTCTGGGAAGGTCGCCATGCAATCCTGACTCAACTTGACCCTGCATAGTTTATAAAGTCAGTCAAGTTCCAAGAGCTGGAGGTGATATAAATGCAAAACACTCATGCCTTTAAGAAACAGCAGATCATGAGTCAATGAAACTTTAAACTGATTAGTTTGCAGCGGGTTCCTCTTGCCTAACACTTCTTTCATGCTGGAATGTCACATTAATTGGTTCTTAATTGAACAATGTGCTTCCAATTTTCAAAACCCAGCAGAGTATAAAACGGAAGAAGTCAGACTCTTGCTCTTTGGAATAGAAAGTCATATGGGTAAAGATACAGTTCATAAGGATTAAACTCTCACAGAGGTTGGAAGCTGTCACACAAGCACTTCCCCACTCAGTTCATAAGGTACAGCTCTTCAGGTTTTCTATTTTTACATGGAAACAGCTTAATGCTACTTGTTTGGAGGACAGCATGATCCTAGGGTGTAAGATGATGACGAAAACTTCCTTCGCTACTTGATTTCTGGAAAACTGAGATCTTTTAATGTAGCTGTGTGTTGTGTATGGTTAATTATTTCCTCTGTAAATAAATAGCTTGATCTTAATTTTTGTTTAAAATAAACGACCATTGGGAAGTAGCTGGTTAATTCCAGGATCCAGGAGTTTCTTATCTGCAATTAAATGTGGGCCAAAAGGTCTACTTTCCACCTAAAATTAAAAACCTGTTTGTTCATGTTCTCTCTTTGGAAATGTTCCACGTACAGGCAAGTTTATTTTTCTATTCTGAAGAAATATTATTTTTAAACAGGGGCTGTGTTCTGAATTCATATGATGTGAAAAGTCAGAGATGGAAAGAAAGTTAGTTTCTTGGAACAAATAAACCTTAAAAAAAAACCCCAAGTTTCTGAGCTGTTTTTCCCCAATATTGCTGTGCCTTGGGGGGAAAATCAAGCTGAATTCCTTAGATCAGGATGCTTAAGAGTTAGATATTTCTTTCAGTCTCATCTGTATCATGCTTTTTCATCTTACAAGTAAGAGAGAGGTTTTTCTAATTGCATCTTCAAACATGGATCGTTCGTCAAAGTTGACTATTTCTGCCTCTTGCATCAGAAGTAGAAATTATACTCTTTCTCCCCCTTGCATCATAAAACATGGTTCCACGTAGCACTTCGTTTGCAATTGATAATGCAATAGTTAGAGACTTTGCTTCTTTCAGGGATGCACTGGTCCCATGGTTATTGTAAAAGTAGATAGAAAAGGGAAAAAAACAGTCCATGAGACAATGCCATTTTAACTACAGTCTCTCTGAACATATTGTGTGTGTTTTGATGACATTAATATATTTTGGATTAGGATACAGTGAGATTGTGATAAAACCCCCTTTAGATCACCTACGAATAAAATACAGCTATTGCTTCTCATTAATAGAGAATCCTTGTAGAATTGTATCCTTTAACAACAGAGTCTGAAATAAAGGTCAACCAAAGGTGTGTCTAAGGAACACTCGGTGATCTCCAGCGAGCTAACTAGGATCCATGCCCCACTGTGGAAGGCCTCTGATTCTCACTTCTTGTGGCAATGTACTATGCCAACACTCTGATCACACATCTTCAAGCTAATTACTCTCATTCACTCAACATCCATTCCTTCTGCTCTAACAAGACCTCCTTAAGGATCACTGGGACTGAACCTGCGTCTGAAGCAAGCATGGCAGCAATGCTGCCACAAGAGATAAATGTTTCCCTGGGTACAAACTCAATAAGTGAAACATTTGACAAAGAAGAATGCCCTTGGCAGCCCTGCTCAATCTCTCTAAGAAATTGACACTGTAGAGTACAGGCACAAAGCCCAGATAAGGACAGCTACAAAAAGCTTTTGTAAGCAAAGTAATCAGGCCCATGTCAACTGGTCTGTCCTTTCGTGATCTCTTGCCTGGACAGTTAGTGAAACCTGATCAATGAGATATTTTTCAACATTTGTGGCAAATCGTCTATCAGTGCAAGGTGATGCTCAACAGCAATGACCTAAAAAGTGTGGAGGCGGGGCAATGAGAAAATGGCCTCTGGTGTGAGGAGAGTGTTGCCTACAGTAGATTAGGACTTTTAGGACCCTCTTGCCACCTATTGCTCATCCAGCAGAATTCAGTCACTCTTAGGCAAGTGGCTGTGCTCAGCTAATTTCTGCACTATATACTTATGACATCTGCATTGCTTGCTGTTTCTGGGGATGGGGAAGATACAAAGATCCCTCTTTGGGTGACTTCCTCCAACCCAGTTGTTTCATCTGTAAAATAGGGATAAACAGTTATAGGTAGAAATTGTCATTATTCAATCCAATAATCTGCTCAAGTCATTCACCAATTTAGAAATCTTTCTCTTTCAATACATAGAATGCCCAGGCTCCATGTTGGCCACTGCGAGGGACTATCACTGTGAGGGTCCCTGCTGAACACCAGGAGTTTGCTGCTAGAGGGGGATATGTCACATACATGTCACTGATAGAGAGGCAGATGAATTTCACAGAGTTAGTATAAACAGAAAGGCACTTCAAGAAGCACTAGAGCACCTGATGTGGAAATTAAGAGGAATTAAGAGGAAGGGCTCCTGGGAGGTGGGCATTTGAGGCTGGCATCAAAGATGTATACAATGTAAAGCTGTAGAGATGGAAAGTAAACGATGCAAATGGGAATACCATGACAGAGAGGCTCCTTGTTAGATGCGTAGGATGTCTGAGCCCTAGAGAGCATGGTCTGGGTATGCATAGGAAGCTTATTAACAATGGATTTTCTGCTGCGACATTTCTAAACTGTTCATATACACTTAACTTAGAGGGTCAGTGTGGTAAGTAGGTAGAGACAGGGACTTGAGAACCACAGAGCCTAGGTTTATATTCTAACTCCGCTACTCACCAGCTCTATGACCTTGGGCAAGTTATTCAAACTCTTTGTACCTCAATTCCATCAGCTATAAAATGGGTATCATTGTAATACCACCTCACAGAGGATGGTATGAGGCTGTTACAAAGATTAAATCAATTATTTAAAGCATCCAGAACAGGCCTAGAACACAGTAAATGCTCAATATGATCTTTCTCTTCTAGTTCTCACACAACCCTGTGAGGGTAAGTGCGAATGACAGAAGAGGAATTAGTATCATTCAAAAACCACACAAAGGCCTGGCAGAGTTAGCAGTCACAGCAAGTCCCCTGTCTCTCAAAAACATGCTTCATACACCCCAATGAACCCAAAGTGACAGAAACCTTAGGCACACCTCGTGTCCACTGATGATTCACACAGTGGTTTTACACACACACATACGCACACACATACACACGACAGTTTGGCAACGTCTGGAGATGTTTTTGGTTGTCACGATTTGGGGGATGTTACTGGCATCTAGTGGGTAGAGGTCAATTATGCTGCTAAAAATCTCGCAGTGCAGAAGACAACCCCCCCGCAACTGCAACAGATGATTATACAGCCCCAAATTTCCACTGTGCTGAGGTTAAGAAACTGACGTAGGGCTGTCTCTCGAAGAGGCGTTCATGTTTAAATACTTCAGCAAGACTCCCTTTTACATAAAATACTTTGCTAAAAACCATCAAAGCAAAGGGAAAGTTGTGCAGCCAGTGAAAAATCTAAGTGTTGATGAAATTGTTGAAGGTTTTCCTCTTGAAAAGGATGTGTGTGGTCATGAAAAATAAAAGCATACCTAGCAGCATGGGAAAAGAAAAGAGAATCACCTGAAATCACTATCTACTAAAGAAAATTCTAAAAAGCAGTTCAGCTGCTATAAAAGGCAAAAAGCACATGCCTGCTGCCTGCAGTGTTTAATCCAGTGTCACACACACACACACACACACACACAGATACATACATGTCTAGTCAACAAAAATAAGTTATTTCCAACTGCAGCTCAAGTCTAACTCAACTGTTGAAAGTGCTAGGAAAAAATGTCTCCCTCTTTCTATAGCTAATCATTTGATCTGTAAATATCACTTATTCCATTGACTGTCCTATTATTACACTTTTTCTTTTTAAATGGCCATTAAATCAGGTATAAAAGAGCCATTAGTTTCTACTATAAATAGTCACAGGCACTAAATACTTCATTGTTTGAATTAGTCACTGTAGTTTACGCAGATGAAATTCTCTTCGAAGGTGTGGTTTTATGCCTTCTGTCAGCCACTCTTATCTTCCCCCAGTCCTGGGAATAATAACTCAGTTTCCAAACACATTAAATGCGTTGTAAATAGTACATGCCTCCATAGCACCACCTCGATGGACTGATCCACCTTGTTGTGGTGTCATAAATTTGAAGGCATCTCATAAAAGCCGCCATATCCAGCCAGATATTCATGTTCGGAGACTTACTAAGCAGTTCAGAAAAGCACCTCACCTTGCTCGTTTTCCCCCGCTATCTCTCTCATCTTTGCTCCTGGAGACGCATCATTATTTGATCTTAATAATAATAAGTTATTAAAAAAGGCATTTGTATGAAACTTTACAATCTGTGAAGCACATTTAAGTATTTGATCCTCATAACAATACTTTGAGCTTGGAGTGGCAGCTTTTACAAAATTATCGCAGTTTTGTAGTTAAGGGAACACAATACTGTGTACTTACGTCATATAAAAATGGCGTCTCGGGCCTGAGGTGAGCTTAGGTGAGCAGGACCTCCAGGAGATGTTCTCATGGGCCTTTGTTTGTCTTATTTGGGTTCCCTGTGAAGCAGAACTTGAGACATAGATTAGAGTTTAAGTGGTTTGGGAGATGATGCCAGGAAGTATCAGGAGGGGAGTGGGGAAAGACGACAGGGAAGGGAAAGGAGAGAGTAATGGGTCATTTATGGAACAGGTTACCTGTGGACCCTGGGGGCTTACTCATGCCGTGCTGAAGAGTCTGGGAGATAGTGTAGAGGGATCCACTGAACGCAGAGGAGCAGGAGTACCAATCCTCCAACCTCCGCCCGTTATTGTCTGAAGGCTGTTCTTTCCTTTGGGGCTAGAGGAGATTGACTCTGGCACTCTGTCCAGACTCAGGGAAAGCCCCCAGCATTTCGGGTCCTAAGGACACTATCCCCGGCCCAGCAGAAGGCTGTTCAGAGTAGGTGCTGCTTGAAAAACATCCCTTAGTCTCTTCCCAGTGCATGTAAAAATCCTAATTACTCACTATTCACTGTCTTTTTTGTACGTTCATTCTCTCTGATTTGGCAAAACTGAAATGTCATCCAGGTGACCATGATTTTCATTGGGAGGATTGCCTGAGGACACTAAGGCAAGCCAATGGAGGCAGGAGTGCCCAGGGGAGTGCAGACACCTGTCTTCAAAATCAACACTATCAAGTACGGTGCCAAACCTACTCAGTGAGAACATAGAGGTGGACCTTAGCTCACTTTTCTGTGCAATTTTTGTCTCCAATTTCCTGGTGATATTTATCTTTTTATCGTGAAAGACCCTCCTCTCCACTTACTTCTGAGTTTAGCACCCTCCCATGCTCTCCTTCCCCACTTACTGGTGGAATATCTCCTTCTCTCTTTAAGGTTTCTTCTCAGATTATGGATATACTGCAAGGCACAGATGACTGATAAACTGTCTCGCTTCTTAGGAGGGAAAACACATTGAAGTCTTAATCCACATCAGTCTCTGAAGGTGGTCCTGGGCCCTTATATTATTTGGTTTGGCCCACTCAAAGTTTAAAATATTAAATTAGTTGTCAAATTTTTGCAATATTAAAAGATTTAACCTACAAATTGGAATTTCCTTCTTCTACTCAGTCGGTAACTCAACCCTCTTGAAGGCAAGACAAGGATCTGCTGGAGTCGAGTGGAGACTGCCCGTCTAGACAGGACACACACTCTCCAGTTAACCACATCCGTGCCACCCTTACATCCAGCCATCTTCACCCATTCCAGCCACTTGCCTCCTTCTGCAGGGTTTTGAATTTATGATACCTGGCCTGTAGCCCTTAGAGAAGTGAGAGAAGATTCACAGAGGTTGTTGCCTTTAGTTGCTATCCTGTCAGTGTCCTTGAAATCACACCATCTAGGATGTAATTATTCTTAGCACTTACCTAACCTTCTAGCTCTGTAAGAAAGTAACAGAGGGTTTTCTTTTTTTTTTTTTTTTAGATCTTCATATAAGGAATGACCCAGATGATTATATAAATCTACATTTAATTTTCATTAGAATTATCCTAGGTAGTGCTTGAACTTTAAATCCTGTAGAGTAGAAGCAAATCTGTGTTTGCAATAGAAATTGCCAGAAGAAAGAACAAGGAAGACATTTAGATAATTTCATCTGGGTGTGCAAAGTCATCACAAGATCCATCTTTCCATTATCTGGAAGTTGGGAGCCACCTGTTTTTCATGACGGTCTGACGGTTGGAATGAGAAGCTGTAAGTTTAATTAAGTTACTCGTGTGGGAGGAACGCGCTTTGCAGCAGCAGTTAGATTATTAATGGACTCCTATATTGAAGTGTTCACATTTTTGAAAGGCTAATTACAATATAATTTTAGGTTTAAAATATTGCTTTGCCAAGGGTAGAAGTTGTGTCATGTATTATTAAGTGGTACTTTACTTTTTCAGTCTTGAGGGAAATATGGGTTTGGTTATGGTAATCTTTAATATCCAGTTATTTCCCTCACTTCCCCACTTGACGCTTCTAACTCCTGGAAAAGGAAAATACGCTCCGTGGCTGTCAAGTACCAAAAAGTTACACTGGAGTTATCTTGGATTCTTCTGATTTTTTTAAATAAAGAAAGCCAACCTGCTTATAGGTTGAGTAAACTCAGTTTCACATTTGTCTTTGCTGCCTGAGACCCATGATTTTATCAGCTGTACAATCTCAACATTCTAGGGGAAGACTGAACAGGAAATTAAGGGTTCTAAGAGGTAGCTGCCTAATGAGCTAATTCTGGAATCCATTCTACTATTACCTGGTTATAGATGCACAAGTAGGGCTCTAGTTGATTGTAATGGGAATCCCATGTTTTTTTATTCAACGACCTAATTTAGAGTCTTTGTGTTGGAAGCTGTGTTTACTGCATATTCCAAACTGAAATCAACACACATTCCTTCCACCCACATATCCTCCCAATGAAAATCATGGTCACCTCGATGATATTTCAGTTTTGCCAAATCAGAGAGAATGAACGTACAAAAAATACAGTGAATAGTGAGTAATTAGGATTTTTACATGCACTGGGAAGAGACTAAGCAATGTTTTTCAAGCAGCACCTACTCTGAACAGACTTCTGCTGGGCTAGGGATAGTCTAGTGGCTGTGATTAGCTAGATTTGTCCGCTCTAAAAGCTGCCCACCAGCCCAGTGCCTCCATGTTCTTCTCTGGACAAGCATTGCAGTGGCTGGCTGAGTACATTGCAATGATGCAAGGGTCAATTTCCTCCCATGAAACTGTGCTGTGTTTTATTTTTAAAAAATCCTTCTGCCTGAAGGAAGTGCTCGAACGAAGGAAAAAGCCTTTGTTTGACCTGGAAGATGACCAGTTTCTTAGGCTAATCATGTCACTCTTTTGTGGAAAAGCTACACTTTCTCCTGTGCCATGGTTGGAAAAATTGACATGGCCAATCCCTAGCAGCGAGCTGCGATTCTGCCATTCAATACTTTGTGTAGTCAGTTGCACCAAAATTCCATCATTGTGGGACCAGAAGGGTGCCCACAGAAACCAAAATGACACAAGGCATTCTCTTACAGGAGTATCCCAAGGCCAGGGATTTTCCCACATGTTTTTGGGCCTGTGGCAGAAGTCTAACCTTCCAGCTCTATAGGAAAGTAACAGGCCGGGCGCGGTGGCTCACGCCTGTAATCCCAGCACTTTGGGAGGCCGAGGCGGGTGGATCACGAGGTCAGGAGATTGAGACCATCCAGGCTAACACGGTGAAACCCCGTCTCTACTAAAAATCCAAAAAAAAAAAAAAAAAAAAAAATTAGCCGGGCGTGGTGGCTTGCGCCTGAAGTCCCAGCCACTAAGGAGGCTGAGGCAGGAGAATGGCATGAACCTGGGAGGCGGAGCTTGCAGTGAGCCGAGATCGCGCCACTGCACTCCAGCCTCGGCGACAAAGCAAGACTCTGTCTCAAAAAAAAAAAAAAAAAAAAGAAAGAAAGAAAGTAACAGAGGGTTTGGGGCCTGTGGCAGAAGTCTGGTCCTGTACGTTCTCTTCTCCCCATTCCTGACATGTTCTGACCTATTGATAGAACACTTCTCTCCAAACCATCAAGAGCTAGTGCTACACTATTTGGTGGCAAATCTACCCTACAGGCTTACCCCAACCAAAGCTTCCCTCAATAATTGTTTAAATATTTTCAGTTCTAACTTGTGCTTGTGAGTCAGCACCTCACCCTGGATTTTGCTCTTATGTTTTATCCTGATAGTCCAATTCTCTGATCCCTCCAGCTTTAGCTGCTTAATTGCTGAGAGTGGAAGAGAAGAAAACTTCAACCACGTGTGTGTATCTATTTGCAATATTAAGGGGTTTAGAAAGAGTAGGGAGGAAGGGAAATGCCAAACTGCTCATAGGAATGCCCCGAGATTGGTGAGGCCATGGTAGTGGATGAAGAAAAACAGCCCTTGTTGAGCAACAAGTATGAACAAGACTCTCTGATATTGTTCTGCTTGGGCTTAAAGTTGTCTAGAGTTGGTCAGAGTTATAGGTGAGTCTTTGATCTTGAAATGCAAGAACGCCAGATGGCCCATAAACAGACTGAACTGAGAACCTTGTATACTAGAGGTTATAGCTAGTAGCTATAACCAGAAATTGTGAGAGACTGAGCAAAGTCACTTGATTTACTCAGATTGAAATACATGCAAGTTAATGAAGTGAGTGATAAAGCAAGTGATGGCTTGGTATTAAGGTCTCTTTGGGATTTTATTACAGTTGCAGAGTTTGGGGGTACAGAAAAAGGAGGAACAGGTAGTAAGTTTTTTGTTTTCTTCTCAGAGACATGGTCTTGCTCTGTTACTCAGACTGGAGTGCTGTGGTGCGATCATAACTCACTGCAGCCTCAAACTCCTGTGTTCAAAGGACCCTCTTGCCTCAGCCTTCCGAGTACCTGGGACAACAGGTGCAAACCACAATGCTCAGCTAATTAAAAAAAAAAAAATTAAAGACTTGCTAAATTGGCCATGCTGAGTGGAAAGTTTTTAAAGGCCCCCTAGTTCTCGCAGTGCCTCAAGCAGAGAGGGTTAGCTCTAAGGGCTGCTTAGGTAACTCAGCCCTCAAGCTCTCTAAAATAAAATTCCCCAGTGGTGGAAATCCTGATGCTTGGGGCTCCTCGGGTAACTTTCTTCAGTGCCTCAGGTTGCTAGGATATGTGTGCAAAAGACCCAAGGCATCCTACAGTGACCTCCTATGGCTCTTTTTTTCTAAGGGCAAACACCCTCATGCCCAGCTTGAAGCCTTATCAACTATGGATCCCACCACTTCAGAAATGGGTGACCAGGTTCTTCCTTGTTTCATCCTTCTGCTTTTAAAATTGCTGAACAATTATTTGACGTCATTTCTTCTTTCCATTTATCATTTCCAATTCCAGTCCCATGCCACTTGTAGTCTACACTGCCTGTGTGCATTCATTATCTCTGTGCACAGGCAGAGGCCTAGGTATGCAGGGCAGGTTTGCTCTACCTGCTTGCATATGAGAACTGTATGTTCAACTTCTGGCTACAGTCAGTTGCTATAATCCTTGCCTTATGTGGCTAGCATGGAATCTCTTTTCCTGGGGCTATACTCTGTCACCACCAGGAACACTCAGAGTTGCAGGTAATGTCCTCCAAACCTTATAAACTAAGATGGAGCCATGGCTGGTCCCCACTTGGCCCATCTCTGAATTTGTAACGAGCCAGGGGATAGAGGTCAAAAGATAAGAGTCTTAGCTCCAGGTGCAAAGGTGTAGACGTTTGGCTGGATGAAAAAGAGACGAGGTTAAAGAAGGTAAGAGATGTATATCAGTTACATATCACTGTGCACTCTGGCATGCCTGCCTGCTCAGGAAATGCCTCTGCATCCTGCAACTCTTCTCACTGCTCCTGAACCCTTTTTGTCTTACTTTCTTCTGAGGGCCGTGTTTCTGCTACAGTCCCCACAAGTGGAGGCCGTTGTGCTTTTTATTTTTTCTTATATGCCACTCCTTAGGTCTTTTTTCCACCATGTGTCTTCCAACCCCTTTCCCTTTCTTCCTTTAAGTACTCCAGTTCAGAGGAAACTCATGACTTCCACTGCACTTCATCAGCTGTTCGGCAGTCCCCACCCCCCCATCCTCACCTTCACTAAGTCCCCTAGCACTCGGATCACTGTTTGGCTCTCCAGCTCTCCACAGGCTGTTGTTTCATCCCAGGGACTCATTCCACAGCTCAGTCTATTCGTGGTGGTGCCTCTCCATCTCCCCAACATGCTACTCCATCCTTCTCAGCTACCTCGTCCCCTGGTGTGTTCTGATCTATGCTGCCTGTCATTGCTTCACATCTCATTCTTAGATGCCATTTCTTGCCCTTCCAGCTCACTTCCTTTTGAACTCCCTTCCCCCCTCCCCCACACCATTGCAATGATTCATCCATGTACTGGAAACCCCCTAATCTGTGGAAACCACCTATTTTTAACTATCTATATCCATATCTGCCTATCCTGGTCTTCACTCTCCAATTTATCCAGCTAAATTCCGAAGTTCCTTCGAATCACTCTCTTGCAAACATTCTCAACTTCTCTGCTTGGCCTCAGTCATGCTGGAATTGTAACACCCTGTGAAAGGAAAATAAATCTTGGGACCCCCAAAATCACTAAGTCAAAGGGAAAAGTCGAGCTGGGAACTCTGTCAGGCAGACCTGCCTCCCATTTTGTTCCTAAATAAGATAGCTACAAAGATTATTTTTTTAAAAAAGCTACATACCTCCCTGAAAATTTACCTACAGGACATTCCTTGTGGACCTCAAGATCTTTACCCTAAAATATCAATAGCTTATCCTCTTCACAGGTGCGGGAAAGTCCTCCCTCTGCTCACCTGAGACAAATGCATATCTGACTACTTCTTCTGCCTTATTGTTTATGTAAAAATGTAGATTCACTGAACCAGACTAAAGCATAAATGGTTGTTCCTCTACCCGCCCGCCTCACATGTAAGTTGTATTTTCACTGAAAGTCTGTCTCTTATCTACTTGTGACCTGAAGCCACCCCCACGTCAAAGTGTTCCACCTTTCTTGACTGAACCAATGTACATCTTACACATATTGATTGATGCTTCATGTCTCCCTGTGTAATGCAAGCTGTACCCCAGTCATCTTGGGTACATATTGTCAGGACCTCCTGAGGCAGTATCACAGGCACATCCTTAACCTTGTCAAAATAAACTTTCTAAATTGATTGAGACCTCATAGATTTTGGGTTCACAACCCCAATCACCTCTCTTCCTTGGACATACACCTAGCCAGCTCAGTGTGACTGGGAAAATAGTAAGTAACTAACCTAACTACTTTCTTTTTGCATTTGTGACCACCCCACTTTTACCCAGATATCATGTATTTTGTTTCCCAAGGGAGGATAGCCCATCCTTTGAGACCATTAAATTTTCCCCACCTCTTCCATTCCCCTGAACTCTTAGCTGATGCCCCTTCTTTCACTCACAGAATGAATACCAAGTAAACAAAACACACTCATCCTCCCACTGTCAAATATCCAAACCTATATGCTCTTCTGTTGTGCAGGAAAGTGTCCCTGCTTCTGTCTGGTGGGAGGAAGCCTGGTGGGCTGCTTCCACCAGGGCTCTGGTATGTATCTCCTCCCACTTCTACCAGACTTTGCTCCTTATTTATCATCTCAATTTCCTGCACCATGAAACTGTGTCTCTTTCTCTACTCAATCACTCAAACTTTTAGCTTTTAGCTGAGACTATCTTTTATTTGTTTGTTTGTTTATTTAATTTATTTGAAAGGGAAGGCATTCATGTCCTACAAATTTTGAAAAGTACAAAAAGATTTACAAAGTCGAGTCCGCCTTTCCCAAGGTACTCAAATTACTTCATTCTCTTCCCTATAGAGAGCCAGCATTTTTACCTTCTGGTTTATCCTTCTTGAAATACTTCATGCATCTGTGTAGTAACATACAAATATGTATATTCCTCTTTCCCCCTTAAAAACAAAGTTTGCACCCTGCACATATTGTTCCGCACTTGTGTTTTTCACTTAACAGGACATGTTGGAGATGATTTCATCTTAGTTCATACGTGGCTTCCTCCTTCTGTTCTACAGCTATGTAGTTGCATCGTGTAGAAGTACCATGATTTATTTAGCCAATTCTGTATTAAATATGTGCAGTCTTTGCAAAAAAAAAAAAAAAATGCAGCCTCTGTGACCTCATCATTCCCCTTCCTGCTACTTCCTATTTTCCTGTTTCTCCTTTGATCCAAACTCCTCCAATGAGTTGCTACACATGCTGCATCTATAGCTTCATCTCTCATTCATTCTTCACCTTCTTCAATTTGGCTTCACTCTTCACTGAAATTGTATTTTCGAGGTTACCAAATTCAACGACTGCTTCTCTGATTTCATCTTACTTGAATTCTCAGCAGTATTTCATACAGATGATCACTCTTCCCTCCTGTGTCCAGAACACTGTACACGCATGGTTTTCTATCTTCCAGTTTATGCCTTTTCTGGAGATTTCTCTACCTACCTTTCCTTTTTTGGATTGTTTTAGGTCTTCTTGTCTATGTACCCACTGTCCTTAGATAACCTCATTCTGACCTTTGGCTTTATATCTGCATGCTGGTGGTCTCCATATTTATATTTCAAACACAGACTACTCTGAACTCCATATCCAACTACCTGTTTAACATCTTCACTTGGATGTTAACTAAGAATCTCAGGCTAGATTCAAAACAGAGCTCCTGATCCTCCTCCTCCTCTCCCACAAGCCTGTTCCTCTGTCAGACTTCCCACCCCTGTACATAGCACCACTATGCATCATTGGTAAAGCTGAAAACCTAGGAGACATCCTTGACTCCTCTCTTCTGGATGTCAGTCCATATGCAAGTCCTGTTAGTTTTATCTGCAAATGTGCTCAAGCACATCTACTTCTCTCCTTCTTCCTATCTCCCACTCCATCAAGCTACCATCCTCTCTCCCTTAGTCTACCTCAGTAACCTCCTGGGGCCTCTCTATTCCAGCTCTTGCCCCCTCTAATCCAATTCCCTCAAGGAGCCAGAGTGATCTCTTAAAAATGAAAACGGGATCATGTCGATCAGATCAGATCATCTTCCTACTCAAAAACCTTCCTATGACTTTCTTTGGCACTTAGAATAAAATGAAAATTTCTTATGGTAGCCCAAAAGATCCCACAAAAGCTGGTCAGGGCCTCCCTTCCTGCCCTTACTCCACTACCTTCAGCACCAGGCAATTGGCTGTTCCCTCCACGTGGAATATGCTTCCTTTCATCTGGACATTGCTGGCTCATTTGCGTGCTTTAAATCACAGTCCCAATATCACCACCTCAGAGAGGCTCTCACTGACCACTCCCTCACCTATTTCTGAGATTTCTCAACAACACTCACTTTATTGCCTTCATATCAAGTGTCATATTCTATCATTATCAAATGTATGTGTTTACTTTTGATTTCTGTCTCCTCCCCTAGGACATAAGCTCTAAGAGGGCAGGACTTATTTATGACTTCTTTGGCATCTAGCTCTTGGTACAGTGCCTAGAATTTCCTGGCATCTCAACTATTTGAGACAAAATTATTTCCTAAAGTATAAAATTACTAAAAAGATTTTGTCAAGTATTCTGATTTTATTTTTAAAATCTCAGAAATATTATAGATTTTCATCTCACTTTAAAAAATTTTTTGTCTTTTTAAAGATGCCAAAATATTTAAGATTTGGACAAAAAATACATTCATTCATTAGTTATTCAAAAGTGACAGATTTTGCTGTATTTAAATGCTTCATTTTTGGAAAATTAAAATTGTACTTGTCCTACAAATTCATATGGAAACTATGTTATAATTTTTAAAGCTCTTGGGATTTTTTTTTAGTTTAATTATTTTTGCATGCATTGGTGAAAAAAGCATTAGATAAAATCCTGTTATACGGTAGGTACATTATTCCGCTCAAAAAGCACAGAACTTTCAGGAAACAAAAAGTCCGTACGAGGGATTACACAACTAATAGTTTCAAAAGCAAAATCTGTAGAAGTGACACACAAGACGCTGCACCTTGTCTTCTGTTGTGCATCTATTGTGGTCATGTATTATGATCTTTAACTTTATTTTAAGAAAACAGTTGCTCTTCTATAATCATCATTGGCCAAATCACCACTTCCAACCACTTTTTTTCTCCACCCCTATGTCCATTCTCATAAAATGTGGTATATTCTCCCCAAAGCCTTCTTAATGCAAGGCCATGTGTGCATATTGGAGTTTAGATAAAGAATGCTGGCCTCTTCACTGTTTACTGATTGTATCACAAGCTCCCCTGACCGGCTGGCACATATGCAGCCTCTAAAGGTTCTAGGGCTTGATTTGTATGTAGCCTCTTAATTCATATGTATGAAGCCACTGCCGTATATTACAGGGGCAGGGCCATCCCTTCTATAAATTATGAAATCAGTTGGAAAGCCTGATTGTTTGTTAGTGAATGTGAACTCCTTGAACATTAATCCACCCCAGGCTGCAGTCAACAAAGTCCTGGCATTGAGCCAACCCACCAGCAGTGGATCACTTTTGACTGCAAGTCAGGTTCACTGAGTTGGACAAGTGTGGAAGATTGATCGCAGAGTAGTCCACACGCCTCTGGTAGGATGTGAAGGAAAGTGGTAACTTCAGACTGAAGAAACTCAAGAGAGACTCAGCAGAATATCTTCATGGAGACCCTGACAGTTGAGAAGTAGCAGCAGCAAAAGCCAGATCTTTCTGGCATACAGAAATCAGAGATAGAGTGGCAGAGACATCAGGGAAGGGAGCAGGAGGCAAAACAGCTCCAGGCCCACAAAGCATAAGGATCCAAGAGGCAGAAAGTGGTGAAATAAGGACATGCATGATGAGCACATCAGACCTAGAGGAGCGTGTGTGTGCGTGTGTGCATGCGCGCACTAATGCCAGATACACCTGCCAGAAAGGAGGCCAGCTTCTTCTTACAGTTAACCCATTTGTTAGTAGTGTCATTATTTTTGAAGTCTTCCCGAAATCTTATGATTACATTTTTTAAATTTGCTATAAAAAATAATGTATGACCTTTGTTTAAAAGTAATATATATGCATATATGTTTATACATATACATATACACACATGTTTATATATACATATACACACACATAGACATATACATGTATATACATATACATTCACATATGTATAATTATCCTGAACTGTATGCAGTGTATAAGATCAAATGCAAAATCTCCAATACCATCTGCTCTCTCACCTTATTCCCAAGATATAACCGCTATGAGCTAAAGATTTCATCAAGTTTTCTCTTTCCCTCTTTGAAGCGTTTCTCAAACTTCCCCTTTGTTCTTTTTCTCCAAGAAAATAGCATTCTTTGAACTCATACCTTCCAGAATAAGGGGAGCAGCTTTCTAGCGTTAATCTCTGTACTCACCAGCCTCCAGCCACTACCAGACTATTCTTCCTAGAGTACCATTTTCCCTTAGAAAGCCCCAACCACTCTCCCCAGTGCCTACCACACTGAGTCCAGCCCTCCATCACCCATCCTTATGAAGCCACATTCCCTACCTGGATCTTCTATACAGCTAGGCCCACCTCAACATTTACCTTCTTCTTTCTTCCCTTGGGCTTGTGCCCCCGCTGTCCCTCTACCTGGTACTCCATTGTCGGAGGCCTGTGAACCAGAGCAACTCTGTCTTGAATAGGAGCTGGGTGAAATGAGGCTGAGACCTACTGGGCTGCATTCCCGGACAGTTAAGGCATTCTAAGTCACAGGATGAGATAGGATGTTAGCACAAGATACAGGTCATAACACCTTGCTGATAAAACAGGTTGCAGTAAAGAAGCCAGCTAAAACCTACCAAAACCAAGATGACGATGAGAGCGACCTCTGGTCATGCTCACTGCTACACCCCCACCAGCACCATGACAGTTTACGAATGCCATAGCAACATCAGGAAGTTACCCTACATGGTCTAAAAAGGGGAGCCATGAATAATCCACCCCTTGTTTAGCAAATAATCAAGAAATAACCATAAAAATGGGTAACCAGCAACCCTTGGGGCTGCTCTGTCTATGGAGTAGCCATTCTTTTATTCTTCCACTTTCTTAATAAACTTGCTTTCACTTTATGGAACTCACTCTGAATTCTTTCTTGCGCAAGGTTCAGGAACCCTGTCTTGGGGTCTGGATCAGACCCCTTTCCTGTAACACCATCACTATGCACCAGCCTATCTTCCTCTCATCTCCTCTTTGCTCATCTCTGTCTTTCCTATTCTCCACTGCCCACCTCTCACTCTGCTTCCTCTATGAAACATCCCTACTTCTCCAGCTCAGCAGCCCTCTCCTTTCCCTAAATACCTATTGAGCCATGTGTTTTAGCATTTACTGGTTTTCTAATTATTTTGAGAGTGTTAGTCCTATTTCTTCCAATTAGAAATAAATCTCTTGAGGTTGGGGAACTTGCCTTAATAACCTTGGCACCAAGATAAACACATGGGAAAACACAACACATAAATGTGTAGAAAATGGTCACATGCGTAGGAAACACACAGGAAACAGCCAGACATAGAGCAAGTTTACTTTTCACTTAAGTGCTTATCTCCCCATTATTTTGTATGTAGGACCAGCTTTTACTTTTTTGGTTTTGGCTTATGACTTTGGCTCATTCCTTTTTATGTGGTCATTAAAGTTGAGGTGGAATTACCTTTAGGGCAAGGTCACTAACTGGCCGGGTAGATTAACTGCACCTTTCTTTTCAGGGATGCAAATTTTTGTTTAATGTGTCTTAGAAATTTGGGAAGATACTCTTAACTCTCAAAAAATCAGCCCTTAGAGGCACAGCAGGTAATTAGGTTCCACCTAAGGTTTGAGATCTCCTAGATTTTAACCTTAAACATTTAGCCCATATGCCAATTTAACAAATCATGAAACACATTCTTCTTCTTATGTTAATGTAGAGGAAAATTTTAAAGAAAAGGGTAAATCTACTGGTGTATGGCATATGGAGGTCGAGATCCCACATAGATTTTCAGCATTAAGGCAGAACAAATGGACTGCAAGACTACAAAGAAAACAAATTCAGAGCAGTAACCTTTTGAGAACCGCCAAATTGCTGGCAAGATGAAAATGGAGTTTGCATCTGAGAAATTATGCAGCGTTGTGCTTTTTGGAGGAAGGTACAGCACAGAGGGGTATATGTGTTTTCTTTCAAAACTCTATTTTTAATATTCATAATGACACTAACTGAAGCAAATGTGACTACATGTAGAATATTCAGTAAATGGTAAATGATGGTGGTGGTGGTGAGGAGTTTGGAGGAAACTAAATGGAAATAGAGGCTCTGGTGGACCACGTATATTTTTGAAATATCAAACAGACACATTCAGCCTGGATGCTGAAGATCACTATGCAGGGTGAGAAGAAAGTCGAAAATTTGCCCAGAAAAAGTCTGAAAGACATCACAGCAAATGGCAGGCTGGATCTCAGCAGCATAAAAGAAAGAAATGTATGAAAGAAAATGTCTCTCTGCATATCATAAAGACAGCAAGATTTCCAACATATGCTGCTATTTTAGTCTTTCATTTGGCAGACCATTTGTGACTAGTTATGGGTGGGGTTGTTCTTGCATGTATGTTTCTGCCAAGTATGATGAATGCTCAGACTATTTTTCCTGACCTTACATGCATTGACTTCTCCTTTTTTCTTCCTCATGTGCCCTATCCTGATGTTTGCTATCAGATAGGGTTCCCAGGCAGCTCCATATAGGATCGTATCAGAGACAGAGAGAGTAATTTAGTTTAGATAAAATGAGTTCATTTCAGAAATGTGTTTCCTTATTTCATTTACTTGTTTTGTCACACACAAGAGAGCAAGCCAATGAGAATCTAAGTAACATAAGATTAATAAAGAGGCAAACACACACCAATACTCAATTCTTACATCCATCCCTTTCTTTCCGAGGCCTTAAACAAATAATGCATATGTGTTTTTCCATAGTTGCCATCAGTGTGTGTATTTCATCTTCAGATTCATTTTTTTCACTTATATATTTCTACATATGGATAAATCTCACAAATTTTTATTTTACTATTTTAATAAGAATGACGTTCTGAATTCTTAACATACCACAGCTTGTCTAGCTCTTCCCCTTTTGTAGTGCATCTCAGGCACTATAAAATCCTGCCATTGTATACATCAATGATACAAACATCTTTGTAAGATAGCACTCATTTATGTCATCCTTGGGTTATTCTCTTTGAGGCATTTTTTTCCTAAACTGGAATTCCTGCATGAAAGAAAAATAAACTCTTGTTCAGAAGCTCTCATAACCTACTTCCAAATGGTTCTCCAGAAAGCTTTAGTCAATTTTTTACGGCAACAGCCATTGGACGTGAGCCTGCCTTCTCATAGCCCTGATGAAATTCAGCTTCTTCATATTTATTCATTTTTGCTAATTTGAGACATTTATTGAATGAGTTAATTCTTATTTCTCTAATCTCAACAAAGATTGGGGTTTTAATGTAATTATTTACTGAATTTATTTCTTCATGTATTAACTCTCTATTCATCTCTTTCGCAATTAATCACTGCAAGGTTGTAGACTGTTTTTACAACTTGCAGTCAGGACACGGACTCCAGCCCCTTGAAAGGGTCTTTATCGCTTTTGAACACTTATTAACTTGTATGTTTATTTGAATTCTACATATCTTTTTAAAGGAGACAGAGAGAATAGGTGTTGAAAGCATAGCTCTGGAGCCAAACTCCTGGATTTGAACTTAGTCTCTGCCCCTTATTGGTTAGTAAGTTCATGTAAGTTGTTCAATCACTCTGTGCCTCAATTTTCTCATCTGTATAAAGATGATAATAATAAAACCTATCCCATGGAGTTGCTTTGAAAAGTAAATGGGCCAAGATATGTAAAGTGCTTAAAACAGTGGTTAGCACATAGTAAATCTGTGTGTTTATCATTATACATAAGCCATTGATTTTAAGTTTACAACTTATTTTCCCACTGTGTGACTTTCATTGTGGTATTTATTCTATGATACCTATTTTAGAATATAAATATATCCAAGTGTGCCTTTTTATTGCTAGAGAAAGTGTTGCTTTATAACAACCCTTTGATAATTTGGAGTTTGTTGGCTCTATGGTATTATAGTATATCTTCAAGTAGAGATGATATTCAAAATCGTTAACAATTGCTTCAGAAATCAGAAATCAATCCAAATATTTAACAATTGAAAGGAATCAACCAACCAGAACCAGACACTCACTAATCAGAACAGAGCCAACAAATCAGGACTTAATAGCAACCAGTGAGAATATACAGGCTAAATATCATTGCTGCGCTCCAGTTACTTCTTTTCTGTGCTGTTCAGTTGTTCTATGTATTAAAGTGTATTTAATCATAAATTCTCTCTGAAGGATGATATTACTTCTGATTTGTAATATGGTCATTTCTTCTTCCAATAGGAATATTTAGATGATTTAAATGTGTTTAAAATACCTGTTTTACCTTTTACGGCTAACTATTAGGTTAGTACAAATGCAAAAACCGCAATTACATTTGCACTAACCTATACTTAAAACATCTAGCTGTAGTTAAGTACCACAGTAATTGCACAATAATTCCAGGAATAAGCAAAGTTAGCTTGCTATGGAGCCTTCAAATGGAATATTTAATGTATACAAGCCATTGAGTCACACAACATAGATTCAGATATTGCCTTCACAATGTCAAAACCTTCTAATAAAATATGAGAAAGACATTGAAAATTCTTTTTCTTCATGTGTTATAATAAATATTGAGATGTTTGGAAGCCCCTGGCTGTTAAGAATGAGCAATATGTTTGCCATTGTGTAAGCACAGCTATGGACTCTGGTTATCAAAAAGTGCATTGATGAGCAAATAGAACACACTCCACCAATTGTTATTGACAGAATTCTGTCATTGCAAGTGCCTGTTCCACTGATGTGTGCTATTTTTTTTTTCTCAGAGAAGTGAAGGAATAATTGTAAGCTGTCTCTTTGGCTTATGTACGGTTTGTACCCCCATTTCTTTCTCCACCTCTTTGATAGTTCTCAGATTTCAGTAACTGCTTCTTACTAGCCATGTGCTGCAGAGCATGGTGCTCAGAAAAAGTTAAATAAAAAGAAAGCGCATTGACAGATCATATTCGCAAAGAGTCCAGGACTGTCTATAAGGACTGTTATGATTTGTTAAAATGGCATATGGGCTAAATGTTTAAGGTTAAAATCTAGGAGATCTCAAACCTTAGGTGGAACCTAATTACCTGCTGTGCCTCTAAGGGCTGATTTTTTGAGAGTTAAGAGTATCTTCCCAAATTTCTAAGACACATTAAACAAAAATTTGTATCCCTGAAAAGAAAGGTGCAGCTCTTTCCTTTCCCTAAATACCTATTGAGCCATGTGGTTTAGCGTTTACTGGTTTTCTAATTATTTTGAGAATGTTAGTCCTATTTCTTCCAATTAGAAATAAATTTTTTCTACGCTGTCTCTTCCCTTTTAACTTTTGATCAATGTGTTTCACTGTGTGCATGTTTTCCTGACACTTTTGAACATAACTGTAGGTAATACAGTGTGGACCATACTGTTAGAGGGGCATTCCCAGGGTTCCAGGAGGTAGACTAATAGTCAGCACAAGGTAAGTGAGATCTGATACGCGAAAAGTCACCTTGAGAGATATGGCTCAAATTGAAAGCAACAAGATCAGATCTTGGCAATGACCAATCAGTGGTGTTAACATTTTCTAAGAAAGCATGTGTTAACACTATGGGATCAGCAGCTTGGAAATCCAGAAAATGAGTGTGAGAGGCAACGTTTTCAGAGTTCTTGTTACTCACCTGGGAGGAGAGGCCCATTGATCAGTGAATGAAAGTGTATTAGATGCATCCCCAAGGAGCAGAGGGAGTGTATTGGGTAAAAATGGGGGTTAAGTCTATGTTCAAATCCCAGTTCTACCACTTACCAGTGACTTTAGACAAGTTACCTAACCCCTCTGGGCTTGTTTTCTTATCTGTAAGATGGGGGTGATGATAATAATACTGACATAATGGATAATAAAATAAGTTAATATGTAAAAATGTTTAGAACACTGCCTAATGCATAAAGAACACAGAGGTGAATCATGATCCTGCAAGAGGTACCTAATACATAGTAAGCATTCAATAAGTGTTAACTACTTTTTCTTGATGCCATTAAATGATAAATATCATTCTACTTTGATGACCTAGTCACAAAGTGACCCTCGGATTACCAAGTGCCTTCCCATGTAGATTTGCCTAATGAGACAGGATGTGCAATCTAAGAAAATGACTCTCCGGTCCAAGGAGGTGGTTTGAACTTTCATGGAAATTAATTTTCTGGTTTATAAATCATTTTGTTATGCGTTTGATTCGTAGCACTCTTCTGCGGAAAAAATAAGGACTGCTGTTTGGAACTGTAGTACTGAAAACCTGACTTTCAATAAGGGTGAATCCATTAGGATATTATCCCTTTGCAGGCTTCTGCCCAGGTGACAAGAAGGACTATAGCAAGTCACAATCATATTCTCGAGTCAATTACTCATGAAATGAAACATACTAAGCTTGCATGAGAAAGTTCTAACAGAGACAAAAGGAGGTTACTTGATTTCTGAGTGTAGGTACCCTGAAGACTAAGACTTGCAGACCAGTAAAAGTCCCAGATTGTACAATAGTAGCTTTGAACCTCAGAATCAGAGTAACTCCGAGAATGACATGCAGCCATAGTGTCTTCCCATTAGCATTAGTTACTGCTCAAGGAATTGCTTATTCCAGCAATGATATTGTATCCCCAAAAACATACAGTGCTTTTTGTTCTATTACTACTATTTAAATAATTTATTTTATTGTACCATCCATTATATTCACTGAATGGCTGTAGTTTGACAAGCATGGAGGTACAAATTTCTACCAAGCACCCCATGGATTGCAGAGGGTCTTAGGAAAAGGTCACTGAGTCTGCTGAAAACTTGCTGGAACAGTGAGGCAGGCCTTGTCTGAGACTGTGCTGGAAATCCCCACTGGGCAGATACCTTTCCTATGGCCTTATTAATTTAAAATTTAATAATTTTTCAGCATTTATTGCTTTGACAAGAAGTTCCCATTAGCCAAGAGAAAAACAGTAAAGATCTTTCCTCTAGTTTTAAATTAAATACTTTTTTATAGAATGCTATTGTTTGAAACCAAATGCCAGGACAATGATGCCATAGCTGGATTCAAGCTGCTGGCTGAATTCCAGGGAAAGTGCTGTATGGCAACCCTACTCATCAATCCCAGAGACTAAACCCACTTCCAAACAATAAAAATCAGCTCAAGGTGCTGAGGGTTCTGTCATGATCAAAAGAGCCTGTGTGCTGGCTCATCACATGGACAGCAACACCTGGCATTCTTCCAAACCATTGGAGTCAGCTAATGGGTCCCCTACTGAGTCTTTTCCCCCTCTTGGTGAAGCATCCATAATTCATTCATCATTCCTCTTAAGAAATTGTTTTGGGCCCACCATCATTTTGCTAGGATTTGCCTAGAAGACCCTCAAAGAGGTCCAGGTCCTTTTAGAGGTATATTTTTGGTTGGTTTTAATCCCCAAATATGGCAGATAACCTACCTACATATCTCAACATTTAAGCTCTCCTGGGCCTAGTCAGGAGAATATACGGGCTGCTACAGATTCTCAACCTAAGACTGGACCCCCAAATCCAGAATATATGGTACCCCGACTTTAGAGACCACAGGGAGAGGGCTTCATACTCACCCATTGAAGTTGTCAGGTAACTACCTTTCTGTCTCTGCCCTACGAAGTCCTCAAAAAGGGTCATGTGCTTATGTGACCCAGCTTTGACAAAGCAGTCAAATTTCTCCATGAACTTGTCATTCTTGGAATACAGCAAAGTCTTGTGAATACTTTTTTGAAAGCTGTCAAAATACAAGAGTTAAACTTAGAGAGTAATAAAAATAAGAAAGAATAATAAAACTGCCAACTGCACTTTTCTCTCCAAGCTGTATTTAGGTAAAATTCTATGTGTTCTCTTATGGAAAGAGAAGACTGTCAGATTTAAGGGCCCAAGCAAACAAGAAACAGGGCATGTTAATTGAAAGAATTATTGTAATTGAAGTTTGAGTGCAAAATTACACCCTTCATAATTTTACACTTAAGTGCATTTCTGTCCATGCTTGGAAAGACAGAATTTTCCTCATGTCTGACACATCAAATACCAATAACCCTGCCATGCAGTAACACAGAAGAAGGTTGAATAAGTTTGAAAGCTTTTTTATTGTAGTGAATGTGAGAACGTGAAAAATGCATTGTCACTCAATTATGTGGGCTTCTAGGTGTGGGATAATTGATCAGCACTCCTGAAAGCGTGACTAGAGACAACAAAATATATAAAAAGAAATGTTTTAATTCTAAAAAAGTTAAATATCTCTGTTTCAGGGTTAAAGTATTATGATCTAAAATATTACCTTATGAAATAAACATCAGCCAAGTGGATCCAGGAACAACTTGATGAAAGTCACTATACTGTATGCATTTCTGACACAAACACAATATAGAGTGTTAGAGAAAAAGTAAGACATTGATGCTTACCTCTTTTTAAAAAAGTCATTAGTAGATACAGTCTAGACAAAAAGTTCTTTGAGGACTAATTCATGCAATAAAGGACAGAACTCAAAAAAGAGCAAAGTAAGAAAGGGAGTCCCAGGATTCTTCTCTACTGATGTATCCCTAGTATCCCTATTATATCAAGTATTGTATAGTTGACATTTCAGTTGGTCCAAATTATTTCTCCATAACAGTGAACAGATTTTCTGAACCATCTCTAGGCTTTCACTCAGCTTCTCCTATGACAAATGGCTCCTTGCAATTAGAGATGCCAAGATAGTATGGTTATCAGAATGTAACAAAGATATGCAGTTTCTCTGTGTCAAGCTAAATAGTCTGGAAGTTAGTGTTCTTCAAACTAGAGTTCCAGGATAGCTACATGTATTAGTCCATTTTCACACAGCTATAAAGAACTGCCAGAGACTGGGTAATTTATAAAGAAAACAGGTTTAATTGACTCACAGATTGACATGACTGGGGAGGCCTCAGGAAACTTACAATCATGGTGGAAGGTGAAAGGGGAAGCAAGGACTTTCTTCACATGGCAGCAGGAAAGAGAGAGCTCGCAAGGGCAGAGAAAACTGTCCTTATAAAACTATCAGATCTTGTGAGAACTCACCATCATGAGAAAAGCATGGGGGAAACTGCCCCCTTAATCCAATCGCTTCCCACCAGGTCTCTCCCTAAACACCTGGGAATTACAATTCAGAAGAGATTTGGGTGGGGCCACAAAGCATAACCATATGACTACATCAGGATTCCTAAGGCCTATCAAAGACCTAGTAAATCAAAATCTTCAGTCTGAGAACTAGGTCTAGGCCTTCTCAAGAAGCCCTCCATGTGATTGTTCTGTACGTGAATCTTAAATAAATTAACCCTTAAAGAAATTGCACCTGGGACTTGTATTCAGCTCGCCTTATGTAAATCAAATCAGCAGTTCACATTTCTAGCTGCACAATAGAATCTCTTGGGAAGGTTTAAAGCCACAGCAACCACATCTGATTTTTATTCCCAGAGTTGAGTTTGGTTGATCTAAAGTAAGGCCCAGACAGCAGTAATTTTTTAAAGTTCTACATGTTATTCTGATCTGTAACTAGGATTGAATGGCCATAGCATTATTCACAATTACCAAAAGGTGGAAACAACCCAAGTGTCCATCAACAGATGAATGGATAAACAAAATGTGGTATATCCATACCACAGAATATTATTCAGCCATAAACGGGAATGCAGTGCTGATATATGCTACAATATGGATGAAACTTTAAAACATTATGCTAAGTAAAATAAGCCAGACAGAAAAGGACATATTTGTGTGGTTTTATTTATATGCAGTATCAATAACAGGCAAATAAATAGAGACAGAAAGTAGAATACAGGTTACCAGGGGAGGAGAAATGTGGACTTAACTCTGAATGATTACAGAGTTTCTGTGTGAGGTGATGAAAAAGTTTTGGAAGTAGATAGTGGTGACAGTTATATAACATTGTACTTATTGCCACTGAATTGTACACATAAAAATGGTTATAGTTGCAAATTTCATTTTTTATATATTTTACCACAATGATAATATATATAGATATTTTTTGAAAGGCAAGTATATAATTTGGCCACCCAATCTCATCTCTTACCACCACCCCACATCTTTTGCTCGTCATAACTTCAAACTGAATGACAGGCGAATACCCTAAATATGCCATTTGGATCCACACATCCATGTTTTTTCCACATGCTGTTCTTCCTTTCTGCAAAGCAATCTCCCTTGCCAAGGTGTCCTGGCAAGTCCCAGCTCATCCTTTAAAGCAGTGGAGTCAATCCTGGCTCACATGAGAATCACCTGGGAGCCTGTTAGAACTAAGACTCCCTGGGCCCCTCCCTAGACCAGTGAAAACAAACGATTTCAGAAGTGGTAGCTGAGCATCAGTAACATTTAAAAAATATTTCCCATGTGATACTAACATGCTGGTGTGGTTAAGAACCACTTCTTTACTTGCTACTCAATGTGTGGTCAGCTGACCAGCAATCTTGACATCATCTTGGAACTTCTTATAAACTCAGAATCTCAGGACATACCCTAGGCTACAGACTCAAAATTAACAGTGTAACAGGATTCGTAGGTAATTTGTATGCCCATAAAAGTTTTAAAAACACTCTTAAGACTCATCCCAGGGTTTAAAGAAGCCTTCTCCAAGCCACTGTAGCCAGTTAACCACTTGTGCCTAGAACACAACTCTATTTGTGAACTTCTCTCCTTGTGCTGGGATTCTGAGATCTTAAGGTTAGGGACAATATTTTATCTTTATATCTCTAGTACCTAGCAGGACATCTAGCTTCCATAAACAATTACTTGAATTATATTAAATTTGAAAAGGCAACAGTTCATCATATAATTAACATTGCAAAGACAACACTCTAAAGCAAAAAATAAAGCATGACAGTAATAAAATAATTGTTGCTTAGTAAAGCAACAATTACATGCCAAGATCTTCAAGCATGACATGTCCAGCCCTACAACATCCCCACTGGATAAACAATATCATCTTTGTTTTATAGATGGAATAATTAAGCTCAGGGAAGGGAAGGAAGCTAGTCACACACTGGTGCATAGTGGGACTGGGATTGGCTCTATCTCTGTCTTGTTTCAGAGCCAGTTTTGCTGAGCTGCTTATATCAGTTAATTCAGAACATCTTGATTGGATCTTTACTCTCATCTCCATTCTTCTCTTCACTGGTCCCTCACTATCTTTTCCCCTCCACCAGTGACAATGACCTTCTCACTTTGCCCACAATCACTCTTTTTTCCTTCCGTTTTTCTCTCAGTCTCTACTTTCCTCCCCTCAATGATTTGCCTTGTCCCTCAAAAGGAACTGAATTTTAGACTCTTGTTTTAATTACCAAATGTATTTCCCCTTCTAAAATTTAATGTCAGGTCAATTACATTCCTCAGTAGGCATTTAAGATTTCTGATCATTTCTCTTCCAATAGGACTTGAAGTAAGTTATAGATTAAGATCTAATGTGAAGGTAATTTTAATTGAAATAAGAAATTTTCTTTGTTTTATGCAAAGATAGCAATTATAAATCTCAAGTTTCTTTTTGTTGGGAAGTAGAGCTCTAAGGATAACCCTTCTTTGCCCTTCTACAAATAGAGAACCCTGCTCCATCTCTTTTATCTCTTATGTGTCGAATACCAGAATGGATAAAAACATTAATTTAAGGAAACAAATGTTTAAATATTTATCTGGATGTCATGTATAAATATCCACCCTCATTGAAAACAATAACAAATTATGCAATCCAGTTTACAAATATATATTTTTCTTTCCAAAGTTTTTTTTTTTCCTAAATAGAACATTTCAAAAACTTCCTAAGAAAAACAATGGTAACATTAACCTAAGCAAAATGTCAAGACTGGAAAAAAAAAACAAATTTAATATAGAACAATAATTTCTTTGCTGGAATAGAATTTGAACAGAAAAGAAATAGCACTGTGATACATAGCCCAGTGTACCCAAATGAAGATTACCATGATATTTTGCGATAGCATTGTTGGGCCAAATGAAATAAAATTCCTGCAGGACTAAGCCTCCACAATGTCAAAATAACAAAGCAACTATTATAATTCAACCCCAAACAGTAATACATATGATATATACTATATCCTCTTGGGGTGTCTTCTCACACTTCTTGTTGAGAGCTGTACCCACTTTGAAGAGTTGACCCTCACTGTAGGATGACCAACTTGCCTGGTTTGCCCAGAACGTACCCAGTCTTAGCTCTTACCTCTACCAAATCTATCAAAATCCTAATGTAATTTATGAAAATCCTAATCAAATCTGTAAAATCCCTCAGTCTGACACAAACTGTGATGGTTGGTCATTCCACCTGGCAGTCATGTTTGTATCTGACCACACCTACTCTCTCTAGATGCGCATTCAGGGTGCCAGTCAGACTCACGCTGAGTCAATAATGTGCTCTCTCCTGCTTATCCTTCCTTTTCTTTGTTGGGGTTGACTTAAGGGCTAGGGCAGCCAGGGCACTGCACACAGTAGAGCAGGCTGTGCCCTGTGTCAGGACATCACACCTAAGGGGGCACCATTCAGGTTGTAGTTGTTAGAATTCTGAATGTTCATTTTGACGTTGTTCCAGCAGTGAAGAGTCTTGTTACTACAAAATCAATATATTATGACAATTTTCTGACGGATGGAATCAAAGTGTATTGAGAAGGAAACCTATTTCTAATTGATGTGTGAGTGCCATATGGGCTGGTGGCAGCCCTGAAGACAACCTGTTTGGTGACATGCATTAGGGGAATCTGAGAAAACCACTTTGCAGAGAGAAGGGAGGGTGAAGAAGCCATGCAGCATAAGCAAAGCCCATGTGTCTAAAGGCTGGGGGTGTCCACCTCAGCTCCTCATCCAGTCTTCCACTCCTGAGGCCTGACTGCTTGCTTCCCCAATGCTCAGAGACCTTATCACAAAATCCTCCTTTATGTTTAAATCACGTAGAGTGGATTCTATAGCTCAGAATCAACAAAGCCAATTCTGTAACTTATATCCAAAAGTTAAAGGCAGGAAAATAAAACAGGCATATCTGACCAAATTGTTCATTTTATTTAGCTTTTCCTAAAATGACCAGCAATTCCAACAAAAAGTTAATCTTATTAGCACCTTAACCCAGGTAGACGTAGCCTATGCAAAAATATTTATTAGAGAAACTATAGTTGGGAAGAACATTTTGAGTATATGTTGCCAATTACATTCAGTGAAGGATAATAAAAATATCTGGGAATGCAGTATTAATAGTAAAGCACCCTTTGGATCTCTGTAAATAAACATTATTAAATCTTAGTAGTCTAACAAATTCTATGTAAGAACTTGGCCTGGTGGGTAAGAATGTTGTTGCTGGCATGGAGATTAAAAATGAGCATCAAATTTGTTTATCTCTCTCTGAGTGATGGGCATATAATGCCATACTTGAGATAGTGAAATAAAGGAAGTCTTCAATTACACTTTTGATAAGAAACTGCAGAACACCCATACACTTCAAATTCCTTTTATAATTATAAGTCTGGATAGTTTCCAAAGCATATTGTTTGGGCTCAATCATATGTAATATCAAGAACCCATCATGTGAAATGTAATTCAATTGTGGGATTGCAAAATTTCTGTGTTTTAATATCTCTAATCTAATACCGTATATTTCTAGAGGACTTTTCTTTAAAAGCAAGTTTAGAAAATTGTCCTGTTGATCTGCACCTGTGAGATAGGTGCAGCACCAATGTTGCACATAGGAAAAAAGAAAAAAAGAAATCTTTCTAATGTATTCCAAAGAAAGCCACTTCTTCAAACCTTTACTTACCAATATTACGAAGTCTGTGGCAAAATAAAATGAGCTCTGCGTCTCCTGGCATAATTGGAAAGCTTATTTTTAAATGCCATGTGTTGCTATCATTCATGCTGTGTTTTTAATGATTATCGCACATGCAAGCAAAATGTTATATTAGTTTTATATTCATGTAATTCCTGATTATCACAAACACATGCAATGAGAGACAGGAATAATATTATGGTGTTGAAGATGCAAAGAATCTCAAAAAGTTCTCTAATCTAGCATCTCATCTTTATACACAAATGAGCTTAAGTCATTCAAGACATATACGGCAGCATTTCCTTTTCCATTTAATGAGTGTTTCATAGAGGTCCACAAGATGGCCTATACTACAGAGGATAAAAGTTCAAGATCCCAACTCTGCACCATCCATAAGCAATATTGTTGCAAAGAGCTATAAAATAAACAGATAGCAAATAATATATTATTGTTGTGCATTTCTTAGAGTGGCAGTTCTTAAACTTTATCATGCTGCAAAATCCACTAGCATCTTGCTAAAGCACGGATTACTGGGCCCCATCTTGTTTCAGATCCATTAGGGCTGGAGTGAGACCCAAGAATTTGCATTTTTAATAAGTTCCCAGGTGATGCTGACACTGCTGGTTTCTGGACCACGTTTGGAGAACCAGTGAAGTAAATTATAGGGCTTAAAAATGTAGGCTCTGGAGTTCAAATGCAGGGTTTGAGTCTGGCTTTGCTCTTTGATGTCTGGATAATCTTGAACAAGCTACTTATCCTCATTGCCTCAGTTTATTCACCTGTAAAATAGAAACAATAACAGTGCTTACCTCAAGTGTTATTCTGGGAATTAAATGAGATAATGCTTGTAAAGCAATAGTGCAGTGTCTGACACATAGTAAACAATGTTCATTATTAATGTTATTTCATATTGGTAGTTCCCAAATGCCAGTTGCCAGACTAGTACTGTGTGTGAAGAAATTTAAAAACATATCAACATTAGTATAAAGTCACAAAGTGTTCTTTCTTGGGAACAGTTTTTCTTTACCCTGAGATACTCTTTCCTTTTTTTTTTTTTTTTTAGACAGAGTCTTACTCTGTCACCCAGGCTGGAGTGCAATGGTACGATCTTGGCTCACTACAACCTCTGCCTCCCAGGTGCAAGCAATTCTCCTGCCTCAGCCTCTCAAGTAGCTGGGATTACAGGCACCCATCACCATGTCCAGCTAATGTTTTGTATTTTTAGTACAGACAGGGTTTTGCCATGTTGGCCAGGCTGGTCTTGAACTCCTGACCTCAGGTGATCCACCAGCCTTGGCCTCCCAAAGTGCTGGGATTACGGGCATGAGCCACTGCATCCGGTCTTGAGATAACATTCTTTCTAATTTTTAGTGTTGAAATATATTTATGGCAGGCCTTTCATATGGGAGGGTTCCACTGTGGATTCAACCAATCTCAGATGAAAAATATTTTTTAAAAAAGTAAAAATAATAAAATGATAATACAAATAAAGAAACAATGCAGTATAACCACTATTGTCGTAGCATTTACATTTTAGTAGGTATTATAAATTATCCAGCATTGATTTAAAGTACATGGGAGGATGTACATTGCTTATATGCAAATACTACTATGCCATTTTATATAAGGGACTTGGGCATCCATGGATTTGGTCATCCTCAGGGTCCTGGATACTAAGGGACAACTGTACTTCTATGAAAATCATGGTAATAGGGATTGGCATTTATTTGAATGATGAAACCCTTGGCAATACCGTAATTGTGATCTTCCCTCATTAGAATTTGGGGTTGAAATTTAAAAAATGAAGAGGGTTAGGATTGGGTGCTTCTCAAGAGGACCATCGTGACTGTGTCATCCAGATTGTAGTACTAGGAGACCCTGAAGTCTCAGGAAGCACCTGTAAGGGTGATACTCAATTGTGACAAGAATAGGAGCTGTGGCTGGGAGTAAAGAGCGCTGCATGCAAGAATGGAGAGCACAAAACAGTGCCAGCTCCGTTCAACTCACTGGAGATAGCGGAACAAGAAGTTGTGGGGTGCCTGGGTGGTCCCCCTGCATCTGTCCCTCACCAGTCAGCTTACAGTACAGCCCAATCACCCATGTTGTCATAGTGACTTTAAGGCAAACCTACCTTGGGACCTAACCCGAGAAGTCAGGGACCCCTATCCTGACCCCTTGACTGATGGTTTTGCAGGATGTAAAACTCAAAACTCACTCTATTCTGCCAGAGTGGGAAGGCAGCTGATCTCCCAGGCTCAGGGGATGAGCCTGGTATGCCATTCAAATGCCTCCGTTCTTGCTACACTGGCCACGCCCATCATCAGGTAAAACACAAATCAAGCCGTATGAGTCTCACAAAGATAAAATAGAATATTCTGTGCATGTTTTGTCTTAATTGTTCTGGCCCTAATTAACCCCTTTCTCATTCTATTAAAGATGAAAGAGCAATTCTAAGCAAAGATTTTGAAGAAATATTTTGCTAAGGGCCATTCTCACCTATTTAGGGGGCAGTCAGGCATGGGAAAATTAAGAAGATGGTGGGATTCAAGAGAGGGGGAAGAGGGAGAAATATCTTTGGGACTCACTAATAGGTAAACGCCAACTGTTTTGATGTCTCAGTACTCTCATTTTGAGCATAAAAATGGCAATCCCAATCGGCCACAGTGAAAGGACCTGCTGCAAGGTAGACAAAGCCCTTAATCATTGAAAGGCATTGTCTTAGTTTGGATTTCTCCAAAAGCTGGCCCTGAGTCAGGATTGAGGTGCAAGCAGTTTATTTGAGAGTTGACGCCAGGAAGCACAGTGAGAAAAGAGAGAAGTGAGACAAGAAATGCCAGTAAAAGTGGGTTATTGCAATGGACAACTGGGGCCTAGTCCTGCTGGGAACTCACTGAGGAACTGTGTGGAACATACCTCAGACCTGTCCCCTCACAGTTTCTGGGTTTATATCTACCCCAGCAGCCGTGAGCCTGCACCTTGCAGACCAACTATTCCAGCAGGCGAATTGGCTGAGAGCCCAGCAGCCATGCTCTGAAATCCGTCGACAGATTTGGGCTGAACCTCATCTCTCAGGGCTACTCCTTGCCAGTGACCAAGGTGGTGGAGATACTAGGGTGGGCCTGTACCTGGGGGACATGGGACTCCTTCATTGGTGACTTCAGCTCAAGGACTTGCTAACAGCTTTGCTGACAGTTTATTCTGTACCACAGTGTAGGATGCATCCACCCAAACTTCTCTTTTTCTACTTCCCTGGGGGTTGGACCTGCGTCATGGTCTGGTAGCTCTCCCAGCCTTCCTGACCCCTTCTCTATTTTCTTTTACACAGCATTTCTCCTGTGTGTCCATTTAATCTCCTCTTGGTGTCTGCTTCACAGAGGACCCAGACTAACACATCCACTAACAACCAGACCTCCGTGGTGGAGGTCACTCCTGGGGGCATTAATGCCCTGGCACTTCCAGTCTGCCCCACATTCTGGCTTCCCTTGCTCCCAGGACCCATGGGTGTCTGGAGGCAGAGAGACACAGGAAGCCTCCTACTAGGGAACTGTCAGTCAGTTAGTGGCACCAGGTTAGCATACAGGCAGGACATCCATAGTGACAATGTCTGCTGCCGGCATTATGGTTTGGTGATCTGTTCAGGAATGCAAATAGATTGCTGTGCTCTGACCAGGACAAAATGGGGGCTTCAGGCTATGATATTTCCAGGCCTCTGTTAGGAAAAAATAAGTATTTTCCACAGGTAGGGTTACTTTAATTTTCCTTTCCTGATGATCTGAAGGTTTATTTCATTTTCTTCCTACCACTTTTCCCACCACTTCCCAATTTGATTGGTTGTTATTAATCAAGAAGGGAAGTGTTTTGAGTTCAGAACACTTACATCTTTTAGCAAGAAAAAGATGTAAAAATGCTCTTTGAAGAGGAGCTCTAAGCAACAAGTCTTATAGTAGGCAAGTAGTGTTAGTTCCCTTCCAACGTAGCCCCCTGAAAATAAAGGACCATATGTGTAATAGGTAAAATGCTGAGAATCATATCCCTTGTGTGGTTATAAATGGGATCAAAATGAGATAAGTATATGAAAGTACTGTTGTAAACTGTAAAAGGCAAAAATGAGTTACTCTGGGATCTTTGTGACTTATTATTACACTAGTTCAGAGGGACCATGGGTCAAGGCAATTCCTCAGAAATAGGGCACCTGCAAAGAATAAAAGCTTCCTAGAACCTGGTTAGCATATAATATTATATGTCCGTCGAAATGTGTGTTCCACTCTATTAGCATACTTTAAACACAACTTAAAGCTCCTTTACGATATTCAGACAATAAAAGCAATTTTTAGCTGTTGAGAAAACATTCTGTTCCACATGTTAGATGACATACCATTTGTTGTAATTCCAGCATCCCTGAATGTTCTACATTTATTTGTAATTTAATAGAATCAGTATTCTGCCTTTGGGATATTATAGTGCAATTTCATGTGTACCATTAAAAATACAGCTGATATATTCTACAGCCTGACTTAGCTGCAAATGTTGAGAAATTATGGACGCTGCACGACAAAAATGAAGAAACATGAAAGCTTAAGAAAAATGAAGAATCTAATTTAAAAGAATGAAAAAGGCAGAGATAAAATCAGGACAGTGACTGATCCAGCACCATGCACTAATATATCTTTTATACTTTCTCTTCTTAAACTGAATAATAGAGGTAGGTCAGAATTTGCATTGGTGTGAATCACTCAGATGAAGAGATAGAAGGAGACATATATATTATCTGGTCAATTTTAACAGATACAGTTCAATTGCTCAATGGTTCATCTGTCTTTTCTGAGCCAGATTTGAACAAAGGTGACCCTCAGAACTTGTTACAAGATCTTGTTATTTGAAAAATTTTTTCTTTTTGTGTTTTCTTGAGACAGCCTCTAAGATTAATGTCTAAAATAAACTCAGCTGTTGAGAAAATTTTAAAGATACCATCAGGAAAGTAATTCAACATGTCCCCAGTGCTTTTAACTCCAGTGATGAAATTCTAATCTGTAACAAACTTGGAAAAGAACAACAACAATACTTGGGTTTTCATACCTCCTTATGTATGTCTTTCGGCTAACAATTTTAGCTTCAATTTCATCCAAGGCAAATTAAATTAAACATCACTAGAATTCTGTGGGCATCTTCCTTCTCCTCAAATCATCCCAAGGAATACAGTAGGCACAAATTAAAATATTAAAGATGTCACGAATTTGGCAGAACAGTACAATATTGTTTAAGTACACACACAAAAAAGGGAACGGGGCAAGGGAGAGGAGAGTGCTTAACTAAGAGTCAGTTCTATTCCTGGCTCTGCTATTCAACTGCTAGGTGACCTTTCCTAGCCTCAACTTACTTAGTTGGGAAATGAGTTGTAACACAAGGATTTGACTGCCTGTGAGCATTAAAATGCCATGTTCATGTACTTTCACCCTGTCTTATAATTGTCTGTTGACTTATCTGTGTCATCTAGCCCAATACCTAGTATATAGCAGGACTCAATAAAAATTTGTTAACTTAATGGATAATCACATGTAAATAAATATCTCTCTCTGTTCACACGGATATGTTCACTGAGGACATAGTCACTGGCCAAAGATGATAACTTATCTAACTGATGACCACAGATGCCTCACATGCCTGTGACCTCAGGAAACATCATGATGACGTGAAGTAAAAGGCATGTCTGAGTATCTGGGTATTATATCTTTTTCTTGCATGCTCAATACATTTAAGGGACAGATGGCAAAATAACACAATAATTGCAGGCTTCCATATTTCTAGAAGTGCTTTCTACTGAGCATAAATTCACAACACTTTAAAATTTGAAGGACTCACTTCATTGAATTCATCAAATATTTAGGAATAGTATAATGCTGCTTAGGAAAGGACTGCTTAGGTGCTATGTCTCGAATGTTTAGTTAGACATCTTGTTGTAACATCAGAATGTTGCGCTAAGCCACCATGTGCTCTTTTGGGATAATACACTGATGATGGGATTGAGTACCCCAGAGGAATTTCCAAATGTCATAAATTTCTATGGAAAATGACAACGAAGTCCCACAAAAATATATATTCTAAACTGAGATGAAATTTAGCCATGTGCTAAATTAAAACATGTGACCATCTTTGGAGGGCACTTGGACATTATATTATTTTTGTCTTTGAACATTAATAAGATAACCTCATGTAAGATGTTAAAAGGTGATAAAAAAAAATACTATCAGAACTATCTCAGACCTAAAGCCAGGGCAGTAAGAGACCATTTTGTATGATACTGTAATGTGGATATGTGACACTGTGCATTGACAAAACCCACAGAACTATATAACACAAAGAGTGAACCATGGACTTCGGTTAATAATAATGTGTCAATATTGGCTCACCAATTATAACTGATGTATTGCACTGATGCACGATGTTTGTAGTAAGGGAAACTGAGTGGGGGAATATATGGAAACTTACTGTACTGTCTGAGCAATTTTCTATAACTCTAAAGCTGCTCTAAAAATAGTCTATTAATTTAAAAAATACTATAGGAGCTATTCTACCTAAAGCCACCAACTCAGCAAGTTGCTATATCAATTATGAGCAAAAGAATTCATTTACATCATGAGTGGTGGTTTTACTCGAAGACGATAATGATAGAGGATGTAGTGTTTTGGTATGGAAAGTCCTTTAGTAGCTCCAGACACTGGATATAGAATACAAGAAGTATTTAAAAAGACCCACATAATCTTTAAAGACAGGTCTTCTGATTTTGTGCCTCATACTTAGCTCTGGCAAATTCGACATAACTAAATGATGGGATCAGAAGAACATGCCCACAGTCAATGGCATATTGGATGATATCTGGGAAGTTATACAACAAACAAAAAGTTAACACAAAAAAGCAAGCTGTCAGAGCATACAAGAGCAAGAAAAAACCAAGGAGATGATCCTTAGTCAGGCCCTTCTTCTTAGGTAAGGAAAAATAGGCTGAAATGTATGTCCTCTGTGACATGAATAGCCCTATGGAAAAAAATTAATCTCTGGCCAAATTATAGGGATATTTGAGCTATTTCCTGAGCGACAGATTAATATTTAACTTGTGAATACTGTGAAGTTTATAGGCAATTGCTTTTCCCTTTTTCATTTAGCTGCAAGAAAGCTCAGTACCAGATTTGTGGTGCATTTCCAGCAAGTTTATAGGTTAAACCTTACTCCTGACTAATCTTGCTTTCTCACCCATCTGTGCAATGTTTTGACTTGCTGCTATCTTGCTGTGTTGAATGTGAGGTGAGTGACCTTGAACAGTCCCTCTCCCTTGCTCACCCCCCTAACTCCCTTCACTCCAGTCAGGGAGAAACGTGTGAGTTAGAATAAAACATTTAGAAAAATGATGATCAAGGAAAAAATATTTCAGAATGGTGGTATACATCCTAAATGACTTAGACAGAGGTCCATGTATTCCTTCATCAAAATAAGGCAAGTGTTACTATCTTCCAAGGACTAAGATCAGGGTGATGTGAACTGAGGAATAGGCATTCCTCTTGAAATTAAAGTGTGTACATTTTCCTAGGTGCTATTATACAAGAGGATCTATTGAGTAGAGAAGGGAAAATGCCATAATATTTATTTTTGTATAGTTTTTATTTAAGCTCTACTGAGAATTTAGTGTAAAAATGACCATGGCCACATCATGTGGTCAGTATGCCAAGATACTGGTGTCACGGGATTCGTGAGGAATTCCTAATGAAGAGTAAGAATTCCACAATGTAGTCATCATTTTATTGCGGTTCGCATGTGCCCTGCTTATTCATTAGCTCTCACAAAAAGGACAATACCCATAATGCACAAAGTCTCCTTACAACTAACAAGGAACAGGCCCAATAACAAAGGTGCCAAAGATATGAACAGGCAACTCCCAGAAGAGTAAAATCCAAATGCTGACAGACATATAAAAAGTAGCTCAAAATTACAAACAAGTCAGAGAAATGCAAATTAAAGTAACAATGAGAAAGTGTGCATTGGTTTGACAAAAAAATATGAAGAGCCATTATACCTTAGGCAAAAGAGTATTCCTGTGCATTGCAAGTAGAAATGAGAACTGTTACAGGTAAGATGCAGGCAATTATGTATAATATGATTCCACATTGATGAACCAGCACCAAAAAGCCCTCTGTCTAGGTGGATATATTTAATACATATGTGTTTACATGTACATGAGCACAGAGAGACATATAGAAGGATATGGGTACTGGATTATTAACATGGGTAACCTTTTGGGGTAAGGAGGTCTAATGTGGATAGAATAGAATGGAGGGGAAGGGGAATGCAAAACAAAATGAGAAAAAAATTACACTAAAAGCAGCATGTATAACATGAATACACTTTGAATTTGTGTATAATTTAACACAGAGGAACTTAAAAATAAAGTGGAAAATAAAACTTCTTCAAACTTTCAGCAAGCTCAGTGTACATTTGCTCTGGGGAAATAACAGTGAGGTGGTACTCAAGAACAGGGCAGGCCAGGTGCCGTGGCTCACACCTGTAATCCCAGCACTTTGGGAGGCTGAGGCAGGAGGATCGATTGAGCCCAGGAGTTTGAGACCAGCCTGAGAAACATAGTGAGACGCTGTCACTACAAAAAATAATAATAAAATAAAAATTTAGCCAGGCATCGTGATGCCTACCTATAGTCCCAGCTACTCAGAAGGCTGAGGTAGGAGGATTGCTTGAGCCCAGGAGGTTGAGGCTGCAGTGAGCCACGATTGTGCCACTGCACTCCAGCCTGTGTGACAGTACCAGGCCCTTTCTCAAAAAAAAACTTTTTTAAAAAAGGACAGGGCAGCTTCTTTCTTTGTCAATCTCAAGTAGCAGACATCTCCCAGAGAGTGGCCATCCCCCACCCCGCCGCATGCAAGGGTAGCAGCATAAGCCCTCTCCTGCATCCCTTATTCATGGTATAAGAAACAATGATTCCTTCTGGGATCAAGTTCGGGACATGAATGAGCTATATGAACAGTCCAGGCTACCAGTGTAACTGCTGCCACCCACACCAACATCCAAATTGGGTCCTAATGCCACTGAATTACAGATGTAAAGGGTTCCTGGGTTTTGCAGTCTAACCTCTCAGGCAGGGGGTCATCCTTTTCTCTAGAGCTTCGTTGAAAATTAACACTATCTCTTCCTGGACACTCCAGCACTGACAGCACCAGGGGCCTCCTAGAACTGGCTTCCAGTAATTCTATTTCTGCACCATGGAGCAACACAGAACAAGTTCTCCTCCACATATGTGCTATAACTCTTTAAAAAGTTGAAGACAGCAAAATTATATCGATTCGTCTAGCTGTTTCAGAACCAAAGAACCCCAGATTCCCAAATGATGCTTCACTGGGCGTGGTTTCCAGTCTCTCACAATCCTGGGTGGTGCTTTGGCTGTTCACGTGCTTCTTAAAATAGGGTCCGCAGAACAGAACTGAGTTTTTAGCCATGGTCTGGCCTGTCCAGAAGATGGCAGGGAAAGGATGATCCTGTTTCCATGAATGCTGCCCAAGACAACACAAACATTGATTTTGTGTGTTTGTTTGTTTGTATGTGTGTGTGTGTGTGTGTGTGTTTGTTTAAGAATTACTTTGGCAGCTCAGTTTGAAGTTGTGATCAATTTCAATATTTCAAAATTAACTGCTTCTGTATTAGGAATTTAACTTATGGCAATTGATTGTACATGTCTAGAAAAGCAATTGTTTTTAACTTTTTGTTCCTGATTTTAGCCTAGGATTCCAAACCGCTGTGATCACTTCACTTGTCAGTTCTGCTATCTGTTCTATTTGCTGGTATATTGCCGCATGAGAAATTACCCTGAATCTTAGCATTTTAAAACAATTAACATTTATGGCTTCACACAGTTTCTGTGGGTGAGGAGATCGAGATCAGCCTAGCTGTGTGCTTCTGGTTTAATATGTTTCATGAGGCTGGGGGTCGTGATGTAGACCAAGGCTCCAGTCATCTGAGGACCTCACTGGACTGGAAGAACAGTGTCCAAGATGGCTTCCTCCCATGACAGGCAAAGTGATGCTGGTTTTTGGCAGGAGTCCTCAGGCCTTGTGGACCTCTGCACTGAGCTGACTGAGGAGAGGTGGCTGGTTTTCCCCAGTGTGATGAGCCAAGAGAAAGATCCTTCGAGGAGGAAGCTGCGACACCATCCATGTGCTTAGAAGTCACGCAGTCACTTCTGCAAATTATATGATGAGAATTAGCTCTGCCTTTTGAAGGAAGAAATGCCAAAGAATGGTGGACATATTTTAAAACCACAATGGCTGATTTTTCTGCAGACTGAAAAAAGGAGGGGAGGCATCAAAAGATTACTAAACAGGCTTGGGTTTGAATCCTGCCTCTGCCACTCTGTAACTTCGGGAAAATTATTAGCCTTTCTGAGTCTCTGTCTTCCAACCGTGAGATGGAGATAAATACAGCATGAACCTCATTGAGTTGTAGTGGCAGTTAAATTGGATGAAATATGTAAAATGCCTAGTACAGTGTCTGGCATAATAACACTAAACTGCTGTTACATCTTCATTCAATTAATTGATAGAGGGGCTGAAAAAATAGAACACTGTTGTTTGAACAAAAGGCCATCTTGCTATGTATCTCAGAAGGTGACAGGTGTAGAAATATGAGTCCCTTTCTCCATGGCTGGAGTGCCAGGCATAAAGAAACAGAACAGAAACCTGGTAATCAGGACCGGGACACAAGATTCAAAAGATCAGAGCCAGACAAAAGGATACACAGTGAATTTACAAACTGAGTAAACTTTGTGTGCACCAACTAAACAATATTTAAATCTCGTATCCTTTTTTATGGAAAAAGTTATCTTTGAAAGAGGAGTATACTGAAAAGCAATCTATGTTCTTTAAACACATCGAAGAGTAGCCTAAATAAAGTGAAATTTTTTTTAGAAATCGCAAGTATTTTATTATCTTCAGCACTCATGTAGATACATGAAGGATACTGTAAATCCTAAGCTATATGAAACATGTGGTAGAATAAGTTTAGTTTTCTTTCTTTTTTAATATGAAAAATGTAAAAGAAGGCATCGAATAAAATAAACTTATAATTGAGCTTTACAGTGTCAAAAAATCAAGATTTAGATATTCTATAGCTTGTTTTTCTAACTTTCATACAGTGCTTTGCATTGTTTTTTTTTTTTTTTTTTTTTTTTTTTTTTTTTTTTTTTTGAGACGGAGTCTCGCTCTGTCGCCCAGGCTGGAGTGCAGTGGCGGGATCTCGGCTCACTGCAAGCTCCGCCTTCCCGGGTTCACGCCATTCTCCTGCCTCAGCCTCCCGAGTAGCTGGGACTACAGGCGCCCGCCACTACGCCCGGCTAATTTTTTGTATTTTTAGTAGAGACGGGGTTTCACCGTTTTAGCCGGGATGGTCTCGATCTCCTGACCTCGTGATCCGCCTGCCTCGGCCTCCCAAAGTGCTGGGATTACAGGCGTGAGCCACCGCGCCCGGCCCAGTGCTTTGCATTTTTAAAGTTCGTTTTAAACATGAACTAATCTTTACAATACCTCAGGCCAGAGAAACTATAATTTTTTGCATATATTGTTCTATTTATTGTTTTAGACTACATTTGTTAATGTATGTTCTCACTTGTTTGGGGGAGCTAAAAATTAAAACAATTGAACTCATGGAGATAGAGAATAGAAGGATGGTTACACAGGCTGGTAAGGGTAATGGGGAAGTGGAGGATAAGTGGAGATGTGTGTTTTTTTTTAATTTTTTTATTTCTATAGGTTTTTGGGGAACAGATAGTATTTGGTTACATGAGTAAGTTCTTTAGTGGTGATTTGTGAGGTTTTGGTGCACCCATCTCCTGAGCAGTATATGCTGCACCCAATTTGTAGTCTTTTATCCCTCACCCCTTCCCATACTTTCCCCCTGAGTCCCCAAAGTCCCTTCTGTCATTCTTATGCCTTTGCATCCTCATAGCTTAGCTCCCACTTATGAGTGAGAGCATACAGGGTTTGGTTTTCCATTCCTGAGTTACTTCACTTAGAATAATAGTCTCCTATCCCATCCAGGTTGCTGCAAATGCCATTAATTCATTCCTTTTTATGGCTGAGTAGTATTCCATTGTGTATATATATACCACAACAGAGAAACCATTATTATCTCTATTTTATAGATGGAGACATTGCAACACCAAGACCAACCGTGTCTCAGTTTCTTAAGAAATTAGAATTTGGGACCCAGTTAGAAATATGGCTTTTCTACTGCTTCATTGACTGGGAAGCTATTATAGTGTCAAGCATTGTAAAATAATTTTGTGTATTCCCAGCCATTTGACAAATGAAAATGAAGGTAATAACTCTAGCATGCTTTGCAATATCCAAACTTACAGGCCATTACCTAACAGTAAGAAAAAACAAAAAGACTCCATCACCAGATTTATGAGGGCTTTCTTAAATCTGTGAAAACATATCTTGTTTCCAATCTAGGTGAAAGTGCATTTACTTTCTTCTTTGCAAGACCGATTTTAAGAATGTCCTAACCATCCTCGGGAACTTGAGAGAGACCTGCCAGCCCTCCTGGTTTTCATACACTGTCGTTTATTCATTTACGGCTCAGCATTTACTATGGTAACAGATCATCAGGTACTCATGACAATATTTGGCAGTTCACAGTTCAAGGCAGCAATGTGCTCTGAGTGATGGGGTTTAAAATATCTACATGGTTATGGTTATAAAATTGTGCAGGGGCCAGGGAAAGCAAATAATGCAGCAGATTATATTTCAATGCACCCATTAGAGGATCAGCATGAGACACCATCAGCAGCAGAGGAATTCATCAACTTCACAGGCACCCAAGCAGTGTTAAAAGCTTTAACTTTGCTAGAAATATAACAAGTAATAAAAACAGACAAGACCTGAAATGGTCTAATGGACCTAGCACAAATGTGGCAGAAGATTAACAGCACTAAATTCTCAGGCATGGAAACTTTCCCCAACATTCAGTAAGCAGTTTCTTGAAATTAAGGACCTTCAGTACAAACATGAGTGTCAGCATGAATAAGTTCCTGGATGGACAAACTTTGTTCCACATAGTTGTACTGAGTTCACGTTCTTAAAGACTGTGTTCAAGTTTTTACGTTAATGCATTTTACCTTAATGCACTGCTGTAAATCCTTTTAAATCAATTTGTCACCTTTTTATCTAAGATTGATAAAAAATTTTTCTTTCTTTTAGTCACACTTGTGTCAAGGGGCATCTACCTGAGCCTTCCAGAACATTTATTTAAAATTTTTATTACAGCATATTTGAGTTGTATAGAAAGGTATACAAATAACATCATAAATTCCATCTCACTCAGGAACCAACTATAGAATTAAAATATTGCCCATACACTGAAAGCCCTCTATAAACTTTTCCTCAAATGTACTCCACCCTTTGCTCTCAGCAAGAACCCCTCTGCTGAGTTTGGGATTTATCATCACTAACGTCTAGCTAATGTGTAGACAGTGAACAGCTAGTGTATAGACAAATTACATCTATCTACTATATGTATGTCTCTAAGCAATATTTACTATTGTTTTGCATGGTTTTAAACTTCATATGGATGACATAACTTAAGTGTACCATAAGTATACTTTTGCAACTTGCATTTTTGTTCAACATCATTTTTGTAAAACTCATTCTTGTTGATACCTGTGGCTTTAGTTCATTCATCTTCATCACTGTATAATGTTCCTTTGTATGGTGATATCACAAATTATTTATTCATTCCCCTAAAAATATTTTCTGTAAAGCAGCTTGTGATTATCACATAAACTACAAGCAAATTTTTAAATTTGCAGTGTGCATTAAAGTTATTGAAAAAAGTGAGCACTTGAATATAGTGGGATGTATTTCCCAGTGGCAGACTTGGAACCATACATACTGCCTGCTTTTGAATATTTGTGACTATACCGTTTATTTTGCTAAACATATGTAATGATCAATTTTTAAACATATGCAATTATAAAAATTTAAGCATGTGCAATGATCAGATTTATTGTTATTCATATTACTATTATTTTGTTCTGAAATAGGTAGCCAGCCTGTATGTCTGTCAAGACCCATGGCATTGCCTCATTCTATATATTCTTAATGACTAATTACTGCCTCATTGTATCCATGAACATTTACAAGTGGTTCTCATTTGAGAATAGAATTAATGCTTTGTTGGATACATTTCTATTGACCAAAGATAGCTATGGAGAAGGAAACTTCCTCTCCACAATATAAATCTTAACAAGTACAACAACAAGAAATATGAGAGGAGTAGACAAAAGGCTGAAGGGAAAAGCATGTAAGTGAGTCACATATGTACTCTGAGTTTATTTTTCTTCTAATATGTCACATATTGGCAATTATATTATTTTTCAACATATTAGTACAAAACCTGACAATACTATTGTAATCTGCCATCTCTTAGGTGTTTCAAAGTTAAAACAGGCTTTTGCAAGTGGCAAGGGAATAGTTGTACATAAAAAATGTTTAGGCAAAGATTAATCATAATTCTAATTCACAATAAATAACTTAAACAAGAGCAGTACAATTGATGCATAGCTACATAGACATAAATGATTCCTATCCAACAAGTTACTCCTTTGAAATAACATGCATTTTCAATCAATAGATGAAGTGCACATTATCTTACAATGCCTCTGGGAGAACAAAGAAAAACTCTGAAAGCAAGAATCGGCAACCCATGGCATATATACTGATTGCTCTGGCCATACTTCTTTCCCATGCTTTTTTAAAAAGATGATTTAACTTATTTTACCTTGTGTAAAGCAATTTTTATTCAAAAAAATACATGATCATTTTGGAAAATTTGGATAGCCCAGAAAAATTACAAAGAAGAAAATAAAACTTCATGCTAATCTTTTCACACATAGCCATTGTTAATATTTTAATATATACATATTCTCTCATCTATGTATATATGTTCATTTTTAACAAAACATGAATATATTATAGAAATTATTTTATGACCTTTTTCACTATGCAATATATCATGCATTTTTTTCCATAGCATTATTCTTCTTTATTCTCATTTTTAATGGTTTTATGTTATTCCATCATGTGAATGGGCCATAATTTATTCACTACGACTCAATTTTTGGACATTTGTTTTCAGGTTTTTACCCTTATCAGGAATGTTATAGTTAGTATCCTTACTGATAAATCTTTATATTCATCCATGATGAGTCTCCTAGCATAAATGTTTAGAATGTGATAGCTGAGTGAAATACTACACACACACACACACATATATATATATATATAATGTTTTTCTTATGTGCTGCCCAACTGTTGTCCAAAGAAGTTGTACCAATTTTTATCTCACCATCTCATTTTCTCAAACAATGCTTTAATACATTTCACGAATGACCTCAAGTCTTCACTACTCCCTGTATCCACATCCTTTGCCATGTGACCTTGCCCTGGCCTCCTGTTATGGTTGTTCCTGACTTTGACCATGTGAACTTTCTTTGATCAATGGGATCTTAGCAGTTATAATGCATGGCAAGTCTTTACAACTGCTTAGGTGATTGAGCTTGGTCTCTTGTGCCAATGCTCTTGCCTAGGCTAGCCTACTGGTCCCAGGAAGAAGATGAAATACAATCACATAAGAAACACCCTCCAGCCAGCCATAAAGTGTGTGATGGAGTTCAGCAGAGACCAGAAAATTCACTCAATTGAGCCCAGTCAAGATCAGCCAACCCCCACCTGACCCAAAGACTTGTAAAAACAATACATTATTGGTTTATTTAGCCACTAAGTTTGAGGGTAGTTTGTCACGCAGCAAAAGCTAACTGATATAGTTGTCAGTCCTGCTCTTCCCAGATGTTTTACTGTTAAAGTCTGGATAAAAGTTGACCAAATACAAAGCATTTTCACATTCATTATTAACATAATTGTATAGATTAAAAAAACCAAAGTTCAGAAAGATAATGATTTTCCCAAACGATCTCAGTTACTAAGTGGCAGAGTCAAGGTTCGGAGATTGTATAACTGTGCTCTTTTCTCTATTCCAACATTTCTCTGTTTTCAGAAAATAAATATTTTAGGTTTTTCAGGCAATATGTTCTCTTGCTGTGATTACTCAACCCTACTATTGTAGCACAAAAGCAGCCACAGACAGTGCATAAATGGCATGGCTGTGTTCCAATAAAACTTTATTTATAAAAACCATCTTGGCCACCCCGCCAGGAAAGTCTGTAACTGGCACATCCACCACTTAAATGACTAGCAAATTTCCCATTAGTACATTCCCCATGAGTACTAATGAAGGTGCTGAAAATTTGGCACACACACACACACACACACACACAGACATACAGTATCTGTGTGTATGTATGTATATGTATGCTAAGATTTCATAGATTTGGAAGTGACAAAGATTCATCTTGTTCAATTTCATTTGAAAACTGAAGCTACCAGGGAACTGCAGTCCAAAAAAAAACAACAACAATTGGTAATTTACCTCCTTGAAAGCGATCACAGGTCGAAGGCCTACTGCTGCAAAGGAGATGATGGTTGAAAAAATGTATAAACGGCTGCTGGTCAATCATGAAAACAGAAAATAACCGAGCAGAATCCATCAAAATAGGTGATGTGTGAAAATGAGAATTTCCCAACTTGGTTCACAAAGGAGCAATTTGAAATGAAAATCCATGAATGCATGAATGAATGAATGAGTGATTGAAGAGGTGCTTAGGGAGCTAATGTCAACCCAACTCGATCTCAGTAAAGGTTAATTGAGACAAGGCAGCTGTCTCATCTGCTGGGGGGTGCAGCCATATTGAGAGGCTTGGCAGAAGCAATATTCTGCACAATTTTAAAGCGATCAGAACCATTTTCAGTGATCCCTGTTTTCAGGAGAGCTCAACTACGGGGACACAGAATATAGAAAGGAGCAAGGAATCATGCTGAATTTTAGGATTGAGTCTCAGCTCTGCCACTTCCTAGCCAAGTGACCTTAGCAAACCCCCATCCCACAAGCCCTTATTAATGAATATAAAGACAATAATAGGTGCTACATTATAGGATTGTTTTGATTATTAAAAAAGGCAATGCACGTAATATGCTTAGTACAGTCTCTGGCCACGTGGAAGAAACAGATAAATTAATAGCTATCTGCTAAGACCAGGGCTGGATGCTGAGGATAAAATGGGATCCCTGACCTTGAAAAACTCAAAGTCTAGTGGGAGACACAGATATATAAATAGACAACTACAATAAAGTGAGGAATATCGTAACAAGGACATATCTTGGAGAAAAAGAGTGGAATGACAAATTAATTCTCTCCATTGAGACTTAGAGGTTCTGTGTGTGTGTGTGTGTGTGTGTGTGTGTTTTATTATTATTAATGTTGTTGAGTTACTACAGCAATAAATTACAATGACTATACTGTAATCTCCTTGAGGGTAGAGATTAATGACTACCCCGAACCCAGCATAGCCCTTAGAACTCAATCATGGTTTAATAAATATTTGTTGATTCATAGGTTTTTAGTAAAAAAAAAATCTTTACTAAATTTTCCTGTAATAAACAAAAAAGTTAAACATAATTCAAGAGAGAAAATAATCTGGTCTCTGTTATCCTTATTATATTCTGCATTTTGAAGTTTCACTGGGCTTAAATTATGTTATTGTTGACAGTTTTGGAATGAGTCAAATATGAGTTTGCATTTCCATTTCAGCCCTAATTACTGACTTGAGACCTTAGCTAAGTGACTTAACCCTGTAGGGAAATCTGTATGTAAAATGATATTTGGTTTAGGGGTTAAGAGCATGCTTTCTGCAGCCAGGCTGCCTGAGTCCAAATCCTGGCTTGCCATTAGTTAGGGTATAATGGTAGACAATTTAGTTTGGGTTCTCCACAAAGCAGATCCTTAAACAAGGACGTGGGTGCAGGTAACATATTTGGGAGGTAATCCCAAGAAGCACACTTGAGTATGAGAGGGACAGGGCAGCCGGGGATGTCCCTCAAATTGTGCTAATGGGCAAGAAGAAATGGGCTTCAGCTCCCTGTAAGGTGATATAGAGAGCAAGCATCAGAATTGTTCCACCAAAGGAAGAGAACATTGAGCATTCATGTACTAAGCTGTGAACTTCATGGATGGAGAGTTGTCCCTGGGGTGCTGAAATCTCCAGCTCTTCCAAGCTATCCTGCTTGCTGAACAAGCTCCCGTAGCTCTGCAGACAGCCCTGTGGCAGGGAGGTGGAGTGACCATAGGCACAGGAGGCAAGAAGCTGTCCTCACACAGTCAATGTCCACCAAGGCTGCAGGTGAGCCACAGCGATATGAAGAGAGGCATCAACAGCGTCTGTCACATCTGTGAGCTCCACCCCTTTTTTGTATGTACATTAGAAGAAACTAAAATCTATAAGGCAGATTTCACAAAAGCCGATTAATTGCAATATATGATCTTTAATTAGATCCAAGATTTTTAAAAATACAGCTATAAAAACATTATTGGGATGCTCAGGGAAATCTGAATCTAGCTTGCATATTAGGTAACATAGTTGTATTAATACTACATTTCTTGGGTATGAGAATGATATTGTGGCTATTTAGAAGATCCTTGTTCCTTGGAAACACATGCTGAAGTATCTACAGGTAAAGCGGAATGATGTCTGCAACTTGCCTTTGAATATTTAACAAATATATTGACATGGTTTGGATATTTGTCCTCTCCAAATCTCATGTTGAAAAAGGAATATAAATCATTCTATTATAAAGACACATGCATGCATATTTTCACTGCCGCACTATTCACAAGAGCAAAGATACGGAATCAACCCAAGTGCCTATCAATGATAGACTGGATAAAGAAAATATGGTTATATATACACCATGGAATACTATGCAGCCATGAAAAGGAACAAGATCATATCCTTTGCACGGACAGGGATGGAGCTGGAAGCCATTATCCTCAGCGAACTAACACAGGAACAGAAAAACAAACACTGTGTGGCATGTTCTCACTTGTAAGTGGGAACGGAACAATGAGAGCACATGGACACATTGGGGGAAACAACACACACTGGGGCCTGTCAGAGGTGGGGGCTGAGGGAGAGCATCAGGAAGAATAGCTAATGGATGCTGGGCTTAATACCTAGGTGATAGGTTGATCTGTGCAGCAAATCACCATGGCACACATTTACCTATGTAATAAACCTGCGCATCCTGCACATGTACCCCAGAACTTAAAATACAAGTTGATTAAAAATAAATAACTAAAATATAAAATTTAAAAGAAATGTGATTCCCAATGTTAAAGGTGGGGTCTGGTGGGAGGTGATCGGATCATGGGGGCAGATCCCTCGTAAATGGTTTAGCACAAACCCCTTGATGATAAGTGAATTTTCACTCAGTTTATTCAAGATCTGGTTGTTTACAAGTCTGGGACCTTTCCCGCCCTCACGCTCTTGCTCCATCTCTCATCATGTGCTGTGCCTGCTACCCCTTCAGCTTCGGTCATGAATGGAAGCTTCCTGAGGCCCTAACAAGAAGCAGATGCCGGCACCACACTTCCCGTACAGCCTGTAGAACCATGAGCTGATCAAACCTCTCTTATTTATAAATTACCCAGCCTCAGCTATTCCTTTATAGTAACACAAACGGACTAGTACACACACACACACACACACACACACACACGGAGAAAGAGAAATAAATGTGACACCGTTTCAAAATTGGTGAACTTAGGTACGGGTATACAGGTGTCTGTTATACTAAATGGTTTTTATTATTTATTTATTTATTTTGAGATCGAGTCTCACTCTGTCGCCCAGGCTGGAGTGCAGTGGCACAATCTCGGCTCACTGCAACCTCCACCTCCTGGGTTCACGCCATTCTCCTGCTTCAGTCTCCTGAATTGCTGGGACTACAGGCGCCCACCACCATGCCCGGCTAATTTTTTGTATTTTTAGTAGAGACGGGGTTTTACCATGTTAGCCAGGATGGTCTCCATCTCCTGACCTCCTGATCCACCTGCCTCGGCCTCCCAAAGTGCTGGGATTACAGGCTTGAGCCACTGCGCCCGGCCTAATTGGTTTTTATTTTTATATAGGTCTCAAAATTTTCGAAATAGGGTAGGAAAAATGTAAAATGTAGACTCTATCTCTATTTATATTATTATTATGTATTACAGTAGTGTTTTTATAAGTGAGAATTAAATGGCTTCAACAGCTCAAAATAAAGGGTTTAAAGATAACGAGCAAGGAGATTATTGTAAAAACTGACTTCCATTGGGGTTTTACTTTCACCTCAGTCACTGGGGAGTTTAAGGATAGAGAAATAAGTGTCATTCTGGCATCTGATTTCATATTCATAAAAATGCAAAAAGAATAGATTATGTCCTAAAATGATTGAGAAGCTATGGTTTGGTTGATGAACTAAAGATGATATAGAAGAGAAATCAAGCAACCATAAGGCCCTTAAATGTCTGGGAATAGTACATTTATTTTAATAGCACAAAATGGAAATCAATTCCAATTTCAAATGAAGAATATATATGTATTGGAATTAAATCCTCTTAAAATGTTTACACCCCATTTTGGCTCTAAAAAGATGAAAAACATCAAGAAGAGTATGTGATATAAGAACAGCTATATTAAAAAATAGGAATCCATTCTGCAGTATGAATTTTTTTAATTGGCACCATACAGCCTAACAAGATATATGCACCATAATAAACTAGAGATTAGAAAACTGAGAAATAAACAATAAAAATACATCTCTCTGAAGATAAATGTTTAAAAGATGGCAAAATATGGAATGTATATATACAGATTCCCTTCTCTCAAGCTATATTTGATGTTATTTTAAACTTTCCATTTGCTAACATGTACATGAAAACCTAAACACAAGATTGAAACTCTGGTAGTAAAAGTTTCTGAAGATATAACAGATTGTTAAACTTTTTTTTTTTTACCCTCTTAAATGTTCTAATTGTCAATTATCATGCTATAAATTTGGGGTGTGTTTAGTTATTTCTCATCAGTCTTCTCTTCTGCATGATGTGGCTAAATACAGTGAGACTGTTTGCCACTCCCTCTGTTCATTGCTCCTGAGCATCCACCTGGTGGGATATTAACACACCATTCAGAGAACACGAGGAACACAGGGAAACATCAGCATAATTAAATAACGCCATCAGCCTCTGAAGTGTACTCCCAACTGTGCTGCTCCACATGAAAGAGCTTTTAAATATAGATCACCTAGGAGTCTCCTGTGCAAATCTCACTTTTCTTCCTTCCATTCCATCAGAGGAACTAAAATAGGATGTAGCATTTGAGAGGCAGAGACCCCAGGTGTTTCTTTCTATTTCAATAATTTTAAGCTCATTTTGCAAAAGTATCCAGCTACCACTTATATCTACATGATGTTAATATCTGTATGGAAAGCAGAAAATTTATATAAATTAGTTGAAGAGTGAGTCTAATCAACCCATTAGGAATCAAATATTTGATTTCTACCTTGAGCAAATAGAGTACATTTTACTGCTAAACTCATGCTACTACTGATGGCCCAATTCAACCAATTCTTCCTTTTCCTGGCTTTCCTTACCTGTCAGACAGTCTACACCTGTGCCTCAAGCAGACTTTTGTCTCCAGTGCTTTTCATAAGGATAGCTCTTTTAATTCTAGATTTCCTTTGGTTTTTAAATGGCTTGCATTTTAACGTCAGTAGATGGCCTTGACACCTTCTTTGCTTTTTACTCCTTCTTTTTTTACTGACCTTTTTTCTCTCTTTTTACCTGGTTCTGTCCTTCTCACATCTCTGTGTCTCTGCACTCATCTATTCTCGTGTTATCCATTTCCTTGGTGATGACACTCAGTAAGTGATACTCTCTCTTGCATTATTTTCCCAATTTCAGGACAAGCTGCTGGAGCATGTGCCTTGTCGTCTGACTCCTCTGCCACTGGCACAGACATTGGGACATAGGCCACAGCTTGTGCCATGGGAGGAGACCAGCAGTAGTTGCATTGTACAGCAAGGGTAATAGTGGTCGGAATGTTTTCAGAGAAAAGTGGGGGCTGACGCATGGGGAGAAAAGCATCTTCCTTGCTTGCTTTATTTTTCTCATCCTATACTGAAATGTTCAGTTGTCTGTATCAGTCATGGTACTGGCAGGAAACAAATGGTAAACTTAACAGGGATAATTGAAAAGAGTTTAGCAAAGGGACTATCTACAAAGGTATGCATGTGGTTTGGGGAACTCAACAACAAAGAATAGTGAAGCACGCTGGAGTTGGCAAAGTGTGGAAAGCCATCACAACTACTGCTTGAGAAGCAACAGCAGGGAGCAGTTACTCTAACTGGGGAGGCCTATAACTGGAGGAAAGAGCCGCCTGATAGAAGCCGTCGTCCTTGTTGCAGAGACTAAGCCATACTAGAGTCACCCAAGAGACAGAAGCCAAGAAACTGAGGAAATAAATACTTTGACCTCTCTCTCATCTCATCCTCCAGTTTTCTGCTGGGCCTCCCATTGATCAAACCCAGCAGAAGCCAGAAAGCAATGAAGCTGATGTAGTCCATAGAGCACAGAAGCATGGAGGATGATTCAGGAGAGACAGATATGCAGTACAATGATGGAGATTTTGTCAATTTGACTTGAGTGCACAGATCTGTGCAATGGCAATGATACCATGAAAATAACAATGAGGATGAAGATAACAAATATGATAAGAGTAGTAGTGTTTGTTGTGGTAGTAGTAGTGATATTATACTTTCATAGAATGTTTTACACTTTCAAAGTGCTTCTACACACATCTCATTGTCCCCAGGAATAGATAGACAATGAAGTACTTAGTTTGCATTGTGAATGATCACATCTTGTTTAATTATTGGTCTAGTGGTTTACATGTAGATGGGATGTTTTATTCACTTATTTTAGTAATAGATATTGAAAATCTACTCTGTCCCAGGCTCTGTGCTAGCTGTGAGTGGGAGAAAGGGTCTGTTTCCTCTTGAAGCCTATAGCCTACACCTAGCTTTGAAATACAGACCACTTCCCTGGTGAGAGAGAGACCTGGACCAGTTAAAGCACTATTCAGACCTATTGCTCAAACTTTGAGTTCAGAATAAGGTCTGAAGGGATGCCAATGGACCTGGGGTCTACCTTATACCTTTGGACTCTGCAATGGCCCCTAGGAGGTTTCCAGTTTCTCCTTGTTTTATCTTGCTTAATGTTGAATGATAGGAAATGTGGAAACATCCTTTAAAAACAAATACTGCAATTACATTTTCATTTTAATCCCTGGCAAAGAGTGATAACAGGATTGTTTTGTTTTCTGGGTTTTCAATTTGTTAAAGACCTATGATATTTCTTCACTGAGGAAGTGTCTTGGTGAATTATAAAGAACACAGGGCTTACAGCCAGAAGATGAGAATTTTGAGACCTGGACTTACCATAGACTAGCTCTTGGATGTTGGACATGTCATTGGTTTTTCTAAGCCAATAATTATAATTTTCTATAAGAAATTACAGATAATTTCTTTATCTATAAAATCAGAATAGTAATGTTAAGACAGCAAGATTCTTATGTGGATTAAATGAGTTAATGTATACTGTATCAAAGTTTTTGTTAAAACTACAAAGACTTACTCAAATCTTAGTTGTTATAATATTTGGCTGGTAAATTCACTAAAATATTAAAATATTTTGCTGCCCAAAATTTGGATGTTGAGAAAGATTCAGTTAATTTTATTTCCATCTAGATGTTTGGCACCATGCAGGCATAACCACAAGAATACTTTTGAAAATTTCTGGGCAAATGAATTTCCCTGCAAATGAAGTGAATTATTATATATGTAAAAAGATCATTTCTCAGAGAGTTTGTCTGAACTTAACTGCTTTTTTTGATGAATTCAGCTACAATTTCAACCACAGGCTTCCCCTATTTGAATTCTGCCTGTTTTATACTGTTAATCCAGAGGATTTTGGCAAGTGCCTACCACATCAACCTGCTTCCTTGCAGAAGCCTCCAGAGGCAGTGCTTTCAGACTAAGTATGCATGAAGGTATGAATCTTGACCCCACCACTTTCTAGCTGCGTAAACTTGAGAAAGTATTTGACCTCTTTGAGCCTTGACTTCTGCATTTCTAAAATGGAAAGTAGTGTTTGTTATTCTGTATTTGGCCCCCATCCCCCAAAACAAAGCCATGCACATAGCCTCAGTGAGACTTGCTTGGGTTTAGCCAATGGCAGGTCAGGTTGCAAAAGAGAGAAAGGTTGGAGTATTTCTTAATCTTCTCCTTGCCTCTCAACACTGCAGATCTTCACCTGGCCACAACCCTTCAAGATCAGCTCTGGCAGTGGCTCTTTCTCCATGGTGGTAGCAATCACTGGGCCCCCGTAACACCGTTCCTCCCCTTGCCCTTTCAGTCCTCAGGCAGCCCACCCTCTTGCTACTCTCTGATATCTCACCCTAACTGATATGTGGGTTTAGTAATAATAAGTACTTTCTAGGGTTGTGGATTGGGAATTAAGGTAATACTATGGGAAGAGCACTTAAAACAAGGACTGAGACTTAAGAGCTCAACAGCCATTAGCCATTGTCACTTTGTTCTTCTTCCATCCTTGGAGCCTTAGTTTTCTGACTTTCTTTCCACCTCAGCCTAGAAATCGGCCATCAGCTCCCTTTTACTCCTGTCTATTCCTGCGCCCACCACCACCCACACCCAGCTTCTGAGACCCTGGGTTTTTTTGACTCTCCAGTAGGGACTTTGGACAAGACTGCACATTTCTAAAAATAGCTTATTCATACTGTTAAACAAAATCAATCTTAAAAATTACTCACAAGATTAGAAAATACATATCATTAACTCTCATTTATGAATTATAGCTTTAACATATGTATGCAGCAGCGTAATTTGTGGAGAAATAGATGAAAAACTAACTGTTAACCTCTTAACAGGAGATTCATTCTCAGTAAATCATAAAGGGAGGAATGGATTGGGATAATAACACAGACTAGCAATGGCAGCAGTGGTAAATTTCAGTTTGTCAGATTAATTGAAGAGGCCCATAAAATACCAATAAAGTCCAGTTTTAAAAATAGTTATTAGATGCTTGAGGTTTTTCAGAAATGGATAAGCAAATATAAAACTCTTATTTTGACAGAGCGTAAAAATCTGCCTGTAAAAATTAGTAAAGAAGTTTGGAGCATTATATAGAAATAGAGCCAAAATAACTATTTTAAAAAAGCAAAAAGTAAATGCTTCCGTGAGATTATTTTCAGACCTAGAATTGCACAATTGTAGGAATGACTTTCATAGAAATATTCTGATAGGATACCAACTTAGGACTGGTTAAAAAAAATAACAGAGCCATCTCAAGCTGGGGAAAGAGGGGCTGGAACCCTGCAACTGGAGAACTAGGATATGTTAGACAGGGTTCTCCAGATAAACAGAAACAGTAGAATGTATATATATATGCAAGAGGAGATTTATTATGGGAATTAGCTCAAGCAATTGTAAACACTGAGAGGTTCCACGTTCTGCTGTCTGCAAACTGGAGAACCAGGAAAACTAGTGGTATAATTCAGTCTAATTCTAAAGGCCTATGAACCAGGGCAGCTGAAGATGTAACTCACACTCTGAGGTTGAAGGCCTGAGAATCAGGAAGACTGCTGGTCTAAATACTGAAGTCTGAAGACCTGAGAACTAGGGCAAGATGGATGTCCCACTCAACAAGAGAGAGATAATTTGTCCTTCCTTCACCTTTTTGTTCTATTGGGGCTCTCAGTGATGCCTACCCACACTGGTAAGGGTGCATCTTCTTAGTCCACTGATTCAATTTGTAATCTCTTCAAGAAACACTCTCAGAGATACACCCAGAAATGTTTTACCAGCTATCTGTGCATCCCTTAAGCTAGTCAATTTGACATATAAAATTAACCATTACGCAGGAAAACAGTCACAAACCACTTCCCAGAAGCACTAGCAGGGGTGGCATAACCAGAACTCATAAAAGTGTCTAGAAGCTATGAGTATCTAGTCATTGTAGTAGAAGCATAAACTGAGACTGCAATGCAGGATCTTGAAGGAATCTGCAAAGGGCCATATAAATGAAGCTGCTATGTCTAATCCTCATGGACAAACTGTAACTCAGAACTGTGCTGGGACGTGGACTCTGGGATATGTAGTTTCAGGACTCGGAAGGGTGTGGTGATGGTGGTGATAAGTTGGCAACAGACAATCTTGCAGACGTACCACTGGAGACCATTCTTGATACTTTATAACATAATTTTCTATAATTGTAACAAGAATTATATGCAGTAGGTATGTTTATCCCCATTTTATTGGGGCCAGAGAGATGTAGGAACTGGGGCCGGAGAGATGTGGTAACTTCTACAAGGTCATATTTGTCTAGCTTTCTGTGATCCTTCTTCTCTATGTGAATTATGAAAGGCCATGCTCCTTTTATCTTAAGAATCCTCCAAATTACCATTAACATAAGAGCTAACATTTTCTATCATAGAAAATAAAGTATATGAGAACGATAAGTGGGATTAGTTTGAATGAGTTTTGCAAATGAATGTCAAGAATTTATCAAGTTCTCTTTTTCAGATTAGCACTCACTGTGAGCTCATAACTGGTAGTGGCTCAGAGTGCAAAATAAATCTTATTCCCACAAGTTGAGTTTGTACTGAGTTCCAGTGAAATAATACCTTGCCTTTCAGCCACTAGAAAGTGACTTGGCTTTCCCAATGGTGAAGATAAATGAATAAAATTTAGGGGAAGAGAAGCGAGCTTCTGGAAGTCTAAGGCTGGGGATAAGTGGGGAAGTGGGGTGCATTCTTTTTTTTTTTTTTTTTTTTTTTTTTTGAGATGGAGTCTTGCTCTGTGGCCCAGGCTGGAGTGCAGTGGCACAATCTTGGCTCACTGCAAGCTCCACCTCCCGGTTCACGCCATTCTCCTGCCTCAGCCTTTCAAGTAGCTGGGACTACAGGTGCCCACCACCATGCCCGGCTAGTATTTTGTATTTTTAGTAGAGATGGGGTTTCACCGCATTAGTCAGGATGGTCTCGATCTCCTGACCTCGTGATCTGCCCACCTCGGCCTCCCAAAGTGCTGGGATTACAGGTGTGAGCCACCGTGCCCGGTCGGGTGCACTCTTAATCGGAACCAGGACTTTAATTCCACCTACTGACTCCAAGATCATCCCAAGCTGGGCCCACTCAAGAACAGACTCAGACTGGGAATTGCCTCACAATTTAACTAGTCTTCAGGACCAGAATTATTTGAAATAGTATCTGCATCTGCCCTAACAGTTGCAAGTTCAACATTCATTCTCAAACTGTAAGTTTCTCTATGACGGAGATGCAGTAAAGAAAAAGAATGGCAATTTCTGCTTGGTGTTTATGTAAATATGAAAGTAAAAGTATGCAAAGGCTAAATGCAGAGTATTGGCTGGCCAGGAAAGTCAATTAATTCAAAAGAAAAGAAAAGTGTGAGAGAATCCAGGTTAAGAGTCTGAAGGTCAAGTTGAAGGCAAAGAGGAAATGTTAATGGAAAGAAGGAGTGGAAGTGGTAAGAAGTGTATGAATGTGGTTAGAGGGCAATTTCAGAAACCAAAAGCTTTGAGAGGGAGCAGTTTAAAAAGACATGAAGGTCTAGTGTATGGATGAATGAGTAGGTGCCTGAGGTCAAGTTAAGTTGAAGGTTACAGGCACCTAGCAAACTCAGAAATGATATGGGCAGGCCAATGCATATTGATGGTGAAGTAACTGGTATTGTTAATCATGTCAGCCATACTCTCTATTCTCTGGTCCTCCTCACCCTCTATTCCACCCACCATGCTAATCCTCAGATTACTGTCAGAGACAACCGTATAACCATGCTGATGGGCTCTGTTGGAAATGTACGGTTCTTGAACTTCATTGAGTTCATAGTCATGCTTAGCAACCTTCAGGTCACCCAGTCAGTTCACCTTTTAATTCACAGCAATATCTCCTTGAAACTCAAAGCCATGTACCCTTCATGCTGCCACTCTCATTCTCAATAGACCACCTTACCTCCAACCTCACAGAAAAAAGGCGATCAGGCAGAACTTCCTTAAAACCTTCCTTTTCCTATTCAAACTTACCCATCATTTTAGCCATCCTTATCTCTTTCCACTTTTTGCTTAATCTAACCTATTCTAAGACTTGCTCCATGAATTACACCTCTAGCTTTTATCCATGATATCTACTTTTCTACTGGATTCCTCCCCAGGGCTATAAATGCAACCACGTCTACTTCACCCTAAAACAAATATTCACCTGTCTATGACCACTTATGCTGCCACCACATCCTTTTCTTCCTGTAACAGCCTTTTTTTGTTTGTTTTTGTTTGTTTGTTTGAGACAGAGTCTTGCTCTGTCTCCCAGGCTGGAGTGCAGTGGCACAATCTTGGCTCACTGCAATGTCTGCCTCCTGGGTTCAAGCTGTTCTCCTGCCTCAGCCTCCCAAGTAGTTGGGATTACAGGAGGGTACCACCACGCCCAGCTAATTTTTGTATTTTTAGTAGAGATGGGGCTTCACCATGTTGACCAGGCTGGTCTCAAACTCCTGACCTCAGGTGATCTGCCTGCCTCAGCCTCCCAAAGTGCTGGGATTACAGGTATGAGCCACTGTACCTGGCCAACAGCCCATTTTATAAAGCCTCACTTTCTTTGTTCCTCACCAGTCATTCACTCCAGCAATTCATTGAAACATGCAGCAAACATGACAACTAAAATCTGGTTTATGCATCCACTACTCAACTGAAACTCTACCAAAAAAGACTACTTCCAACTTACCTGCCACATTTAGTCCTCATCTTTCTCATCCCTGTGAGACTTTTGTGACCATACTCGTTGGAATCTTCTCCCACATTAGCCTTAGAGGCATCTGTCACTTCTTGGTCTTCTTGAACCTCTCTATCCATTTGTTCAGGGTCTCCTTGGAGAGTCTTCTCCTTCCCTTTAAATGGTATTGCTCCCCAGGGCTCCTCTTCAATCTTTCTTTCTTGTTTTACATACTGTCTCATCAGTGACATCAAATCCTGTGAATTGAATCATACACATGATTCTAAAACCTAGATTCAGCCCCAATATCTCCTCTGAGCCAGTTTCCCAATTGCCTACTATTTTTATCCATTTTCCCTGCAAGCACTTCAAATTCAACACATTCAAAACAGAACTCATTAATTCTCCCTTGTGTTAGCCTATTTTTCTGTTGCTGTAAAGAAATATCCAAGACTGGGTAATTTATAAAGAAAATATGTTTAATTGACTCATGGTTCTTCAGGCTGTACAGGAAGCATGGCACTGGCATCTGCTTTGCTTCTGGTGAGTCCTCAGGGAGATTTTACTCATGGAAGAAGGTGAAGTGGGAGTGGGGGTGTCACATGGCCAGTGAGGAAGCAAGAGAAAGGAGAGATGCCACCCTCTTTTACAACTAGATTTTGCATTAACTCAGAACAAGAACACACTCATTATCATGAGGACAGCACCAAGTCATTCATGAAGGGTCTACTCCCCAAACACCTCCCACCAGGCCCCACTTCCAACATTGGGGATTACACTTCAGCATGAGATTTGGAAGGGACACACTTCTAATCTATATTACCCCTACACCAGATTTTTGTCTTTTGTAAGATTTCTCCCCAGAAAGGAGAAAGTGAAGGAGGCTAGATAAAATGAACAAATTAAGAGTCTTCAGCATGAAGAATAAGAAGGGAGGAGGGGAAAGGGTTCCTAAAAATTACAGCCAGCATTTATTGCCTATTTCATATATGCCAGGCATTGAGTTAGGCAGTTTTCACAGATCATTATCTTGTATGCTGTCACAGCCATCTTGTGAGGTGCTGTGGTAAGCAAAATAATGGTCTCCTAAAGATGTCTAGGTCCTTATCCCCAGAACCTGTGAATATGTTACCTTATATAGCAAAAAGGACTTTGCACATGTGATTTTGTGGGTGAAGGATTTCGCACATGAGATTAAGTGAAGGATATTGAGATGAGATGATTATCCTGATTATTTGGGTAGGCCCAATGTAGTCCAAATGGCCTTATAAGAGGGAGGCAGGGGGTCAGAGAAGGAGATGTGAAGATGGAAGTAGAGGGTGGAGTGATAGGGTCATGAGCCAAGGAATGTGGGCAGCCTCTAGAAACTGTAAAAGGCAAGGAAGAGATTTTTCTCTAGTGCCTTCAGAAGGAATACCTTGAAATCAGCCCTGTAAGAACCATTTTAGACTTCTGAGCTTCAGACTGTAAAATAATACATGTGTATTGTTTTAAGCTACTAAGTTAGTGGTAAATTGTTACAGCAGCATGTGTACTAGTATTAGCTCCACTCACACACAAGGAAATTAAAGCCTAAGGACTTAAATAATTGCGCTGAGGTCACACAACTAGTAAGTGGTAGAGCTGGGATTCAAACTCAGGTAATCTCAGCTGGCCACCTCATGCTCTTAACTGCAATGCTATGTGCACGCAATGCCTGCAGATCTAGAGAGGGCTAGCTTTGTTTCCAGGACAGAGCTATGGATTCAAGTTAGAGTCAACCAATTAAGAGACTCGACAGAAAAATGAAGAATAAGAGAAGAGAAAGCTGGGCTATCTGTTCTCCCAGTTATGTGGCACATTTGGTGTCTCTGGAGCCTGGTGCACTGGGTGACGACTGTGCCACTTAACCTGTGGCCACAGATTCTGTGGGGTAGTGCTATCCCACAGCTGTGCCTCTATCCAGGATCTGGTATCTGCCCTGTCCTCTTGCCTTCTCAGGCCTCCGGGCATTAAGCTTCTTGCTCGCTAATCTCTGTACACTCTCCCTTGTTGGCTCCCTTCACCCTGCCCACACTTGCAAATTGTTCCCACATTAAACTCTTTTCAATTAACCCTTTAAGTGAACCATCTGTTTCCTGCCGGGTCCCTGACTGGTATGATGTTCAAGGTGAGGATGCAACAGCTGCAGAAAAGTTGACACAGTGGCATCAGCAGATGGTCAGTGTTCAAAGAGCAGAGGTAGTTGCATGATGGCAGGATTATTGTATGGGAAACAGAGCTGGGTCTAGATAAAGTGATTTGGTCAGAGACATTTTCAGGAAAGGTGATGATGTTACCCAAAAGTCAGAGTTCAGGTGGGGTAGCCAGAGCATTATGGAAGAAGTCGAGTTTACAGTATCCCAAATATAAACGTTGTTAGTAGTTTTGCAACTTCCAGTGGGAAATTTGAAGAGTGGGCTGACCGTGTCAGTTCAGAGGAGTTTTTATTAGACTTACAGATGTAGAGGTGCATTCATGGGTGCAGTGCCATTACATGTTAAAGAATTGTTTCATTACTATGTTTGGACAACACTGTAGAGTGTCTTGCCATGTCCCTAGGGTTGGGTAACTCTGCTTTAGGTGTAGGCCCCAGCCTCTGCTTGTTGCCCCTGTTCAAACTTGGATGCCTTCTGCTGTACTGACCAGATACGTATCCCTCAATCTGAGCCAGGAGCACTTTTACTTTCTGAATCGGACTAGTTTTCAGTTTCCCTGCCTCTGGGCAGGTTAGGCCAGATGGTAGACACACCTCTGCAAATGGACTTCTTCAAAGGCCGCACTTTGGCCTTGGGAGTGTGAGACTTTGGCAGAGTGATTTGAGCAATAAAACCTTACATATGCACAGCATATTTTTTTCAAGGAGTTTGGATATTTCCTACCATAGTGAATGTCAGGGACAAAAGGCAAAAGATTGGGAAGCTGTCTCATAGCTAGATTCAATTCCCTTATTGTCCCTGACTCAAGGTGTGGAGTGGTGTTTTCCTCGCCCACGAGGTTGTAGGAATTTACCTTACTATACTCTGCTTCTCCCCATCCCCCCACAAAAAAAGAATGATAGCGTTGTCCAAAGGTACTTTCCAGGGGTTCTGTCAGTTAGGAAGTCAGAGGCAGTTCTTAGCCTGTGCATCTGAGCATAAAAGCTTTTCAGTGCCCACAAATAGGGAAGTCTGAGAAATTGGCTCAAGCCAACTAAATCTACTAAAAGTGAAGTCTAAATCAGAAAGCACTATTGAAAAGTCTTTTGTCTCATGTCAATTCTCATAACAATCCTGAAAGGTATGTAGGATCTCTTATGAATTCCCATTAAGACAAGGAAACTGAGACACAGAAAGGGTGAGTCACTTGTCCAGAATCCCACAGGTAGTAGGTGGCAGAGCCCAGCTCGGGACCCAGACATCCAGTTCAGTAGCCTGTGCCAGTCTTCAAGGTGGTACTTAGACAAGACATTCATGAAGTAGTATTTGGATCACACATTTTCTCCCTGAGGCAAACAGATGGAAATGTAACCTACAGTCAAGATTACTTGGGGAATATTAAGTACAAACAAAGAGGAATTAGGTTTTCTTAATGAAGGGTTCTTCAGCTAAGAGTGCTTGAAACATATTCTTCCCCCACCGAGGAGAGCATCAGCCAGCGAGATGATGAAGTCTTCTGGTGAGGACACCTCCTAGGGACTAGACAGGCTAACTTCTTGGTCCCATCCTCTTTTCCCTCACTCTACCACTCAGAGATTTCTGTTAACCCTTTCTTCTCTTAGCTTTGCTAATGTTATTGTCTTTGCCACAGCTTCAAACATGCTAATTGCCAGGCTTTGACTGCAGCTCCTCTCTAATCTCTTGATTGGAACTGAATCTGGAAGCTCATTAGCCAGCCCTTCCTGGGTTAGGATTCTGATTCTGGGCTTGCTTTTATGGGCTCTTGACTCACCATTTTGGATTGACCTACTTAGTTCTAAAGCTGAAGTTTTCATTTTGCTTTGTAACATTTGGGGGAAATTCTCAGTCAACAGTTGTCAAGAGGGTCTCCCATTTGGGAACGGCAACAGCATTTAGACCTTTGGTGTGTTATTTTATTCCAATTATTTTGTTCAAAGGTCCCTGAGATCAAGTGTACAGGAATTAAAGAAGCTTTCCCGGGGATGCTAGGGACAGGATGAGATGATAGTAAAACTCTGGGGCTCTTCTGTACAGCACAAAATATAGGCAGAAGCAGCATGACTTGTCCTCTTGAATAATCTGGAAAAGTGGCACTATTTGAAATGGGTTAATATGTTGATATGACTGTTTTAAGATGATTGAAAAAATATTAGCGAAAGAAATGTGAAAACAGGACTTGATTTTTCACATCTTTTCTCCAGTGTTATTCACCACCAGTTTGGACCTGCAAATATAAACTCAGAAAGCAGACTCTCCAACTACCTGTTTCTAAACTTATGTCATTTGTAAATGGTTCATATGCCTGAGACTGTTTCTATATCCTATTCTATGATATAAGTCTAGCACCTGATTTTAATCTTTTAAATAGATAATTATAATATTTTAATAATAATATGAATATAAATATTATAGCCGTGTTTAGGAAAAACAAAAAATGCCAAATTGAGTATAGTAATAGTCCTTTCTGGTCAGCATTCTTATTTTAATGATGATATCAATAGATATTTTGCACGAAAGTTTGGTTACTCTGCGCAACAAAAATCGACTTTAAGAGATAAGTAAAACTTTTCAAACACTCCTAGCAAGTCACTCAGGCTGGAGTGCAATGGTGCAATCTCGGCTCACCACCACCTCTCCCTCCTGGGTACAAGCCGTTCTCCTGCCTCAGCCTCTAAGTAGCTGGGATTACAGGCGCCCACCACTGCGCCTAGCTAATTTTTGTATTTTTAGTAGGGAGGGGCTTTCACCATGTTGACCAGGCTGGTCTCGAACACCTGACCTCAGGTGATCCACCCGCCCCAGTCTCCCAAAGTGCTGGGATTGCAGGCATGAGCTACCGCGCCTAGCCCTAGCAACTCCTAATAGTCTAGCAAACGTCTATCTGGTTCAAAAGTAATGAAGGGCTTTGTTATCTAGTGAGAGTCATGTGTATTGAGGGATCAAGCCACACCAAAGAGACTTTAGAAATACTTGTTCCTCAAGTAAGCTTGATGGACGGAGCCAAATCTAGGATGGCAAAATGGCCAGAGGCGATGTTCACAGTCCACGCCATTGCATACTTGAAGGTGCATCCTTCATGGTGAACACTTCACCTCACAGTCTGACTCTTGATTTTTTTGCATAATGTTCAATAGGATGGGGAAAAGAATAAATTATTTCAGAAAAAAATTAAAACAACAGTGTGCTGGACACATTCCCTACGTCCCTTCAGATCCACCCTCCACCCTTTTCCACACAAACTCTTAGCTACAGGAGTTTCACAGGACTTTCTGCCTTCTGCCTCCAAGTGGGCTTGATCAGTGAAATGTACCTGTAGGAGATAGATGTGGAAGGATATGAGATGGGTGTACTTAGTCTCCCAGCTCTCTTTCTGCCACGTTGCTATGGATTGGCTGCATCTCTGCTGGGCTAGTGTTCATGATATGTCAGGTGGCCCTTTCTATATCAGTCTTAGTAGGGATGTAATGTCTTCCCATCTTGCTAGCTCTAACTGCACCTGCCATTGTTGGGTTGCCTAAAGCTGCCCACACCAGTAAGTGGTTTCTGTAGTAAAGTTTCATCACTTAACCTGGTTAAAGTGTGCCATGTGATTCTTTCTAGAAACCTGATTGACACAAACATTAAAACTAAAAGCCAATGGTTTTAGGTGAGGTCATTTGTAATAAAATGAGAAGTAATTTTGAAAACTTCATCAACTACACAGATGCACATTGATTTAGGTAGGAAAAGGTAAAGGATAAATTTTTCTCAAGGCTGAATTATTTTACCTTACAGAGAAAAAAATATTAAAAAGATATCAGAACTAGAGGCAAAAGCTTAGAAGAATGAATTCATTGTTTATCTTAACTATAACTTAAGGAGAGTTTAAAATTTTTGGTGAGGTAAGCAGAGATTTATTTTGTTTTAGAGCTCTTATTCACAATCAGTACCTTCAAGGCAAAACTGCGGAGGCTTTCATTGCATATGGCAAAATGGCTATAACAAAAATGAAGTTTGAGAGTTGGGTAATGAGAATTGATTCTGTGGATAACCACTCTTAGTTTGTAAATTTGATGAAAATTATAGAGTTAGAAATAAATAAGCAACACTCTCAGCAATTTTTCATCACTTAAAATATCCTTTGAGTAATTCTGCAGGGCATACTCGAAACTGATGAGTGGATCAAAAATGCTTACTGATCATCACATGTCAGAAGTGACATGACCTCACAGGAGAAAGACTACTGAAATGTTCACCAACAGTAGTATGAAAATTTGTACTAAAGCCCCTTTGGCCACATTCTGGAAATCTCAGTCCTGGGTGTAGCTTCCAGGAGAGCAGAGGTATTGCTTCTCTCATTTACTGCTGTATAACCTAAAATAGAACCTGACACATAGTAGTCACTAGATAAATATTTGCTGAACAGCTGAATCAATTTAATGGGTGTTTCCTTGGTGATTACTCTGGTTTTGCTCATAAAGTTTTGTTTTGTTTTGTTTGGCAGGGGAGCCTTGTTCTGTCGACCAGGCTGGAGTACACTGTTGCCATGTTGCCATCATAGCTTACTGCAGCCTCAACTTCCCGGGCTCAACACACCTCAGCCTCCTGAGTAGCTGGGACCACAGGTGTGAGCCACCACATGTGGCTAATTTTTTTATTCTTTGTAGAGACGAGTTCTCCCTATGTTGCCCAGGCTGGTCTTGAACTCCTAGGATCAAGTGATCCTCCCACCTTGGCTTCCCAAAATGCTAGGATTACAGGCATGAGTCACCACACTCAGCTCTTTGCTCATAAAGTTATAAAAAAGTAAACGATTGCCATTTGTAATACATATTTAGATGACTAACTTCTCAATTTGTAATAACAATTATAAACCTTCGGCAGTGGAGAGAAATTGCCTGGATAAAGCTGAAGGACCCAGTGGATTAACATCCCATTCTTTAGCCAAAGAGATGGTAAGAAAATACTTTTTCTTAATGAAAATTAATCTAAAACATATTTTTAATAAAAAAACAATATGAATGTACTGTCAAGTAGAATGCAAAATTAAAATGATTTTCTTTTAGCTAGAATATGAGACATGAGGGGGTTTGCCTTTCTTGCAATGGCTTCTGATACGGTTTCACTGTGTCCCCACCCAAATCTCATCTTGAACTGTAATCTCCATAATCCCCAAGTGTTTCGGGGGGACCCGGTAGGAGGTAATTGAAATATGGGGGTGGTTTCCCCCTTGCTGTTCTTGTGATAGTGAGTTCTTATGAGATCTGATGGTTTTATAAGTGTCTACCATTTTCCCTGTTTGCACTCATTCTTTCTCCTGCCACCCTGTGAAGAGGTGCCTTCCACCATGATTGTAAGTTTTCTGAGGCCTCCCCAACCCTGCAGAACTGTGAGTCAATTTTAAACCTCTTTTCTTTGTAAATTACCTAGTCCCAAGCAGTTCTTCATAGCAGCACAAGAATGGACTAATACAGCTTCCTTCTCAAGATGCTGGAAGTTCCTGTTAACTCTCCTAGGCTTTCAGGAATCCTGCTCACAGGCTTCAATAGACGTTTTGGCCATTGTATCAGACCCATATGAGCCACTATCACTAAGCTACTATCAGCTATTTATTTGGTTCCATTTTCTGCTAATTCACCCTTTTGGGTGTTTTTCTGAAAATAACTGGAGTCATTTACAATACATTCCTTCATCTATTCAAGCATTCATATTATCTCTAGGTCTGTTTATCACTCATTACCTGAGCCCTCGTTTCCATGTAAAGCATCGTGTCTGTGAATTTTTAACAGTTCTTTTATTACCTTATTTCTTAGGTTGGATTATCTGCAGAACAGACTATGAGAAGGAGATTCATATGTGTAAATTTATTGGTGAATGTGCTCAAAATCAGTTCTTGTGTGGAAGTGAAGTAGGGTTACGTGGAGAAAGGAGTTGGGAAGGGACACTTTTGCAACAAAGGTTTTCCATAACTGTGATGGACATTCAGAGTTGATCAGCCTTCAAGCAAGGGGTCTGGGCCTTTATTCCTTCCCTCACACACATAGACCACTCACTGAATGTGGGCATGTGGGCTGCCCTATGAATGAGGTCCAATCTTGGGCAATGAGGCTCTGTTCCATTGAGGGTAATTCCTGGTTAGTGGCTCAGATGAGATTCTCAGCTGCCAACAATACCAGCATCACCGGATGAGTATTCAGTCCTGAAGGGGGAGTGGGTCTGTGTGATTCACTGTAGCGCACATTATACTATAGTAGGGTAGGGGTGGAAAAGGTGTAAGGCCCTTCCTCACCCATCGTAAGGGTCATGGCCTACACTCCTACAGTAAAAGACAGATTAACAAGAGAAAAGCATAACAAATTTACTTAATCAAAGTTTTATGTGACACAGGAGCCTTCAGACATGAAGACTCAAATACCCAGGGAAAACTGTACATTTTTATGTCTGAATTTGATGAAGAATAGGCAAACAGCCATGTATAAATGTAATTGGACAAACATGGGATTAAATAATGGTAATAGGCTAGGGAGGCAGGGACCTAGCAAGACCTGTCTGTTCAGATTCTTCTTGGCCTCTCTGTGTAGAGTTCCTTCCTTCTAGCTATCAGGCAGGACTCCTCTGGAACAAAAGTCTTATGCTCTACTACCAGCTAAGGTAGATCAGAGAACTTCTCCATGGCCAGTTCCTATACAGAAAGGTTAGAGTAAGGGGAAGGCTAGAGTCGTATTTCTGGGTTTTATGACTTACTTTGGGAAAGATGGGTTCTATTTTCTATGACCCACCATGGGGAAGAGGAATTCTGGTTTCTATGACTTGCTTTGGAGGAGAAAGAGGGGTAGGGGGCAGGAGATAGGAGGGCAGCAGAAGATCAGAGAGAGAGAGAGAGACTTTGCTTCTGAAACTGCTTCTGAGGGCTTCCAACCTCCTTTAGTTCAAAGGACTAGCATGCCAAAGTGCCATACTTTGGGATATTGTTTTCTGAGCCCCAGCAGTAGGGTTCAAATGCTCTTCTGGGGAGTTCCTCCTAACAATATGCCTCTCAAGAATAAAGTTTCATTGTCTCTGGTTTCTGCCTATGGTTGGCCATATTTGCAACCATCAAATAGTTATTCAAGAAAAAATGGTTTGCTTGTTTCTTCTGGAATGCAGAAAAGTCCCAGGCCTTGGCTCTGTTCTTATGCTGTATCTTCCCATCCTAAATGGGTGTTTCCTTGGTGATTACTCTAGTTTAGCTCATAAAGTGTTTTTGTTTTTGGTTTGTTTGTTTGTTTTTGGGACAGTCTTGCTCTGTTGCCTAAGCTGAAGTGCAGGGGCACGATCACATAGCTTCCTGCAGCTTCCTGCAATCACGGCTTACCAACTCCTAAGAGCCAGTGTTCAATTTCCTTTCTTCAAGAAAATTTATTCAAGTTTCCATTGACTTCCCAATTACTCTAGCTATAATCCAGTTTATTGTCAGTAGGCCCTGGGTTCATTCTGGCAAAAATATATGTAAAAGCCTTGGGTCCATGACTTATTGTCCATTAATTTATCTCCTCTTGAATTTACTTTTAAGTTCTTTTTGTTCTTTGCTAGAATAAGTTGCTTTGGTTTTAAGAATCAGTCTCACTCAAAATAATGTGACAAAAAATAATTGGTTAGCAGGTGACTGTTATTTTGACAATATTTGTAGGTTAGTACTGGGGTCAATGGACACTTGAGGCAGCTCCAAAAGTGCTTTTATCTCACGAGCCACTGAAATCTCAAGGTTTTGGCTTTTTGATTCCTTCAATACCAAGCAGCCAATCCTCTTCTATTCTGTAGCCTACATACTAGAAGGAGCCAATCTGTGTGGCTTAGCTGATCACCAATGACTTTACTTGCTTTTAATATCAGATTATATCAGGGGTTGACTAGCCTATGCATGGCTGTCTTTGAGTCAGGGACCACTCTTAGTCTTATCCATAGCTATCCTAGTCCTTCAGCATATAGCACTGCCTCTTTGAGTAAGGAACTTGCAACTTAATGAAACTTATTGGATTTGGTAGAGGCATGACCGACATATGCTACTCATTGTTAATACCATCATTTTGTGGGTATCACTTGCCAGAAGTTTTATATACATGGTAAACGGATAGTTATTTTTGTTTGCTGTGAAATTGCTCTTTTCAAGTCTTGTGAGACATGTTAAAGTCCATATATAACCTATTTATTTTCTTTATTCTATTTATATTCTGATTATATAATAAAAGAGCATTTAAAAAGTCGTAACATATACATATTAACAAGTGTGCACACGTTTGAAGGAAAATATGGATTAATTCATTTTTTGATATTGAAATAAAATTATACTTATTCATGTATACATGTGGCAAAGCATTAATGGCTGTATCAAATAATTTTATACAAATGAATCATAACTGTAAATCATATAGTCTTTCAAATCTTCCATTATGAATTCATGGATTAGAATTCATTTAGAATTCATTATGAATTCTAAAATTATAGCATATAAAATAAATGAAATATTATCAGATAGCACGTAGTTTGACCGCAGCATTTAATATTAATAAGATTTTTGGATTTGCTGCTTACAGTACTATGCAATCATAGCTAAACCAAACTATTAATTTGAGTTGATAACTGAGCAAGAGTAGAAATTTTTTTATTTCTTAAATGATGACGGAAATTAATGGTGATTTTGGCAATCAGGGAAGAGCTTATATTTCACTGTTAAAATGTAGAAGTGCTTTCTCTTGAGAAAAGCATGAATTTAGCTTAGTCTGGGAAAAAAATTCATTTTTGCAAATATACCAGATTGAATTGGAAACATTGTTAGTGCTTCTCCTAAATTTAAAATATTAGTGAGATTTAAAATCTCTATTTATGAATCGTTGTAGAAGCCCACTAGGAAAGACCTTCTGGGCAAATTATTAGGTTTGTTCCCAAACACTTCCTTGCCCTTCTCCCTGCTAATTGGCTTCCCGCCAGTCCTGCTAGCACTACACACTGGTAGAAGCATGGAAGGGGGAAGAAAAGAATCCAGGGGGTGGGTATTTGTCTCTCGTCTTCTTTTCTCTCTCCTTCTCTCCCCTGGTTGTGTTTTCTGGCTGTGGCTGCAACTCCTCCTGATAGTTGCAGGTCTTCTCTGGACAGGCTCTCAGCTCAGTCCTTGCTTTGGTTTTAGCTCCTGCCAGGCGGCCCAGCTTCTGGGTTCTGCTGACATTCTGCATCCTCCCTGCATACAGCCAGCCCTCGCCCTCGAGAAAGAAGCAGCTTCCTGCTGTGGCTAATCTCTGAATTGCCTTCCCATGTCTTGCTTGGCTTCCCAGCCCTTTCATCAACAGTGTAATTAATTTCTCGTATTCAACTCCCTCTGTTTGATACAGGGTATGTTTTCAGTTTGCCTGACTGGACCCTGAATCATACGGCATTTCTCCACTTTCCATTCATGGAATAGCAGACTAAAAGGACTTTACATTAAGCAATAATACAGTTTACTACTCTGGATAAACATACGTAAAGGCAGAGATATTTTACAAATATGTACACATGTGACGTTTCACTTAAATTCAGCCTGATATGACTTACTCCAACATCTTTCTTTTGGATTCTTCCCAAACTCAATCACTTCCTACTCAAAGTCTTTATATATAAAGATGTCAAAATAATGACTATCAAATGCTGTTTTATGCATATGACTACTTTGTTCAAGCATCTAGAAGCTATCTCTTTGGTGCTTTAGATCCCAAATCCTTAATCTATTTCTCACAGCTGTCCCTGAATCATTTTCCTCTTCCTGAATCTTTCTAGCCTTATATCCTATGTTATGCTCTGATGAAACCTATCTGTTCTGGTCAGACACTCTTGCTTTCCATTCTTAACATTCAATTTCCTGTTTTCTACTGTTGTGTCTTCACTAGGGCAGCAGCGCCCTTTCTTATCACATCTTTGACATTGATAATACCTTATAGAGAATAAGAATAATACCTTATCATCATTAACAATTCATCATTATACACATATGTAACTTCTCCAGATCTCCCTCTTTTTGAATATTGGCATTTTCCAGGATTCTAGTCTAAGCCCTATTGCCTTTTCATCTTAAACTCCTTCTTTGGATGATCTCTTCTCTTCTGACAAGTTGAGCTTCAATCTATGACCCCTGAATCTCAATATATAGTCTTTAGACTTTCTCCTGAGCTCCAAACTTGTATTTCCAGCCGACTAAACATTTTTACCTGGTTGCTTCGCGGGCACATCAAACTTAGAATGTCCCAACTGAACTTACTCTTTTTTTTCCCTAACATCTGCAAAGGCCTCCCCACTTTCCAACTTCCTTAGCTTTAACTAATAATGTCACTTCTTCTTCTTCTTCTTTTTTTTTTTTTTTTTTTTTGAGATGGAGTCTCACTTTGTCGCCCAGGTTGGAGTGTACTGGCACGATCTTGGCTCACTGCAACCTCCTCCTCCTGGATTCAAGTGATTCTCCTCCCTCAGCCTCCCGAGTAGCTGGGATTACAGGTGCACACCACCATGCCTGGCTAATTTTTGTATTTTTAGTAGAGACGGGGTTTCACTATGTTGGGCAGGCTGGTCTTGAACTCCTGACTTCAGGTGATCCACCCGCCTCGGCCTCCCAAAGTGGTAGGATTACAGGTGTGAGCCACTGTGCCCGGCCAATTATGTCACTTATTAACTAGTTGTCTGAACTAGAAAACAATGTTTCTTAATTTTTCCCCAAAGCTTACCATCCTCCACCTATCACAAATTCGGAAAGATATCCCCAATCTTCCCCTCTTCATCATCTGTATTGCCTTAGTCTTCTAGGAGGCCACTGCTGTAGACAATCTCTTCTACCTCATTTCCTGCCTGTCTTTTGGCTCATTAATGCTCCAGGAACCAAACTGGCTTTTTCTTAATTCCTAAAACACATCACTCTTGGTCTTATCTCAGAGATATTTGCATTTACTGTTCACCTTTTCTCTGGGTTCTTCCCAAAGTAACTTTTTTTCTCTTACCAATCCAATATAAATAGGTTCTCCCTTACCCAATTATTCTCTATTACAGAACCCTGCTGTTTGTACCTTTTATTATACTTTATAACAATGTGCAAATATTTTGTTCATTTGATTAGTCATTTATTATCTGTCTTCCTCACTAGGGTCTAAGCTTCATAGTCACTTTGTGCTCAGTTACGTTATAGGTGTTGAAAAACTACTGTTGCATTAGAAAATGAATGGTGGATTGAATGAACTAAGATGGGGCTTCTGCCTGTCTCTCAGGTCCTCTGCATTCCACCAAACACAAATCCGATCATGTTACTGTCCTGCTTAAAATCCTTTGGTGGTTTATAATTTTCTGCAATAGTCATTTAAATACTCAGCAAACTTTTTTGATATTTACAATTGTGGGGAGAATAAGTGTTCAGAATCTTAAGTTTAAATTGAAACTGAAGGAATAGGTAGAAGAATGAACACCATACCAGCACTTCCTAGCCCAGTGAGAGTTCAAAGCCTTGAGCCATGGCTGGCTCCGGTAGCTCACACCTGTAATCCCAGCACTTTGGGAGCTCAAAAAAGGCAGATCACTTGAAGTTAGGAGTTCAAGACCAGCCTGGCCAACATGGTGAAAACTCGTCTCTACTAAAAATACAAAAATTAGCCAGGTGTGGTGGCACACATCTGTAATTCCAGCTACTCAGGAGGCTGAGGCAGGAGAATTGCTTGAACCCAGGAAGCAGAGGCTTCAGTGAGCCAAGATTGCACCACTGCACTCCAGCCTGTGCAACAGAGCTAGACTCTGTCTCAACAACAACAACAAACCACAAAGCCTTAAACTAATGTTGGTCAAATATCTAATGTTATAAATTCTGTTACCAGACAGACAGGGAAGTGAAGAAAGCACTGGACTATGACCAAGAGGTTCTGGGTTCTGATTCTGGCTGAACCAGTTTCCTTGACCTCTCTAATCCAGTTTCCTCATCTACAAAATGAGGATATTGTATCAGGTAATCTGCAAGGCCCCATTCAGCTCTGTAATTCTGTGATTCTCAGATACTAGATTAAATGTTTCCGGATTGCTTTTTGAGCATCAAATGAAATAATATGTAGATTGTGAATTAGAATACACATCTTAACATTAGTTTTGCTATGGTCCTGGCACCCTCATTACAGAGCTAGTTACACTTTGTCTCCAGCAGTTGTGTACTTGATGTGCAGTTTCTACGTATCATTTGAATTGTTTCACTTTGCAAGTAGTTTCAGACTCAATGAAAACAAGTGACATTTAGAAATGCTAGTAAGTGGAAAAAAAGTTGAAAGAGGGCAATATATCTTGCCTACTATGTGTTGAGTGCTTTATGTATATTACACCTTAAAATAGAGTTATCATCCCATTTTACAAAAAAGGATAGTGACATATGACTAAGATTACTTAGCTTATCACTGCGCACACATGACTTACACACTGAAATGTCCAGGCCCAAATCTCTCTCTACCTTCTGTCAATTACATGGATGCCCGTTCACTTCCTCTCCAAGTAAAGGGATATAAATGAGAATCAGAAAGTGGCCTTTGGTAAAGTAAGCAGAATTGAAAAGAGAACTCTTGGTTGCACCCTTACCTCAAAGCTATCTTTGGACAGCTGAGCTTGCTGGAGAGCACCAATGACCACTGCTATTGGCCCTCTTTCTAACAGTCTTCTACAGATGCCTAGAGGTGAAAGGACTTGGTCCTATCCAGAGTAGGGCCTATTCCTGTGCTTACCGTTAATGGGCCCCAGTGAGCTTCAGAGAAGGAGATCACACATTGAGGAAAACAACTAATTAATAATCAAAATTAACTTAATATAACAGCATCAGGACAGTTTCCTTGCTTTTGGTTGCTCATTTTACTTTTTTTTTTTTTTAAGAGATGCTCATTTCATGATTCAGCTCCTTTTCAAGAAAACAAACTTAGGGAGAATATTAGTTTCTACAGAGTAGAATTCAATATAAGGAGGGGTGATATAGCTGTACCATTTGTGAAGACTTGTGAGTCTTGCTTATAGGATGGGCAAAAAATGGACCTTCCAAAAAGCCGGTGGCCCATAATATTCCCCTTAGGGTGAAGAGCATTGTTATTTGTGCATCCAGGACAGCTACAGAAATAAATAACCAAAAATGTCAACAAATGAATGCCATGCAGTATTTAGAGACAAACAGCTCTAAAGAAGAATCCATTCTTGTCCAGTTAAACAATAACCCAGACCATTTGCTTTTAAATATAAAAGGGAAAAAATGAAAACGAATACCCATTTTTCTCTTTCATTATTTATGCAATCATTCTTGCACCTGCTTTCAGAAGGAAGCAAAGAATGTGATCTTTTATACTAATGCTCCAAGGGTTTTATAAATAAGTTAATTTAATTAGTAAAATTGATTCAATTTTTTTGTGATAAATAGTACTTGCTATAAATAATTCCTTGAAAGGTAAAAATATTTTGTTTAACAGTGCAAAACATGAGACTCAATTACTGGTCAACTATAGATTAAATATTATCATTCTTCATTCAATGTATACCTGATAGTACCTGACATTTTAGTTAGGCAGGGTGGTTTAATAATATTGGTCAGGATTATTGTTCTTTCTCTGTATAACACTTCTTTACTGGCTACTCCAGTACTTGCTAAGCTGTTGGATAACAAATGGAAAAATATCACATCACAGGCATATTTATCTACCGAGCAGGCAAAACAAGAAAATGGAACCCGGGCTTGGCATCATCTAGTGTTACTCAATCAAGGCAAATTATTTATTGTCTTCTGCCCAGGAGGTCCCATGGGGCATGAAATATTGATTTAGGAATTTGCTGGGCATGAATGACTGTGTGTTGCAATTGTGTTCTTTTTTTTAATCCCTTGATAATATATGGTAAATTGTTTCTATATATGCTGTGATGAGGCTGAATAACAAATTAAACCTGGCTATTTAATAAACATGAAATGTAAACACTAAACTCTTCATACTAACTTAGGGCTATAAAAGGTCACCCCATGGTGTACAGGATTGCACAATGCACTGTTCACATCCTTGTCTAGAGTCATCTCTTCCTTCATCTCACAATGGCATGGCCTCTGCTGCATCCCCTAGGTCCCGATTCCAACTTCCCAAGTGGAACTGGGAGAGCCGGAGTGTTCTTTATGGTTCACTTGGGGATTATCAAAGCCAGGACTTGGGGTGGGAGGTTCTAGATATTGGGAAGGAGCTAAAGCTGGGCTAAGAGGGAATTTGTGGCGAAGAGGAGGAGCTATTCATGACCCAAGCAGAAGAAAATGAGTCTGGAGCAACTGTAAAGCAAAAAGCCACGATGCAGGAAGGATGGCAACATGCAAAGTTATTTCATCAGTGGAAAATCTTTGCTCTGTACCATTCTATAGGTCCATGAAATACCGAATATTAAAAGTGAGGGCCACACATTAATGCACGGCATCAGTATCTATTTGTTTGTTTGATTCACTCATTGGTACTTCTCATGTAAGAAACAGCACAGCAGTTACGATGAAGACTCTGGAATCAGATGACCTGGGTTTTAAGCCAGCCTCTGCTACTTTCTAAGAATGAGATTTTAACTAAATCATTTAACTTCCTTTGGCCTCAGCTCCTCATCTCTAAAAAGAGGATAAAGTGTCTCCTTTGAAGAGAGCTGGCCTGAGAATGGAGACCACACTGAGGAACAGATAGAGCTAAGAGCTGGACAGAGCTAGCTGGCCCCTGAGGACATAGTTTGAGTTCCTGCTTTCAACCTTGCCTCAATGGAGTGCCCTCTGGATCTTCTGATTTTATGAGGTGATCAATTCTGTCTTTGGTTTATTTAAATGTAAATTAGTTTGTATTGGATTTACAACCAAATTACAATGGACTTGGTTTACGTGATCCTCTTGGTTTGCCACTGACTTTCTATACATAGAAGACAACCAATATATACTTACTGAATGTATGAATGAGCTAAAATTTATTTTTTTAAAAAACCTCTTGAAACCCATGAATTTAATCTCCTCTGCATTATCATACCATCCTAGGCAATTCACGTTCAATTTAAGTGTGTCCACATAGGAGCACATCCTTCTGTAGAGAAACACATGATGCAGCCCTGAGGGTCTTGCTGGATGAACTGGATGGCTAAGAAAACTGCAGGGAGAGACCAGAGATTGAGCTCAGAAGACCTGAGTTCTTTTCAACAGAACTAACACCATGGTCTGCTCAGTCTCTTGACCTCTCCGAGCACCATTCTTGATGCACAAGATGCGAAGAATAATATCTACCTACCGGGTAGTTGTTAAGCTCAAAGGAGCTCATTTACATGAGAGCTAAGAATGAAACTAACGTAATTTGTTGGTTTCCCCCACATATTCCCATTTCAATTGGTGATGGATACACACCTGCCAAATCATGAGCCTAAGGGTGTTAACTTTTTTTTTTCCTAATAAAATGCACAACGGTAGTCGCATTCCAGAAGGCTATGTGTCAACACACGCGATCATATCTGGGTCTTGGGTGTGACCTTTGGCCAAATACTCAGTGTCCTCGAGGGTCTGTAAAAGGAAAAGTTTCCACTGGCGCGTTCTCTCCAAGGTTCGCTTCAGCTCTGCTATCCCAGGGCTCCTGATGGCAGCGGCACGGGCTGTGCTTAAGGCGAGTTCCTAACAGGCCCTCGGGGCACTCCTGCATCTCCGCACCCGGCAGCCTCGCCCCTTGGGTGTTTTTGGTGGGCGTGACTAGAAGCACCTGCTCCTGGGCTCCTTTTGCATCTTGCTGCAGTCCCCTCCTGTGAAGGGCGCAGCTCTGCAGTCTCCTCGCTCTTCCCTCGGGTGTTCTTTCTGAGATCCGGTTTCAATCCTCGAGCGTGTAGCCCTCAGGTCCCCTTACAACTCCCCAGAGCTCCGTGTGCATGCGTGCGAGAGGGAGAGAGCCAGGGAGAGACCCAGGTGACGAGACGAGGCTCCCGGGCTCCAGTTACTGGCCCGCAGGGCCGGGGCACGTCGTCGCCCAGCGTGCGGCGGGGCCCGGGAGCGCCGCGGCCCCTTTAAGAGCCGGGCCCAGGCCGTCGCCGGGACCGCAGGAGCCCAGAGCGCGGGCGCCGCAGAGGAGTTGGGAGCCGGCGCAAAAGTTTCCTCCCAACTCTGGCCCCGTGCGCCGCCGCCGCCGCCGCCCACTCCAGCCCCCGGCTTGGGGCCGGCCCTGCCAACGCCGCCAGGGCCAGGGCCAGGGCCAGGACCAGCGACAGGGCAGGGCCGGCAGTTTCGCTTTGGTGGGCGCGGAGCAGCCGCCTGGGCCGGGCAGGAGTAGGAGCGGGAGGAGGAGGAGGAGGAGCCGGTGCCGCGGAGCTGCCGCGTCCCGGGCCGCCGGGCACCTGGGAGGTAACCCCTTTCCGCGGCCGCCCCTCCCCGATTCCCGCCACCTGCCGCCTGGCCAGGTGGAAGGGGCGCTGCCGCGAGCCTCCGGGCCTCAGGGTGTTCCGGGGAGCGGCGCCCCGGGTCTCTGGGCCCACCCGCCCCGGGCGTCCTCCGAGAGTGGGGGCTGCGCCCGCGGGGTCAGACACCTGTTCGGCCCGGCCCGGCGTGGTCGCCGGGGGCCAGGATGAAAGTGACCGTGTGCTTCGGCAGGACGGGCATCGTGGTGCCCTGCAAGGAGGGCCAGCTGCGCGTCGGCGAGCTCACCCAGCAGGCGCTGCAGCGGTACCTGAAGACCCGGGAGAAGGTGAGCGCGGCGCGGAGGAGTGGGGCGCGGCTGCAGCCAAGGCACCTGCCAGGTGCGACCCGGTGGCGACACTCAGGGGATGCAGAAAACCCAGGGGATTATGGGGCACTGCCTGTAGCTGCAGCTGTTGTCTATTGCTAATATCAGTGATGTGGGTGTCTTTGGGTGTTTGTGGGCCTTGAGCTCCGAGGGTCGTGAGTGGACCTGCAGCATTGGAATCTCTTGGGAGCTTCTTAGAACTGCCCAATATGGGCAGTTCTCCAAACCCACCGACTCAGGATCTGCTCTTTAACGAGATCCCCAGGTGATTGGAATGCCCACTGAAGTTTGAGAACCACTGGTTTAGAACTTGTTTGAGGGAACGTCTTAAAAGGTGCTGCTCACCTAAGTGTGATTTTTGACCCATTAAGGCCCGCCTCACTTAGGCTCCTTGGAGTTAGAAAGTTGATTGTGCAAGTGACACATACTCGGAAGTTACAACTGATGGGGCCTTTGGAGTTTCAGCCTTGTGAGCTGCCCTGTCTCAGTGACTTGGGCAGGAACACAGGTGGGAGCATGCTGTTTGCTTAGCCAACCTGTCTACATTTTGAGTGTTTTCAGTTTAATGTCACAGATTCTATGACCATTTACTATGTGTGTGGGCTGTTGTCAGGTCCTGAGTGACTATTAAAATGAGAAAGACGTTCCTAGCTCTGTAGCTGAAGTCAGGAACAAGTATAAATTAAGTGACAATTTTTTTTAAGTGTGCAATACATGTTGAGAAAATATCTGGCACTAGAACTTATGCCAAGTATTTGGGTAACATTGGGCCTCTGGGACTTCCTCAGTGAAACTTTTAAAGGAAGGCATTGAATAACCTTTTAATTTTTTGAATCTTCACATGGAACATTTTGTATGTCCCAAATGCTCCTCAAACAGGGCAAGTCACAAATTCTTGTTTTAGCGGCCAATGGTTCTCTTAATATTTGGTCTCGTGCCATGTGACTAAAATAGTGGGTTGGTCAATCTAGTGATGGAAAAACGTAAGTTTTAATTTCTTTTAACTTCTTATCGGTTATCCAAAGCATAAAAGTAATTGTTTCTTACAAGTGTATAGCTTAGGGGTTTAAGAAAATACTTGCACCTTCTTTGCCTCCATGAAGAATTATTATACAGAAAAAAAATTCAGCTCTGGACAGATACATGTGCATATTGCTTTGGATACTCAAGAACTGGAGGAGAGTACAATGAAAGGTCTATTAATATATTAAATATAACCCCTAAAGATGAACTCTTTACTGATGGAATTGAGGTGGAGGAGGGAAAAAATTAAAGTGGTTTATAAAGCTGTGTGAAAATCAACTGCAATGTTATGTGTGTGTGTGCACGTGCATATGTGTTTGCCATTGTTAAAATAGTGTTTGCTGTTTAAATCATGTAATTCAGTTAACTGATGTTTAAACAAGTAACCAATTGTCTATTAAATCATATTTCACTAACTTTTGAAAGTGAGCTAAGATTAATAGTAACAACATTACTCCAGACAGATTATTGAAATAGATCTCATTGAGGGATTGTCTTACCAAATTGAAGTTACTTTTTAACTATTAAATAATTTATGCCCTCAAATCTTGTATATTTAGAAGTTTAGTACAGGGGGCTATCCAAGTAAGAGATAAACTACAAGCTTGTAAATAACATGAAGAGAACTAACCAGCTGATATTTAATTCACTATAATTTGATCTTAAAAGGTGTTAAAATATTGACATTCTGGAATGGAAACGTAACTTATAATATCACAGAACAATGTAGTTGCATTGATCAGTTTACTATTATTACCAGACTTATATTTTTCTGTTTACATTTATATATTAGTGAATGTGACATTTAAAGGTCACCTGCAGCATATAAATCCTTCCTCTTATTTTCACTTTTAAAATTTCATTTTAAGAAGTAGTAGGTGATGATTTTTCCCCTCCCCAAGTATTCTTCTCCCATAGTTTTATTTTAAATAATATTGTAATCATAACAAGATTTAACGAATATTAAATCGTATTCATAATGGCACTAAAAGGTCAATAAATACCCTAACAAATTCCATGCTTTTATTCATTTTTTTTAAATGAGAAAAGGCCAGAAATGTCAAAATTCAATTTGAAAAACAATGTGTAGTAAATTCACTTTCTGTAAATCAGTGAATTTCTGCACTTCGTAATAATAATCACACTAACATGTAACATGTATTGTGCTTATTCTGTGCAGGCCCTGTTTTAGGAACTTCATGCTTATGACTTATTTCTCCCAACAACCTTAGGAGATAGGTACTATTATTATCCCCATTTTACAAATCAGGGGAAAAAGAGACACAGAGACATGACAAGTAAGTCGTAGATTTGGGTTTAGAAACCAGGAACTGTGTCTTTAGATGTTTGCTCTCAGCCATTAACTGCATAGCCTAGTACTATGTATGTTGTTATGAATTGGAATTTATCCATATTGTTTGTTTTTTAATGCTTGATTTAAAAAGACATTTCCATCTACTAACTGCTATATCACATCAACCTAAAAATAGCAATTTTGCTTCTGGAATAGTGATGGGATATCCACAAGTTTCTCTTAATTATATATTTTATGAGGTCTACATGTAGAAAATCTAGTTTCTGAGGCAAATATTGTAGGATTTGCAAATCAACTATGAAAAATATTCCTCAGTCTAACTACAAATGGGAAAATGGGCAAGATCTTAGACATCCAGGTGGCGAGTGCTATAAAGAACCAAATTTGGTGGGAACATGAATGTAAAGTAAGTCCATTATTTTCTGAGGCACTGAGTAATGTAGATGGGAGAAAGACAGGTTTCAAGATTGAGGATGAAGTTGAGGTTTCTAAAGTTTGGAAAGTAAGTGAAGTCCAAGAATGCCATTCTATATTTCGTGGACAGCGTCTGAGAAGTAACCACTACCTGTTGAGAACAAAGAAAACCTATTTGTGGAATGTTGGGAACCCCCTGAATCAACATCAGATAAGGCCAGAGGTTGATGCGATCCTGAAGATACAGGGGGAGCTTTTGGGAAGGCTTTAATTATGCTCTGAAGTCTGGGCCTTTGAGGTTCCTGCCACCATTTGATGAACTCCATTGGAAACGTGGTGGACTGAGAGGTGAGAACTGTGGGATTGCTTATCTCCGAATCCTGACACTTTATCAGTGTCCCAGCCTCCAAATCCAATTTAGTGAAGTTGTTAGTGGAGAAGTGATTGTCTTCTTATGTGCTTATGGTGGGGATCGTTGAGTAATTAGTTAAATTTATCATCAAAATTATGTGTCACAGGTGAATGGGTAATTGAGCTGTATCCTGCAGGGACTCTCAACCCTGGCTGAACTTCAGTAACCTCTAATTTTCACATTAAACATTTTAAACATTACAAATACCTGTGTCCCTTCCCCCAAGATTCTCATTCATTGGGTTAGGAGTGGGTCCTGGGCATAGGTATTTTAAAAAGCACTCCAGGTGATTCTAATGCCCAGCCAAGGTTGAGAATCACTAATCTACTCTAATCTTTTCGTATGGCTGAACTCATTGGATTTTAAACTCTTTTGATGGCAGATACTGTGTCTTAGATATCTACACACCAATCTGTTATTAAGCAACAGAATAAGCACAATACATGTTATTTGTTAATGGGATTATTATTATGAAGTGCAGGGCTTAAAACCTTGCTGTCTAGGGATTCAAACCTTTTAAGTGTCTTTCACTGATTTACAGAAAGTGAATTTATTACACATTGTTTTTCAAAATGAATTTTGACATTTCTGGCCTTTTCTCATTAAAAAAAAACAAACAAATAAAAGCATGGAATTTGTTAGAGTATTTATTGACCTTTTAGTGCCATTAGGAATACTCCTACTCCTACCCTTAAAGAATTCTTCCTATAGAAGGTGCTCAAATAATTGCTTAAAGTGAACATTCATTTTATATAGACAGTTGTCCCTTAGTATCCATAGGGGATTGATTCCAGGACTTCCCTCGGATACCAAAATCTGCAGATGCTCAAGTTCCTGATATAAAATGCTGCAGTGTTTGCATGTAATCTACACACATCCTCCTGTATACTTTAAGTCATCTCTAGATTATTTATAATACCTAATACAATGTAAAAGCTATTTAAACAGTTGTTATACTATACTGTTTAGGGAATAGTGACAAGAAAATTGTGTGTGTGTGTTCAGTACACGTAGTTTTTTTTCTAAATATTTTTGATCTGGGGTTTGGTTGAATCCGCAGATGCGGAATGCATGGATGCGGAGGGCTGACTGTGTGTGTGTGTGTGTGTGTGTGTGTGTGTGTGTGTATTCACTGAGGATGAAGTGAATAAGGGAAAGGCTTGTCTAGTAATGAGGATGTATAGTGTGTTCTGGGGTTGGAATGAATGAGAAATAAGAGCATTGAATTCGTGGAATAGCAGGCATGCTGGAATTTACAAAGGCCAATTTGTGGCTCTGACTGCGTATGTGAGTACACCCTTTTTTGGAAAGGAAAAATTATATTTGATAGGGTTTTCAAGATGAATCTTTTCTGTATTCAGATATTTTGAATAATATGTTTGTTTTACAAGTTGAGGCAGCTTCCCAGAACTGGGAGTAGTCTGATTAGACTAACAATTCCATTCCCTGATTAACTGTGGGATCGGAATCTAAGAGAATTTGTGTAGTTAGAAGAATCTGGTATGATAATGTGTGGGAGTAGCCTGGAGGAATAGGCTAGAACTCTTGAATTTCTAAACTTTTCAGGCTTTGATGCCTTGTTACCTAAATAGATTTTAAGGTTCTTGTATACATAAGCTAGGCCCAGACTGGATTCCTCAAATGCTTTTCAATTGATTGGGCACTGACTTACTTGAGTGCTTTATTTCCTATTCAGACCTCACTTCTTTACAGCATGTGGACAGAACTGACTCGCCATCAGCATTACACATGCTTCCAACTTGGTTTTGGTTCTGCTACTCAGCTTGCATTGAGCAGCTTCTAAGTTTGCAAACAGAGGGCTCGTGGGGCCTGCTGTGACCCACAGACATATTTTTGTAGGTCTGCTCAGTGTTATATTTTGACTTAGTTGTCAGCATTTAAATATTTTGAGATTTCATGCAAAACTCCAGATTCCTATCTTCTTTGGGGGAAAAGCAAATTGGAAGCTCTGACAATGCTGGGCTTTACTTTCCCACATAGCAACCATCAGTTGGAGCTGAGACACCTCTGCTCTCTTTAGAAAGAATTATTAATGCTTCAGTCTCCATTATTGCTTCCCTAACAGTGAGGATAAGTTATTGTCATCATGCTTGACTGTTTTTACTCTGTGCTTATTTTCTCACTTATGGCCTTAATTCATGGTTGCTATTTGGCCTGCTGGTGGGCATTTGAGTTTGTGCTCCTGGATCTTCTCTCCCCTCCCTCCTCTTTCTCTTTCTCTCCCTCTCACACACACATCCCCACACACCCTCTGTGTATAATCCATGCACATAGGGTTTGCTGAACCGGGTTTGGCTGGTTATCTGAGCTGAGTTAATTGCCCTGTGCGCGATTGGGAGCCACAGCCCTGATTTGTAGCTTGAGGCCCTGTGCTTAATCAAGTGGCTTAGTTAACCAGGAATTCATTCCCAGGGTATTCTGTGCTACAGATTCCCTTTGAAGAAGTTGGGCAAATGGTAATGTTGTCAGATTTTTGTGAGACTATTTTATGAGTGGACTGTTAAAGACATCTGAGGAGTGTGTTAAACATTCAGAGCTTTGGGCCTCTCTTGGAAAATCTAAAGCAGTGTAGTGCAGTAGAACTTTCTGGGATGAAGAGATGTTCTAGATCTGCATCTTTCAAGAGGGCAGCCACTAGACATATGTGGTTGTTAAGTAGTTGAAATGTGCCTAGTGCAACTGAGGAACTGAATTTTAAATTTTAATTTAAATGTAAATCGCCACAAATGGCTTGCCTTAGTGGACAGTTCAGATCCAATGCTCTTCTGATGGGTTCTGTCAGCTGCTTTTGGAAACCACTGGCTTAAAGACCAGATCCCAGGCAGTCCTTAACTTGACATTGCTACTCAGTTCTGTTGAGAACTTTGCCATCAGAAAGGGATCTTCAGCCACTCTTTGGTATCCACAGGTGGTAGAGAGAGCCTTTAAACCTTAAATGCTCCACCTAGACACTAGCACAAAAACTAGCTGGGTTTGAGAGTAAGCCCAGGTTGGCCTCAGTTTACACCTTTGGTGCAACAGGCTGAGGATGTACATCCTCTGTCTCTGGTACTGGGTGGAGAGTGGGCCAAGAAGGAGCAGTGAACAAAAATCTGGGCCATTTTTAGTGAGATTTAGATGCTTCTCGACTGATAGAAATACTAAACACCTTCAGTTCAATTAAGTCCCAGCTATTTATCTTTGCTTTTATTGCATTTGCTTTTGGGTTCTTGGTCATGAAATCCTTGCCTAAGCCAATGTCTAGAAGGGTTTTTCCAATGTTATCTTACAGAATGTTGTAGTTTCAGGTCTTAGATTTAAATCCTTGATCCACTTTGAGTTGATTTTTGTGTAAGGTTGAGAGGTGAGGATCCAGCTTCATTCTCCTACATGTGGCTTGCCAATTATCGCAGCACCATTTGTTGAATAGGGTGTCCTTTCCCCACTTAATGTTTTCGTTTGCTTTGTTGAAAATCAGTTGACTGTAAGTATTTGGGTTTATTTTTGGGTTCTCTATTTCTGTTCCAATGGTCTATGGGCCTATTTTTATACTAGTACCGTGCTGTTTGGTGACTATGGTCTTATAGTATAGTTTGAAATGAGAGCTTTTCCATGGCAAAAGGAACAGTCAGCAGTGTAAACAGACAACCCACAGAGTGGGAGAAAATCTTTGCAATCTATACATCTGACAAAGGACTAATATCCAGAATCTACAATGAACTCAAACAAATTAGCAAGAAAAAAACCAAACAATCCCATCAAAAAGAGGGCCAAGGACATGAATAGACAATTCTCAAAAGAAGATATAGAAATGGCCAACAAACAAGAAAAAAATGCTCAACATCACTAATGATCAGGGAAGTGCAACTCAAAATCACAATGTGATACCACCTCACTCCTGCAAGAATGGCCATCATCAAAAAATTTTAAAAAAATAGGTGTTGGTGTGGATGTGGTGAACAGTGAACACTTCTGGTTGGAATGTAAACTAGTACAACCACTATGAAAAATAGTGTGGAGGTTCCTTAAAGAACTAAAAGTAGAACTACCATTTGATCCGGCAATCCCACTACTGGGTATCTACCTAGAGGAAAATAAGTCATTATATGAAAAAGATACTTGCACATGCATGTTTAGCAGCACACTTTGCAACTGCAAAAGCGTGGAACCAACCCAAATGCCCACCAGTCAACGAGTGGGTAAAGAATCTGTGGGGTGTGTGTGTGTGTGTGTGTGTGTATATATATATATGTATATATAAGGCTATATACATATATATGTATATATATGGCTATATACATATATATGGATATATATTTATATATATCCATATATATATATATATATATATATATATATATATATATATATATACACACATATATATAAAGGAATACACCTCAGCCATTAAAAGAGAGACTGAATTAATGGCATTTGCAGCAACCTGGATGAGATTGGAGACTATTACGGCAAGTGAAGTAACTCAGGAATGGAAACCCAAACATTGTATGTTCTCACTCATAAGTGGGAGTTCTCACTGACACAAAGGACTTCAGGGACTCAGGGAGAAAGGGTGGGAAGGGCATGAGGGATAAAAGACCACAAACTGGGTGCCGTGCATACTGCTCAGGTGATGGATGCACCAAAATCTCACAAATCACCACTAAAGAACTTAGTCATGTAATGAATCACCACCTGTTCCCCAATAATTTATGGAAATAAAAAAATTTTAAAAATACTAAACATCTTAAGCACATGCTTCCTGGAACCTACACTCTCCTGACTTTTTTCCTATCTATTGTCCATTCTCAGGCTCTTTGGTTGTTCCTTCTTTCCTCCTCTACGTCTTAGCACTACAGTACCCCAGGACTCAATTCTTAAGTCTCCACCTGTCTCTCTCTGCTTACAGTAATGTGGTTCCAAATACCACTGGGGTAGTTCCAGCCCAGGTGTCTTCCCTGAACTGCCAGCTCTATATACGGCTTTCTTGACCCTTTGCCTGGACATCTGGTAGGCATCTTACACTTATAGCATGCCCCCAAATGAATTCCTAATCCCCAACTCCAAATCAAGTCCTCCTACAATCTAAGCATGTCATTAAATGGCAAGGCCATCTTTCTAGCTGTTCACCAGAAATGCTTGTCATCACCCTTGACCAATGTTTTTCTCTCATGATCCACATACAGTCATTCTGCAAATCTGGTTGACTCTGCTCTCATACTAGATTTGGAATCTGACTACTTTTCAGTCTCTTTCCTGTTAGTATACTGGAGCTTGATTTTTATTATTTTTTTCTTTAAATAGACTTTAGTGTCTCCATTTCTGCCCCCGAGACTCCCACATTACTGTCTCTCCTTAACACAAAAGCTAGAGTGATAATTTAAAATTATAATCAGGTCATGTCATTCTTCTACTGAAGATCTTCCAATGGTGCACATCTCTCCTAAATGGCCTTGGAAGTGCTACATGATCTGACTATCTGTGCAGAAAAAGTTAATGTAGCAGGCCTGAGACTGCTATCCTTAGAAAGCCCTGCTTGCGAAGCGGGGCCTTGGCTGGTGGCATCTGGAAAGTTAGATTTGTGGAGGGCTACCATCATTCCCTTATCGGAATGGCTCACTGTGCAAAACTGTTTCTGCAAACAATATGGCTTATGCTGAACACCTGCTCTTTTTCTGGGAGTCTGGAATTTTTGTATATGCTAAGCAGAAGGTGCCTATGTGATCAGTCTGCAGTAAAAACCTTGGGTGCTTAGTCACTAATGAGTGTTCCTGGTAGGCAACATTTCGCACATGTGGTAAGAACTCACTGCTGGGGGAATTAAGCAAGTCCTCTCCACTAAGGGAAGACCCTTGGAAGCTTGTGCCTGGTTTCCTGCAGACTTCGCTCTGAATGCCAGTTTGTTTTGCTGATTTGGCTTTGTATCTTTTCACTAATAAATTATATCCATGAAGGGCCTGGTACGGTGGCTCACACCTGTAATCCTAGCACTTTGGGGGCTGAGGTGGGCGAATCACCTGAGCTCAGGAGTTCAAGACCAGCCTGGGCAACATGGTGAAACCCCGTCTCTACTAAAAATACAAAAATTAGCCAGACGTGGTGGCACACACCTGTAATCCCAGCTACTTGAGAGGCCGAGGCAGGAGAATTGCATGAACCTGGGAGGTGGAGATTGCAGTGAGCTGAGAGTGCATCACTGCACTCCAGCCTGGGCAACAGAGCAAGATGCCGTCTTAAAAAAAATTTATATCCATGAGTATGAGTATATGCTGAGTTCCTTGAGATCTCTTGGTGAATCATCGAACCTGGAAGGTCTTGAGGACTCCAGCACCCTATATTTGACCTCTCTGACCTCATCATCTACCACACAGCTGTCTGTTCTCCTGTCTCAGTCACACTGATCGCTTGTCATGTTATTCAAGCATGCCAGACAGACTCTTACCTAGTGCCGTTTTCTCTCTTCCTAAAATATTTTCTCTCAGTTATCCACCTATCTGCTTCTTTCATAGTTTCCATCTTAAATAATTGTTTTCTTCTTCAGGAAGCCTTCCTAACCACCCTATTTATGATTATAACCTTCTGAGAACCCTTTCTATTGCCCTTCCCTGATTTACTTCTATCTACAGACCATATTCTTCCTACCATACCACTTATTTTAACTGTATTTCTTGTCTCCATCACTAGAATATTAACTTCAATAAAGGTAGAGATATTTGTCTCTTTTGTTCATTTCTGAACCCTTAGATTCTAGAAGAGCACCAGGTCATAGTAGGGCATCAGTAAGTTCTTTTCAAAGAAATAATTATTTTACCATGCATCCATCACCACCTGTTGCAGCTATCTCTTGTTGTATTACAAACTATCACCAAAATGTAGTAGCTGAAAATACCACTCAACAACATGATTGTGTAGGTCAGGAATTTGGACCAAGCACATGGGGGAAGTCTCTGTGTGATGTTTTCTAGGTCTGGGATGCTCAAGATGGCATCTTCACTCACATGTCTAGTGCCTCAGCTAGAATGGCTCTACTAGCTGTGAAGATAAAGCAGCCACTCTCGGGTTTTGATGAGTTTCATGGCCTCCTGGATGATAAGGCACACACGTGAATAAGCCAGTTTTGCTTTAGTGGTATGTTTGCAGGGATACAATATAGACAAATAATGCCCTTTGAAAGAGAAGACACTAAAGCCGTTTTGAAAGATGATGAAGAATTTTCCACGAGAAAAGTGAGATAAGACATTCTAGGTGGAGGGAAAAAAGTGGTTGAGGGAGTTGTGAAAAGTTGAGCGTAGCCTGGAGAGGAGTGGGTGCACACACTAATTTGGACCAGATGCTGATGGTCCTTGGGTGCTGCCCTAAGGGATTTTCATGCTGTCTTAATGTAGCTCTCCATTTTGTTACGAATATACTCACATTTTGCTTAATTTGCATGAGTTTAAAAATATGTGTATAAACTTAAAATGGAGCATTTTCAGAAAATTGGGGAATAAATTACCTAACTTTGTAGTATGTCTGTTAAGGCCTCATCACTTGGTTGGTTATGCTGGTTTTCACACATTCCCCTGCAAAACTGTTTTCAACAAAATTATCAAGATCTAGTAGCTAAAGGCCATGGTTACCTTTTACTTCTTGTTTTTGATGATGTCCCACCTTTTAAAACTCTCTACTCATGGGCTTTTCAGGATTTTTTTTTTTTTGAGACAGAGTCTCACCCAGGGGCTTTTCAGGATTCTTAAACATCTGTCTTCTTTGAGTCTTCACAGATGCCCTCTCTGCCATCTTCTTGTATGTTGGTACACTGGGGTTCTGGCCTCGTCCTCCATGGGATCTCATTCACCACATGGCTTCACCTACCCGTAAATACACACTTCTAGCCCTGAACTTGCTCCAGATCCCAATATCTGCCTGCCTCTGGACTTCATTACCTGGATGTCCCACAGACAATTCAAGCCCACTCTATTCTCTGTGAATCTGCTTGCCCCATTCCTTGTAGCCTGTTACTGCGCACATGGCACCATCATTCACTTGGTTGTCTAATCTAGAAACCTGGATATCCTTCACACCTCCCTCATATTCCACCACATGTCCAGTCGCTCAGAAATTTCCTTTGATGCTTTGAAGTTATCTCTCTTGGATCTGCTTCCTCCTTATCGTCTCTACATCCCAAGAACAGAGAGTGAGTCTTCTTTATTTTCTTATCTCTGTTTTTAGCACAGTATTTGATATATAGTGTAGATACTATAAATGCTTGCTAAACTTTGTCAAATTCCACATTTTTAAAATAAAAATGAGAATGAGCTTGTAGTCAACATGGCGTTTGTAAGTTTGGAGTCTATATATGGTAGATATACATATTTTTAAATCTAAGTGCAACTTTTCTCTTGATTATCTTGAAATGCCTTATCATCTCCACATTTGCTGTAGGCAGTAGTTTAGTGGTCCATTATATCTGCCACACTGATTGTCTTAAATAACAGTTTCAAATTCTGACAGGTTGACTTGCTTCTTAGATTTTTCAGACTGAGTGCTCTGTAGTTATGGATTTTCCATGAAGCAACATAATGTTTTTGCTTCATGCAGGTTTGTGTGATGCAGTCTCTTGTGTTTGAATAATGTTTGATTTTCAGCATTCATTAATTTCATGTTGATTTTAAAATTATCTGGACTACCTCAATTTTGATGGATTCTTTATTTTTGACAGGCATGATATCTCTGTCTTAGGAGCTACTAAATTGAGCCTGCCTCCTGTTGCTGAACTCTCGTTTTTTGGATTGCAATGTGGTGGAATTGCAGGATATCAAGACAGGCCGGTTAAAAAGGTTTTCTCTCAGTTTAGTCTCTATCAGATGCAGTGCCAAGTATCTTCCAGATAAATATGTCCTGCATTGCTCTTGTCCGCTGCCTCAAGTTGAGGATGTTAAACTCTCTGAGTTGTCCCTGTTTGCAGATGACATGATTGTGTATTTAGAAAACCCCATTGTCTCAGCTCAAAATCTCCATAAGCTGATAAGCAACTTCAGCAAAGTCTCAGGATACAAAATCAGTGTGCAAAAATCATAAGCATTCCTATACACCAATAACAGACAAACAGCCAAATCATGAGTGAACTCCCATTCACAATTGCTAAAAAGGGAATATAATACCTAGGAATCCCACTTACAAGGGATGTGAAGGACCTCTTCAAGGAGAATTACAAAACACTGCTCGACAAAATAAAAGAGGACACAAACAAGTGGAAGAACATTCCATGCTCATGGATAGGAAGAATCAATATCGTGAAAATGGCCATATTGCCCAAGGTAATTTATAGATTCAGTGCCATCCCCATCAAGCTACCAATGACTTTCTTCACAGAACTGGAAAAAACTACTTTAAAGTTCATGTGGAACCAAAAAGAGCCCTTATTGCCAAGTCAATCCTAAGCATAAAGAACAAAGCTGGAGGCATCATGCTACCTGACTTCAAACTATACTACAAGGCTACAGTAACCAAAACAGTATGGTACCGGTACCAAAACAGAGATATAGACCAATGGAACGGAACAGAGGCCTCAGAAATAACAACACACATCTATAACCATCTGATCTTTGACAAACCTGACAAAAACAAGAAATGGGGAAAGGATTCCCTATTTAATAAATGGTGCTGGGAAAACAGGCTAGTCAGATATAGAAAGCTGAAACTGGATCCCTTCCTTACACCTTATACAAAAATTAATTCAAGATGGATTAAAGACTTAAATGTTAGACCTAAAACCATGAAAACCGTAGAAGAAAACCTAGGCAATACCATTCAGGACATAGGCATGGGCAAGGACTTCATGACTAAAACACCAAAAGCAATGGCAACACAAGCCAAAATTGACAAATGGGATCTAATTAAACTAAAGAGCTTCTGCACAGCAAAAGAAACTACCATCAGAATGAACAGGCAACTTACAGAATGGGAGAAAATTTTTGAAATCTACCCATCTGACAAAGGGCTAATATCCAGAATCTACAAAGAACTTAAACAAATTTACAAGAAAAAAACAACCCCATCACAAAGTGGGCAAAGGTTATGAACAGACACCTCTCAAAAGAAGACATTTATGCAGCCAACAGACACATGAAATAATGCTTGTCATCACTGATCATCAGAGAAATGCAAATTAAAACCACAGTGAGATACCATCTCACACCAGTTAGAATGGCATCATTAAAAAGTCAGGAAACAACAGATGCTGGAGAGGATGTGGAGAAATAGGAATGCTATTATGCTGTTGGTTGGAATGTAAACTAATTAAACCATTTTGGAAGACAGTGTGGCAATTCCTCAAGGATCTAGAGCTAGAAATATCATTTGACCCAGCAGTCCCATTACTGGGTATATACCCAAAGGATTATAAATCATGCTGCTATAAAGACACATGCACACATATGTTTATGGCAGCACTATTCACAATAGCAAAGACTTGCAACCAACCCAAATGTCCATCAATGATAGACTGGGTTAAGAAGATGTAGCACATATATACCATGGAATACTATGCAGCTGTAAAAAAGGGTGAGTTCCTATTCTTTGCAGGGACATGAATGAAGCTGGAAACCATCATTCTGAGCAAACTATCACAAAGACAGAAAACCAAACACTCCAGGTTCTCACTCATAGGTGGAAACTGAACAATGAGAACACTTGGACACAGGGTGGGGAACATCAAACACTGGGGCCTGTTGTGGGGTGGGGGGTCTGGGGAGGGATAGCATTGGGAGAAATACCTAATGTAAATGACAGGTTGATGGTTGCAGCAGACCAGCATGGCATATGTATACCTATGTAATGAGCCTGCATGTTGTGCACATGTACCCTAGAACTTAAAAGTATAATAGTAAAATGTGCCATGTAATCAGTGAGGTCTCAGTCAGACTTCCAATTAGGGGATCCTGTGTGATGATTGCCTGTAACAATCTGATCATCTAAAAGTCACTTTAGTCACATGGAGGAAGATTTAGACAGTGACTTTGGGTCAGTATTGTGTTTTTTGCTGAGGATATAGAGTAAAATAAGACACAGCTTCTGCCACCAGTGGGCTTATAGATTTAACAGGCATAGAGGAGCATGGCAACAAATGGCATGGTATGATCAAGGTGCTTTGGGGCAAGGGGAGGTGGGGAAGTTGAGCAGGTTTCACTCCATGAGCTGTACGTGGCCAGGGGTTTGAAGGATGCATGGACAGTTGCCAGGGAAGTAGGAGTGGAAGATGGGGCAGGACATGAGGGAGGGGTGGGGGCAGCCTACCGCTGTTTGAAGGTAAACATGTATGTTTTGTTTGAAGGAGGAGGTTGGGGAGAAGAGGATAGAATTGTGGGAAGTTTCTCCAGGACAGTTGTGGGACGGGTAGTAGGGAAGGAGTAAGGGTCAAAGCCAGAGTTAAGGAAGCATTTGGGGCAGGATGGAGATATTGTTGGACCTACCTTTTTTATTGATTGCGCTAGAGAGTGGAGATAGAGGGAGCTGGGACTGGAGGTGGAGGAACTGGCTCAGGTCCTGCTGTTGGAGTGGAGGTTAGATGTATTGAAGCAGAAGCAGAAATGAGCTTTGAGGTTTAGGGGGCAAAGTAATTAGGCTTGGGGGTTGACTCTCAGTGGGAAGAGAAGTGTAGGTGGAACTGGGGAGAGGGCGCAGTCTCTGAGACATTTCAGTGAATATGCCTGTGTTCTGGCCACCCAGGCTGGGGTTCCGAGATAACTAAGACATGGCCTTTGCTTTACAGAACCTGATAGATAGGGATAGGAGAGGTGGGAGACTGAGAACAGATGAAAGGGTTGGTGAGCAGTGTGAGGGCCTGGAGCAATCAGAAATCCTGAGTTCGTAAAGATGCCAATCTTTTGCACCAGTTGTTCAGCATTGGATTAGAGCCTTGATTCAAGGTTGGGATTAGAGGGCAGGTGTGGGAACAACCTGGTGCTCAGAAATAAAAGTTGTTAGGCTCAGTTAATGAAAGTATAAATTGATATGGGTGGCTTTTAGACTTTGGTAGTCACAGTGGCTGGAAATCTTCCTTTGTTCCTCCGGACCCGCTCTTGTCCCTTTTCCAGTCCCCTCTGTGACCCAGGAGGCTGAGCTGAGTGGACTTTCTTGCCCTCTGGCTTCTAGTTAGGGTCGGCCATTGGGGAAGCCCCAGTGAGAGAACAAGAGGGTGGGCAGCTCCATTCCTGCCAGGTCACTGTGGGCTGGCTGCTTCCCTTTCCTAAAGTCCACAGCTCTAGCCCTATGTACTCATCTCCCTTGTATTTTTTTTTTTTTTTTTTGAGATGGAGTTTTGCTCTTGTCACCCAGGTTGGAGTACAGTGGTGCGATCTTGGCTCACTGCAACCTCCGCCTCCAGGGTTCAAGTGATTCTCCTGCCTCAGCCTCCCGAGTAGCTGGGATTACAGGTGCACGCTACCACGCCCGGCTAACTTTTTGTATTTTTAGTAGAGACGGGGTGTTGCCATGTTGGGCAGGCTGGTCTTGAACTCCTGACCTCAGGTGATCCACCAGCCTCGGGCTCCCAAAGTGCTGAGATTACAGGCGTGAGTCACCGCGCCCGGCCATCTCCCCTGTATTAAGGTCACTCCTTTACCTGGCCTGTTGGGTCTCAAACAATGGCAAGGGATTGCCGCTGTTAGGACCATTGTCCCTTGATGGTTTACTGCCAAAGTTTGGACTAATAAAGACAGAAATATTTGCCTGCATGACTCAGTATCTACATACACACACACATACAACAAACCCCCGTGCCCCACCCCCAGCCTGAAACAAAAGTTTCAGGAGAGTACTTACCTTTGCTGTGAATGATGCCCTCAGATTTCTAAATTCTATTTTGTTTCACTGAAAAAGTAGTTGGGGTGTGCTAAATTGATTTCACTAATGGGTTAGGGCCCATAGTAAAAAAACCACTGGAGCTTCCTGATGTTTATGGACACAGGATGGACCATCAGATCAAGTGACTCAGAAATCCTCACAGCGCTAAGATCTGATTGCTTATAGATTTATCCAAAGTGTGAGGCTGAAGTTAAGCTTCTAAAATGAACTTAAACTCCTAAAATCAAATGACATTGTAGGTGTTAATAGGTGAATTTTTCTGTGGATTATAATGCCACGTACCTTATATGTGTAATAGAGATAATTTTTGGATCTTGAGACTTGTGTATGGCTAGTGTGTGAGCTAAGAGTCATCCTGGCCCAGAAGTCGCTGTGGCTTTATAAAATCTTCGAGAAACTGAAAGAGTTTTACTTGTCATCTTGTTTTTCTTTTGTCATGACATGGTGATAGTATTGGTAACTTTAAATATTAGGTCTGGATTACTTCCTTTTGTAGCAAAGAGATGAGGAAGTGTAAGATGGATAAATAATCCTTGCCTCTGTATTTATAGACACATTTATAGAGATTCAGTGGGCTTGAGTTTTGACAGCAGTGTTTGATCAGAAACATTTTCCCAGAACCTTAAAAAAAAACTGCAGTTCAAATATTTCTAATAAAAAAAATTTTTTTTTTTCGTTGCTGTAACTAGATTTGCATTTCCGATTTTTCTCTCTCTTGTTTCACTTTTGTCTGTGGCTGAGGAAGGGCCACTTGGGAAATGCAGCTGTGGGTCGTAAGGAGTCCCTCACTCTATCGCTCTGTGTTTCCTGGGGCTGCCATGACAATGTACCACAAACTGGGTGGTTTAAAACAAGAGAAATTTATTTTCTCACAGTTCTAAAGTCTGTAGATTCAAATTTAAGGTGTTGGCAGGGCCACGCTTCCTTCAAAACCTCTAGAGAAGGATTCTTTCTTGCTTCTTCCAGCTTCTGGCAGCCCAGGGCATTTCTGAGCTATGGCAGCATAACTCCAATCTCTGCCTCCGTTTTTACATGCCGTCTTCCCGCTGTCTCTCTCTCTCTCTCTCTCTCTCTCTCTCTCTCTCTCTCTCTCTCTCTTTCTCTCTTCTCCCTTTATAAGGACACCAGTCATACTGGATTAGGGTCCACCCTAATGACCTCGTCTTAATTTGATTCCATCTGTAAAGACTCTGTTTCTAAATAAGGTCACATTCATAGGTATGGGTGGGGGGGACTGGGATCTCAACATACTGTGTTTTGGAGGATAACACACTTCAACCCATAATAATGGCAATTTGTTTTTAATGCATTTTTTCTTGCTTTTCCACTAAGACACATTGGGGGAATTCTGTTGATTTCCCCATTGCCTTTCTTACAATGTTACTCTCTTTATTTCTTATATTTTTGCTCCAAAATAGTCCACATATAATAATCATTCTGTATTATTGAGAATTGAAGGTTATTGGTGTGATTGACTTATCTACTACCTTCTCCATGTAAACATTTTGGTATCTGCTTCCTTGTTCTCATTTACCTTTTCAGTTGACACTTTTGAGACTCATGTATGTCCTAAATTCTATCTCATGTCACATCCTTTGTGGTCTGCTTTATTTTTTATTTTTTGAGACGGAGTCTTGCTCTGTCACCCAGGCTAGAGTGCAGTGGCGCTATGTCGGCTCACTGCCAGATCCACCTCCCGGGTTCACGCCATTCTCCTGCCTCAGCCTCCCGAGTAGCTGGGACTACAGGCACCCGCCACCATGCCCGGCTAATTTTTTTGTATTTTTAGTGGAGACGGGGTTTAACCGTGTTAGCCAGGATGGTCTCGATCTCCTGACCTTGTGATCTGCCCACCTCAGCCTCCCAAAGTGCTGGGATTGCAGGCGTGAGCCACTGCGCCCGGCCAGTGGTCTGCTTTATTAAGCATTGATTGAAGCCCAGTGGCTGGTATGGATTACATTGCTATTCAGTCTGTAATTACGTTCTTTTACAGGTGGCAGGTGGAGTGTTTTGGAGCATGTGTCATGTCCCCCACGTAGCTCAGTTCCTTTCCTTCGGGGCTTCACATGCATACATTTTGAAATGAAGAAAGCCATAAGCAGGTGCCAGATGAGTTTCCTGGGCACTCAGAAGGAAGAGAGCCTGCAGTAGGCTGGAATGGCCAAGTGGGAAAATGGACAGAATTTAGACAAATGCAGTAGAGGATGAGGGAGAGTGTATCATGTGGCAGAGATGATGGAAGTACAAGCATTGTAGTAGTTCTTAATTTGTTGATCCTAACACCCCTTTGCCCTCATATTTTCTTAGAAGACCTGAGGGAACGTTTCATGTGCGTTATATCTATATTTATCATATTATAAATCAAAAATGAGAAATTAAAAAATATGTTCAATTGATTTAAAATAACAAAGTGCCCATTACAAGTTAAAATACTTATTTTTAGGAAAAATAACTACAAAACAAAAAAAAATGTGGTGAGAACCATAGCACTATATACCATTTTTTTGCAAATCTCTTTAATGTTTGGCTTATTAGCTGGATTCTCAAATCTGCTTTCTCATTCAATCTGTTGCAATGTTGTTTTGATTTAAATATATGAAGAAAATCCTGCCTCATACAGATATGTAGTTGGAAAGGGAGAAGCATTTTAATAGCTTCGTCAGATAATTGTAGATATGCTTTTTGTAGATATACTACATGAAAATTCAGTAAGTTATAGTTTCTTTTTCTTGCTTAAAAATACATTTATTATATCACAGTTTCTATGGGTTAGCAGTCTGCACACAGCTTAGCTGGGTCCTTTTCTTAGACTCACCAGGCTGCAATCAAGATATCGCCTAGGCTATGCTCTCATCTGGAGGCTTGACTGGGAAGAATCTGCTCCAAGCTAACTCAGGTTGCTAGCAGAACGCTTTCCTTGTTTCTGTAGGATTGAGGGGCCTAGCTTTTTTCTGGCTACTAGCTAGAGGCCACCTTCAGCTCCTGGAGGCCACCCTTCTTTCCTAGAGGTCACCTGCAGTTTCTTGTCATGTGGGCTTTCTTAACCCAACTGCTTACTTTATCCAGCCAGCAAGGAGTCTCTAGAGCAAGTCAGCTCGCAACACGGAGTATTATATAATACAACATAATCATGGGAGTGACATTTCAACATGGTTTCTTAAAGGTTCATTGCAATGTTGAATTTGGAATCACAACCAATGAAATATTCATACTCCATTACAATGCATTGGTTCATGTGGTACTTTGACTGATCTTGTATTCCTGTGTGATTTAATACCATACATTGGTCATTTGGAAACTATTAGTTCACTGAGTTGTATCAGTTTTCCAAACGTTGACATATTTCATTATATAATATCAAAAACTACGCATATTAACATTACTATCAATTTCATCAGAAACATCTAAGTATTGAGAAGCTATCAAGCTCACAGTGGTGGATACAGGTGTTAAAAATTTTTAATTTTTGGATTATGATTGACAACAAATGCTGTCATCTGTTTTCCTTCAAGTGCCGAGGTGTACATCATTCATTCTCAAGAAATACCTATCAAAATCTCAAGAATAAATATCCAGAGTTCATCTGCCAGTCATTCCCTTCAAGCAAAAATGGTGCACCATAAAAAAACCAGTTAGTTCAGCCTGCAGCTCAGTCAGTCAATCAATCAGAGGAGTGCTTTTCTCTGAGGTGACCACTGTACTTCAGTATGCGGCAGAATGCTTTATGTGTACTTCCCATTTCCTTACACACAATGTCAAAAACATGTGAAATCAAAGGTCAAGAGATAATGAAATTTTACCTGCTTCATCAAGGGCATGCTTACATTATTTTTTAACTACCAATGAGTGGCAGTGAATAATATTAATACAATGACTGCTAGTATAGTTTAGTGTCACTACCTCCATTCAAGCTAAGGCATCAGTAGTGCCAGTGTTGAACATAGTTGTTTCAAGGATAAACCATGAGATTCCAAAAGTTATTAGACACATTGACTGTTTAAGCACCAGTGTTTATTTTCAGAATTTCACATTTAAAAAAAATCTTCAATCAGCATCAGCACCAATTAGTCATTTTATAATCCATTTGTAAGGCAAAGGTACAGCTCTGCAGTTGGGATGTGAACTCAGTCGTCATGTTTGTAGACAAACCTTTCATTTGAGGAGTTACTGTGTCATTAGGAAATGGCACTGCCATGTTTTTTTTAAACTAACTTATCCAGCAGGCCTTCAGCAATGTCAGTGGTACAAAGTTTTCTTAGTGTCTCAGTTACTGTGTGTTTTTCTCCAGCTAATGCAGTATGATACCCTATAAGGTCTTTCAGTGGCTTTTTCTCTTCTCTCTTGAAAAACTACAACAACGTTTGTCTTATAAAGTTCTCATCATGTCTGCATTAAAAAAAATCAATTCCTTTTCCTTTAAATCCTTAGTGATTATTTTCAAAATGATGTTGCAACTGAACTATTTGAAAATATTCTGTTGCGTAAGACATAGTATAAATTACTAAATATCTATAAAGACAAGGTAAAGACAACTTTGTTAATGTTTTTGTTTATTTATAATTTTCCTCAGGGTTGTTTTGATTTTTTTTCTTAAGTAGTTGCTTCCCTTCCATGGATCAGAGGCCTCTAATGTGTCAGTTTCATCTTTTTTAGTATCTTTAGGCATAAAAAGTATGTATACCTGTGGGTAGGAAAGCAGGCTTTCTAAACCTCTTTTTTTTTTTTTTTGAGACGGAGTCTCGCTCTGTTTCCCAGGCTAGAGTGTAGTGGTGCGATCTTGGCTCACTGCAACCTCCGCCTCCCAGGTTCAAGTGACTCTCCTGCCTCAGCTTCCCAAGCAGCTGGGATTACAGGTGCCCACCACCACGCCCAGCTAATTTTTGTATGTTTAGTAGAGACGGGGTTTCATCATGTTGGCCATGCTGGTCTTGAACTCCCAGCCTCAGGTGATCTGCAACCCCTTAGCCTCCCAAAGTGCTGGGATTACAGGCTTGAGCCACTGTGCCCAGGCTCTAATCCTCCTCTTTTATGTTGGATTTTTTTTTCGTTAAAACGTACATAACATAAAATGTTCCATTTTAAGTGTATAGTTCAGTAGCATTAAGTATATTCATATTGTTGTGCAACTGTCGCCACCACCCACCTACAAAACTTGTTCATCTTCCCAAACTGAAACTCCATACCCATTAAATAATAACTCCCTATTCCCCACTCCCCCAGGCTCTGACAACCACCATTTACTTTCTGTCTATGAATTTGACTACTCTAGATACCTCAGAAGTGGAATCGTGCACTATCTGTCCTTTTGTGACTTTATTATTTCATTTAGCGTAATAATGTCTTTGGTTAATTCATGTTGTATCATGTTTCAGAATTTCCTTCCTTATCAAGGTTAAAGAATATTTCTTTGTATGTATGTACCACATTTTGTTTATTCATTTATCCATTGATGGATGCTTGGTTCCTTCCACTTTTGGTTATTGCAAATAGTGCCACTGTGAACATGAGTGTACAAGTGTCTGTTCTACTCTCTGCTTTCACTATTTTCGGGTGTATACCCAGAAGTAGAATTGCTGGATTATATAGTAATTCTATGTTTTATTTTTTGAGGAATCCCCCTACTGTCTTCCACAATGCTGTATCATTTTACAGTCCCATCATCAGTGAGCAAAGGTTTCAATTTCTTCCTATCTCTGCCAACATTTATTTCTGTTTTAATAGCCATTCTAATGGGTGTGAAGTGTCTAATCTCTTTTAAGGCAACAATCCATCTTTAAATATAAAAAGTTAGATATTTATTTTAGAATGATATAGTAAATTCTAAATTATAGTTTTCATACAACTAAAATATTTAGAATAATTTTTGAAAAGATTTAAAATACTATTGTAAATCTGTGAAATGACAAATCAAAAGGGCAAATAACCTTTTAGACTTGAGAAAGAGTTTTGACTTTGCAGATTTTCAAAAAAGGTATTGGGATACCTAGGGGTTTGTAGACCATACCTGAAGAACTGCTTGATGAAATATAGTATTAGAAACATGGTCTCAGCTTCTCATGAAACTCTTTCCATAGGTGGATAAATAATGATTTCTTTTGATTTACAAATTTGTTTACTAAGAACTTAAAAAATGTTTTTTCACATTCTACAACAAAGATTTTATTTAACAATAACAGAAAAAGAAATAACAAATCAGTTGCCATGGAATTAAAGTTGGGAAAGAAGAATGTTTTGTTCTTGACTGGGAAACCATTTAGAACTGGCAATAGAAGGCAGGAATAAATTGTACTTTTCTGACAATAGGAATGTTTTAAGTCTGTTCTTAATCTTTAAAAAAATTTTTTTAAGATCATTTAAGGAGGGTGTATGTATCAGTTTTCAAGTTAAGAGATTTCTCTGAAGCAGCAATTACAACACTTATTTAAAATATTTGAAATATGTTGTTAGAATACCAATTAGGTAATTACAAGAAATTATTGAAATTTCATTCAAGAAAAAATTACAGGCTGGTTTCGGTGGCTGACACCTGTAATCCCAGAACTATGGGAGGCCCAGGTGGATGGATCACTTGGGGTCAGGAGTTTGAGACCAACCTGGCCAATATGGTGAAACCCTGTCTCTACTAAAAATACAAAAATTAGCCAGATGTGGTGGTGTGTGCCTTTAATCCCGACTACTCGGGGGGCTGAGGTAGGGGAATCAATTGAACCTGGGAGGCAGAGGTTGCAGTGAGCTGAGATTGCGCCACTGCCCTCCAGCCTGGGTGACAGAGTGAGACTGTCTCAGGAAAAAAAAAAAAAAATTGCAGGAAAACTCAGGCATATTATTTTGTTTTATAACCCAAATATATCATTGCTTTAAATGACATACCAAAACCCATCAGCATTTAAATAAGCTTATTTCTTTTTCTTCCCATCAGCCATCTACTGAATATTGGGAGTGTGGTGCTGAACCGCAGCCTCACCTGAGGTCAGGGGAAGACTCAGTTTTTTTGCTTTCACTGCACAGTTTGCATATTTAAACATTCTTGAAAAGAATTGCTCTAAATATCACTAATTATCTCCATGCGTATAGCTCTTATCTTTTATTTTTCATGAAACCAAAGGTTGTGATCTCTCATCTTTACAATATGACATCTTTTTACTTAGATTTAGATGCTATATGAAACCGTAATGCCTCTCTTTAAGCTCCAATTCAGATAGTAGATTTGGATAGCATAAATGTTTAATACTGTATGTAAATGTCCACATATAGGTTGAAATTATAAGATGTGTAACATAGAGTAGTAATCATCAAATAGGTGACAGATATCCATGTGGCTATTCATTGGGGAATGTGACTGTGAATCACTGTATTAAATTCACCTCCTGCAGTCATGGGCTAGGCGGTGTCCATTGGTGCTGCCTAGCATTCTTAGTTTTGGCCATTTTGTTTAGGTAGATAGTTGTCTATTAAGCAAGATACTTACTGTGTGTTTTGTAACTAAAAATTGTTTGAGAGAAATTTTAGATCTTCCCTTTGGTTTCAACATTATGAAGTATGAAATTATGAATAGTGCTTTAGATTGTCCCATGCAGTTAATGATGAAAACCAGTTGGAGAAGGTGATGAGAGCACTCTAAGAAAACTACTTATTTGTGCAAAAAAGTGGGGAGATGATGCTTAATGTGGGGATGCTTCATTGCACATTGGGCCACTTGTTGCTATAGTCTCAAAGATCATGATGTTAAACATCATCAAGATGATACAAAATCAAACCTTTCTCTGAACGTTTGCCATCCTGTCTCCTGTTTGGGCCTGGAATATTGAGCTGAGATTTTGTAAGTGTGTGGCAAAATTTATAACGGGGCTACAAGACACTCAGAGTAATGGTTCCAATGACTGGAGGTGTGTGTGCTGATCATTACTGTTGGAGTCAAGATATTGGGGCCTCCTTTGTGAAGGCAAGGTCTGAAAGGGAATGAAATTTCATAGATGAAGGCTACAAAGTCACAAAATGTACAGTAAAGTATGAATTCACATCTGCAAGGGAGAGCTTGTTGTACTCTGAGTGAGCCAAGTCTTGCTTCCAGTGAGTGTCTGGTTCATTCCTCACATAGGCAGCATAGGTGGGAAGTATAAAGAACTTGGCTGTGTTTATGAAAGAGACAGCTTTAACTTCTCAGTGGGGCTGGACTGTAGCTCACCTTTAGGGTTGATGTTGGGAAGACAAATAGGCTGCTTTGTGCCGCCTTCTGTATTAGCAAGGCAAAGAACAGCTTGACAGTTTCTTTGCTCTTCTGACATGATTCTGTCCATCTAGCTGGAATAGGGGGCTCAATTTCTGAGGACAGGTAGCTGAGAATATTGTGGTTTGGGGACCTCTCAAAAATACGGAGAGTCTTGTTTGCCTGGATAGGAGCTCTATTCCAAAGGTGAGGGAAGGAAGTGATAATGACTTGTTAAAAGCAACCTTTTAGGTAGATTGACCAGGGGCAGAGTTTACAGGATGAATGGGAAATGAGAAAGAGTGAAGTTCAAACAGGTAAGCTGTTGTAACTGAGGTGTATAAGCTGTTATAACTGAGGTGTATGAGCTGTTGTAACTGAGGTGTATAAGCTGTTGTAACTGAGGTGTATAAGCTGTTGTAACTGAGGTGTATAAGCTGTTGTAACTGAGGTGTATAAGCTGTTGCAACTGAGGTGTATAAGCTGTTGTAACTGAGGTGTATAAGCTGTTGCAACTGAGGTGTATAAGCTGTTGTAACTGAGGTGTATAAGCTGTTGTAACTGAGGTGTATAAGCTGTTGTAACTGAGGTGTATAAGCTGTTGCAACTGAGGTGTATAAGCTGTTGTAACTGAGGTGTATAAGCTGTTGTAACTGAGGTGTATAAGCTGTTATAACTGAGGTGTGTAAATCCGGCTGCTGTTAGTTCTGATTTCTGGATACTTTATTTCTACTACTTCAGGCAATATTTAGAGTAGAAAATCCACTAACTTGCATTGGCTGGCAAAGAAGGTGAAATAGATCCATGTGGGGTTTTGGGAAAAACACTGAACTTGGCATCTGGCCCTGGGGATAGCCCTGACTCTTCTATGAATATGAACTAGCTCTGAAACCGTGGGCAAGGCCCTTGAACTCTCAAGACCTCAGGCATAGAGTAGCTTATCTCTAAAGCTCATCCCCAGCCATAAGAGTGTTTTCTAGTGTCTTATTTATTACTTTCAAGTACACATTTCTAAGTACTAATAACTTTTACATGCTGCCAAGGAGTGGTCTTTTAGGGGCCTATTATGATGAAGTATGATGAATAGATAACTCATTTGTAATTAACTGTGTGTATGTCCATGCAAACAATTTCTGAGCTCTAAGTTTCTCATAATAATTCCCTTCCCATAAGTAGGGTTAAGCCCTTGAAATTTTGTTTGCATTTTTAATTTATACGGAAAATGAATTTTTCTGAGATACCTATATCTCGTCTCCCTAATTAGATTGTAACCTCCTTGAAAGCATTTTGCTTTGTTTTGTTGTTTGCTTTTTGGTTTTAATCCATTATAATGCCTTAAATAGCACTATGTGTATTAGGGACTTAATACAGTAGTAGATGAGTGAATGAGAAGTTAGAGCATAAACTTTAGTTCAGACCAAATTATTGTGAACTTTGAAATATTGTAACAGAAATTAATAAAGATGTAAGTCTATGATCTTATATTACTGTCCTTAATTAAATAATGTGTGTGTGTAATTATTATTGCCGTGGCTACATGTAAATGTGACTTAAAAGGTCAATCACAGTGAACTGCTACAGAAAAAATGGTAGGAGTGGATTCATAACCGTGTAACTTTTTTTCTCTATACTGAAAGGAAATATCATTTTCTCCCCAAGATCAGTCTTTGAGTAACTTTGCGGATCTAGAATAGTGCCTTGCAATTGGGGAAGGGAGAAAGGGAAAGTAAACTGAAGAGTTCAGAAGTGACAGTGGTCAGTTACATAGAGAACAAAGTACTTTGTTAGTTTTCTGGCCAGATAGAAAAGAACACTTTTCTTGACTGGAGATGATTTCTGAGATGAAAGCTTTCTAAGATATGGGGTGCCTGGCCTCCACATCTAGTTTCTTTGGGAGCCAGAGACAAGAGGGGATAAAAAGAGAAGCTTGAAGGAGGAGGAAAAGGAGGGGAGGGTACATGTAGTGGGAATGAGGGGCAGAGTAGCAGACATTATTGCAGAAAAGTGGGGGAGGAAAGAACCAGGCTGGAGGGGCTCCATAGCCTGGAAGGAAGCAGCCCTCTCCCTACACCAGTAGCTCCCTCAACCTTTGTTCTCCTTCCACCTAGCATATTAATTGCTGTTCATGATGATAAATCTGACCACTAGTTACAGGGAATGGGGCTTTTTAACCTATATTTTAGGACTTTGCATCATAAGCCAATTAAAAGAGATGTCTAGTTATTTATCAGAAATATTTCTATAAATACAGAAGCTGTGTATTTTTTTCCTGACAATATCTTAGTTGTTTGGTCCTTTAAGGAACTGAGCTTAGTAGGTAAATACTCTAGACAGCTGTGTAAATTTTGTAAATAAAAATCAGAAAGCTAACTATTCATTTATGTAGCCAGCATTCATTGGCTGGCAAACGTGTCAGAAACTTTGCCAGCCAATGGAAATACAATAAAGATACTATGTAGTTCCTACCCTCTTGTAGGAAGCTATAATTCTGTCTGATGGTGCACATCACTTATAAAGCACCATGTCTCAGAGAGGCTGCTTTGGAAATGACCACTCTCTTCTTGGGAAATTGGGATTTCAGAAGGCCTCCTGGAAGAGATGAAACTTGACTTCTCTGCTATCTTAAATTATTGACTCAAATGTGATCTGTTAGCTAAAGCCACAGAGACTGTGTGTCAACATAGGTGACTGAGGACAGCTCAACTTGGCTGGTGGCTATACCATTCAATCCATCTGCTCTTCTCTTGCCACCCTGAGTCCGGCTGTATCTCAAGTGTGATGCTGGAGTGAAATGTAAGAGGCACTCTGAAATTGACCCAGGTCTCTATACTCTGCAGTCTCTATACTGTCCTTCTCATAACTAGTTTTCACTCTTGATATCTTTTCCACTAGAATGTAAGCAGATTTGTGGGCAAGATAACCATAGCAATATGGTAGTGGTGATGGTGATGATAATATGTAAAATTCATGGAGCATTACTGAACACCAGTATGTATGCGTGACCTCATCTGATGCCTATAGGCTCTGCAGCTGGTAGTGGGGTGGAGGGGCTGTCATTCTCTCCTGACTTAGCAGTGATGTCATTGAGACTTAAAGAGGTTAGATGACCCTCCCATATCAGTCAGCAGCACCAGGAGAGAGATGGTTACTTGTCCTTTTTTTGTGGATGTGTCCATACAACTTCCCTGCCACATGCCCAGCTAATACAGGTTTTTGTTTGTGGTAAGTAATAAGCGACAGATTCTGCTCTGTAGGGTGAGTAAGTTCCATGGTTTCTCCTCGTTGTGATTGGTATACCATCAGAGTGTCCCCGATGCCCTTGGGTACTAAGGCATTGAAATACACATCACTGTTTGTCCTTCTGCCTTGCTCTTCTCCTTTCATTTTACCAGCAAAGACTGTTTTCTTTTGTCAGAGTCTACAGCTCAGCACTCCTGCTTAGTTTCTGCTCTTGGGCATCACCTCTGTCACTGTGGCTCATCCCCAGGCCCTTTCAGACACTGATGGCACCTGCTGAGCCCAGGGTTAACTACTTTCTTTACTCCTCTTTATTCCTCTACTGTCTTATAGCGTCTCCAAGTATGTCTTAGCAGCCACTGCAAGAGGTTGGCCAGCTAGGTAGGCATTTGTTTTGCTTGACTTGACCAGTCACTCACTGTCAGAGCATCTTCCTATTTGTGGCCTTTCTTCTGGGCTTTTCCCTCGGTGGGTGTGGGAGCTCAAGACTGCTACTTTGTTCTCAGAGGTTGTTGTTTGTTTAGTTATTGTGTACAGCTGCCAAGTTGGAGCTGTTTAAGAACCATGATATCAGAAAGATGCTTCATTGCAATAGTAGCTGTTGATTAGAAACAAAACAATCTATTAATTTCCTAACTTTATTATCATTTATGTTCTATCTCCTTCTAAAAGAAATTATGACAAAGTTTTCTTTTTTAAATGAATCCCAACTAGCAGTGATCTCATACTTTATTCATAATAAATTTTGTTTGGATACATGTATTTTATATTTTTAGCTCTCTGGTTTTGACAGAATGACTTTCCCCTCCTTTGGGCAATTTGAATGTTCTTCTATTATGTAGATACTTAACATCTGTGAGAGGTTATAGATTCTTGATTTTTACACGATGGTCTAAGGGAGACATCTCAGTATGGACAGGCAGCATAGCGTGTTTGTCATTTGTGTGGGCTCTTGAGCAAGATTTTCTAGATTGAAGTACAAGCTCTGCCATATACTAGTTGTATGATCTTAGGCAACTTACAGTCACTGTGCTTCTGTTCTTATCTGTAAGATGGCGTTGCAGGGTTGCTGTGGAACGCTAAATGAGGTCACATTTCTGAACTGCTTATATGGTGCTGGACACACACTAACAATCTAAGTGTGTCTTCTGTATCATGTCTGTGTTTCTCAAGCAGACTTTGAGCAGGTCCAGCTATGGTATCTCTTCCCAGTAGCTACATGGGGCCCAACACATAGTTTCTACTCAGGTTTGTGAGTAGATACATGAATGTATAAATTAACAGCATACGCTTTACTAAATTTCCTTAGTTAATTGTTTTTTATTTAATAAGTTGTTCTTCCAAGTTCCAGTTCTCTACTCTTCAGATGACTCTGCTTTAGTTATGGGTTTTTTATTGATTCATTATAATTACTTTGCTGATGTTTTTTTTTCTGGCTGTCATAGCAAGCAGCAGTCATTAGCTACAAGAAGACTCAGCAATTTAGTAAGAACTGTCTTGGTTTTGAGTTGTCTACCAAATATAACTTAACCTAAGACAGTAATATACATGGTTTCATTACAATCTGTATATTGTTAAACATGCATAATTTCTAAATTTATGCAAACAAACATTCATTGCTGTGTGTCTCCTAATGCTGTACTTGAAATGAATTTGCTTTTGGTTTTAAAGGCATTCATTTAATGGTTGGAGTGAACCTTTAAAATATTAATTGCATCTTGCTTTTAAAAATTTAGACATTAAGCCACTCCCATGAAAACTCAAGTTATAAAGAACCTAAGAATTATTTAAATAGTTCAGAAAATATGATATGTAGGCTTCTTTTAATTCATAGCAATATGTAAATTATTGACCCTCTGAAACCCCTTGATGCTAAGAAAGCAGTTCTCGTTTTCCTCTTCCATTCGTTGATACAGCTGAACTGGCATTTTCTCTTCCCTTTTGTATAGAATGGACTTAGGCTGGAAATGCTTTTGGATGATGTGGTACTTGCGTGTGGTGTCATCTCTGCTAGAGATGCAGGCCCCTGCCTGTTCTCCTCCTGGCTCTCTCTGGCTGTGGGGCTCACCAGTGCTGAGACAGCTGGAGCTGACTGGAGTCAGCACTGTAATACACTGTTAGAGGTTGAGGATAGGTGTGCTTGGTTGATTTAACACTTTATTTACCTGGTGAGTTCAGCTTTTGTGGTCTTGGATGATTCCTGTGCTTTGTTCAGTAGAATCAGTCTTCACTGTCCCCTTAGATATAAGCCCCTGTGGAGTTCCAAATCTGTTAGTCCTGTCCTGTGATTTGGTTGCTCAGGCGGTTCTTGCCCTTGCTATGGGGAGCCTTGATACATGGCTTGTAGGTCCTGCCATGTTAATTGACTGTTAGTCTAATATCGTATCTCTGTATTGTAAGGTTTTCAGGTTACAAACCTCTTATCTCTTCCTTCTGGGGACCCACTTCCCCCTAATCTCCCTTATTTTAGAGTTACTGAAGTAGCAACTAGAACCTTGCAATAAATAGCTCTCTCTGCCTTGACATCATCTAGCCTTTGGTCTGATTTTTGAATATTTGATTTGGATATTTGACTCTTTTTAAAGTTACACAGTAGCTTGAGGGTGCCCTAAAGAGAACTGCCTCTGGCCAGCAGGCTGGGGTGCTGCTATTTTTGAAGACAGGCCACCCTAACCTTGCTACACTAGAAGTTTGTGCGCAAGTACCCTGGGACACAAGGTACATTTGAATGTGTCTCTGTAATCACCAGCAAAAGAAGGGGAGTTGGATCTAAGTTTACTTTTCTTATGGCAGTATCTGTTTTGTAAATCAATGAATACCCATACATTGTTGCGGCAAAGTTTTTTTTCCAGTTAAAAATGATAACTCTTCTATCTGGTGGTTCTCAACATGATGACAGCATGCATGTGTGTGTGCTCTTTTTTTCAATTAACAATAAAATAACTCCTCTAATGCTGATGCAATAGGCCGGTGGTTCTCAACCTGACAGCAGGATGTGTGTGTGTGCACGCATGTAAATGAATATACATGCTTGAGTGTGGTTATATTATATAATGGAATCACCAGTGAGACTTTTCCACAATAAACATGTCTAGTTTCTACCCACTCCCACACATTTGGTTTCCCAGGGGTGGTGGCGAGTGTTTGAGTCATCTACAAGTTCTCATCTGCTTCCCCTTATGGTGTCTTTCAGGCACACTCATGAGAGGGTTGTAATCATTTGTCATGGATCATAACAACAATATGGAATACAACCATAATAACATATACTGAGCAATTACTGTGAATCCACTGCACAATCAGAAACCGTGCCGTGTTTTTAATGGATATTTTTCTCTTGCACTAAGCTAGGGCATTGACTTCATAATTCTACCATGATAGTGTTTGAATTTGAAATAAAACTTGAAAAAAATTATTTTTCTTGGGGGGGGATGGGATAGTTGGGTTTCGTAAATTGATCAGAGTGTATTGTTTTTAACTCTACCAGAGAAATCAAAATAACTTATTTACATATCTTTGTACTGCAGGCTAGAGCTAACAAATATTTATAATATTGTGTGGCACTATTCATACTACATGGCAGATGAGGAACCTTGGGCATAGAAAGTTAAATGATATGATGATAGGAATACCTAGTGTTTAATGTGTGCTTAATATGTGCCAGGCACTTTCTAAACACTTTGCATATGTTAATCTATTTAATCCTCACAACAATTCCAGGAAACATTTACTATTATCATTATTATTTTGTAGGTGGGTAAACTGAGTCTTAGAGGTTTAGTACCTAGCCCATGGTCACCCAGCTGGCAATCGGCAGAGCCCGGTTCCAAGCCCAGCCTGTCTGGCTCATGTTGCACAATTCCCTTGGAATAAAATGGGGATTTGAACTGGGTCTTCTGCTTCAGTACTTTCTCTTAGAGCTACATTGCCCCGGTTTTTAAAGGGTTTTCTCACTTTTATTTGGTTTTAATTTTTTTAGAGACAAGGTCTTGCTTTGTCACTCAAGCTGGAGTGCAATGGTGGGATCATAGCTCACCGTAACCTTGAACACCTGGGTTCAAAGGATATTCTCACTTCAGCCTCCTAAGGAGCTGGGACTACAGCATGTGCCACCACACCTGGCTAATTTTAAAAATTGTTTTTTTTTCTTTTCTTTATGTTTCTCATGCTGGTCTCAAACTCCTGGCCTCAAGCAGTCCTCCCACCTTGGCCTCCCAAAATGCTGGGATTATAGACATCAGCCACTGTGCCCAGCCAGTTTTCTCACTTTTAAATGATGGTTTGTAAAGAGTGATACTTTATTTAGATCAGTGGCCCTCGTTGGGGGTGGCTTTGTCCCCTAGGACATTGTGCAATGTCTAGAGACAATTTTGGTTATCACAGCAAGTGAGAAGGTACTTTTGGCATCTGTTAGAGTGAGGCCAAGGATGCCGCTAAACATCTTACAACGTAGTGGACAGCACTACCCACAGCAAAGAAGTGTCAGCCCAAATGTCGGTAGTACAGAGGCTGAGAAACCCTGTTTTTAGAGTGTTTTGCATGATGCCTTTTTCTCTAAGAGGAATCAATACTTTAGTGTACAGTTCTGCAAGATATTTTTTTAGGCTGAAGAGTAACAAGGAAGCAGGGTAGAGCTGATACTAAACTTACATAGGGAGCGTCTTGGCTTTGAGACTCTTCATCCATGACTGGATTAGTTATTTTAAAAACTCTGCTTGCGTGGACTCACAGGATCACAAATTCCAAACTTAAGGACCTTTCATCTTCTGGAATATAGCTGGGCTTGAGGTATTATATGGAGTGTGTGTCTATGGGCATCGGTGTGGTGAATACTTCTTTGTATATATATATTTTTTGTGTGTGTTGTACAAGAGTGACTTCATAAAAGGTGGCTCTTGCCAGAATTCAGAACACAGCAGGTAATGTACTTACTGAAGAGGTAAGAGCATGAGTAATTCTTGTCTCATGAGAAAGATGTAAACTAGTTTATTATAATGATGTAATATTTGGGTGCCTGATTTATCATCCCCATCTCCAATGATGCAAAACCTTAAGAACTACACAGGTGATAAAAATTCAAATGGTGTCTTTGAAGTCCGGCCTATTCCCCTGAGCAGTTAAAAGTGTCACCTTTGTCCTGATACGTTGCTGTTTGTGGATGTTTCCGGAGATCACGGTTAAAATCTTGAACTATGCACTCTACTATGGGAAGTTTTGGGATGTTTATTCCGTGAGAGAGGTCATAATCTGGGAAGATGAGAGTCATTCAGCTAATAGGGCAGGAAAATATCACAGTCAAGCTGTAGACTTGGGATGATGGGAGTATGGAAGAGATGATTCCTCCTGTGTACTGAGGGGAACCAGGAGAGGGAGAGTTGTCAGGAAGCGTGTGGTCTTTGAACTGGATCTCGTTTTAGGAGAAACTTGAGTTGTCCCGGTTGAGAACCAGCTTAGGCAAAAGTGTGGCCACTTTAGGGCAGGCTGGGGGCGGGGATATGAAAGGAAATCATCATCATCATCATCATCATCATCATCATCACAACAACAGTAATAATCATAATCATGGCCGCCATTTTGTGAGTACTGCTCTGGGAAGGCACACTCTAGAGGTTTTAAGATACACTCATTTAATCCTTGCAGCAATCTCATGGGGTTGGTATTATTATAGCTGTTACAGACAGGAAATCCAGGGTCTAGTAAGGCCAGGGTCCGGTCCCTCCTGACAGTACTCTTGTGCCCCTCGAGCAGCAGTCCCTTCTGGTTCATTCTTGGTGGTTCCCAGGGAGCGCGAGGAATGATGTCAGCAGAGCCGTGCTGTGACTGGATGAACACAACCCTGGGAACAATGCCTTTGGCACAGCTCTTTAAAAAGAAGTAAGTTGGGGCTTCATCTAAGGAAACTGGCTCTGTTCTACTCAGTCTCGTAGGAATTCTTAGAAATGTTGTGACCTGGAAAATTGGAGAGGTATGATTTGATTAATTTGCACATTTAAGTATGACAGTGTAACTAGAGAGTAAACAAATGGTAATTATGCCACAAAGCTTTCCTCCAATGGAGAGTCAGGGTCAAGGCAATCTGGAATCTTTGGCTTTTCAGATTAGTTGTGAACATGGAACAACAAGCTCATTCCTCCCCTCTACCCAGGGTGGACCCCTGTGTGGGGGATGGGGAAGTAGTTTTCCTTGCTTGGCTACAATAGCTTAGATTACCATACACTCATCTCTGACTTAGATTTTATACCTTCTTTTCCCCCATCCTACCCTGTGAAGACAATTGAAGGCTAGGGTTTGGTTAGGAAAGTAGCAAGTTAATAATGTATCAGAAAGTTGTTGGCAGTTGTGTTTCCTTGAATGACTCTTCTTTGAAGCTACATTGTTACAGTGATGTGTGTAATTTGACCTACTGTTCAAAAAGAATTCATTTCCATCCCTTCCTTGTTCGTTCATTCATCATGCGTTTATAGAAGCCAGTCCTTGACCCAGGGGGACCCATAGTCTAGACTCTGGAGGAGAGCACAAACATGGGAACCAGTAAGTATAGCTGTGGATGTGAAAAGTAAAGAGACAGAAGTAGAGAGCTTCCTTCTAAAGAGAGAGGGGAAAGAGTGGGAGGCAGCCTTTATTTCTAGGGGTACTTTCTCTCTCTTGTTCCATCCTCCGTCCTGGACTGATACCCTCCCTGCCCTTTGCATCCATGTTTTTTTTCCCTCTTATCCAGAGTGAGTCTCCTGGGAAACCCAGGCCTTCTTTCTGGGAGCTCCTCTCTCTTCTTCGTCACTCATGCCCAGGGTCACACTGGAGCTTCACCACCTTTTTCTGATACTGATAAGTTTCTTCAGCTTTGCATTCTTGCCTCATTTTTCTGTCATCTGACCCTAGCCGATCCTATCACTTGTTATGGAGGTAGCTAGAAGCACGTGAGATATGGAAAGTGTTGTACTGGAAAATACACAGCAGATATACAAATAACTCCACCTGGGCGAGGGAGCATTTTCTTAGGCTGGGTATCACCTTGGGTTTGAGGTGCACCTTCTCCCTAGGTGTCATTTTGGAGTCCCCGCCTTCTTAAAAATGTGCTATATAAGTATTGTCCACGTATGACCTCATTAATTCATTGAATATGGCAGAATTGATTGATTGGGATTTGGAAGGGCTCTATAAGAGAGACTGTGATCTTGTCAATCTCTCTAATAACAATCTGCGTGACACATACAATTAATCCCTTCCTTGGAAAGGAGTTGGGGGAGTAGAATCATAAATTTGGAAGCAAACATATCTTTTGTTAAAGTATATTTTTAAATTACAGTACTCATCTGGAACACAGGTGACATTTCTATCAGCAGAATTTCAAATTTATGCAGACTCGTTATTCTGCTTTGAAAAGCTTTATTTCCTTTGCTAACTACCAGATGGGATATTATAGTTATGAATCCCTAATTCTAATGAAATACAAGCCAATAGATGTATCACACTACGTTTTTCAAACCATAGACTATTACAGGCATGAAGCACAAGAAGTCTAACCCATTTTAAACTGATTAATTTAATTAGGAGACAGGTTTGGAGGAACAGAAAATTGCTTCTTGTTAGTTCTCTGAGCACTGCAGTTATAAGACTGTATGCTCTGCTCTAACACAGGTCTGTTCTCTCTGAGGTCATCTAATTCTCCTAAAAGGGGTTTTAGATGCTGAGTTGCATTTGTAAGTAAATTCTTTATTCTTTTTCTACCTTCTTTCTTTTTTATTCCATAGTCATTAAAGCCTTGCCGTGTTCTTGTTATGAACTGATAAATGCTTTGTAATTACTCTGTAACTAAAAATGTTAAACTTGAATGGTTATATGGATTTTTTTTTTATTTTTTTAAAAACTCACTGGAGAAAGGAACAGTGTTGTGGGGGTATAAAAAGAATTCTGACAGAGAAGAGCAGAAAACAGAAACTAGGTGTGGTGGGGGAGGAATGGCAGAAGTGCCAGGGTCTCTTGGTCCATGTCTTGAGCATTTACTGTTTGCCAGCCACCTTTATGTGGGTTGACCATATATACCATACCAGGGCTTGATATCCCTAAATCCTCAAAAAACTCCATGAAATTGCTACCTGTTTTCAGGATGCAAAAGCTAAGGCACAAAAATGTTAGTTATCTTGCTCAAGGTTACACAGCTAGTAAGGTGGAGACTAAATTTGAATCCAGGTGGGATGATTGCATCCTACAAAGTTCTTGACCAGAGAACTAATGTGGGGTTGGACCCACCCAAGTTCCAGTCCTACTCTGCTGCTTCCCAACAATGTGACCTTGGGTAAAGTTATTTTAACCCCTTTGAGACTTTTCCCCAATTTGTAAGTGGGTTTAAAGCACAGTATAAGGTTGCCGTGACTTTTAAATACTGTGATGTGTATTAATGGTTTGGCATGCAGAAGGAGCTTGGTGAACGTTGCCTTTTTGCCCTTTCATGTCATGTCCTGGGGAAGTAGCAGTGACAGCCTGCAGCCTCTGTTCTTCTCGAATGTTCCCAAGGTATGAGGCACCTCTGAGAACTCCCAGAGCTCTGCATAGGTTGCTTAAACGTACAGCCCACTCAATGAGATAATTTCTAAGGTTTCTTCTTGCCCTTATCTTTAGTGACTCCAAAGTTTAATTTTCATAAATTCATGTCTACCTAGTTACATCTTGCAAAGTGTAGGACTGCCTTTGCAGTTGATCTGTCAGTTTGTGTGTGTGCACAGCTGGAAAAGTGTGTTTTCCATGTAGAATGAGAGAATTTGCCTGGCACTGTCATTTATTTTTCTTAAGGAAAGATAAAAGTTTAGTTCTTTGATTTCTTTCTTGGGATTAGTTTTTTCTTGACTATCAAGAAAGAAGGGAAACAAGTTTGAGTGAAAATAGATTGAGGTTCCCCCCCCTCATTTCACACTATTAAAAGAGTGACACCCAACTTCTTAGGTTTCTCTTCCACAGCACGGGTGGGTTTTGTAGATTAATGTATGCTACTGAGATGTTGAGTCAGGGTTGGATTAGGGAGGAGCTCCCCTCCTTGCATTTCTCCCACTCTGTCCTTTCAGTCCCTCAACCAGCTAAGTTCATGCCTGTAGTTGGTTAGAAGGGAGGTTTTCTATACAGCTTGAGAGAAACATTTAACAGGGTATCTTCATGTTTGTGTAGATGTCATTTGCTTCATTAAAAGCAACAGAGTGACTTTTTAATGATTGCCATTCTAACTGGTGTGAGATGGTATCTCATAGTGGTTTTGATTTGCATTTCTCTGATGGCCAGTGATGATGAGCATTTTTTCATGTATTTTTTGGCTGCATAAATGTCTTCTTTTGAGAAGTGTCTGTTCATGTCCTTCGCCCACTTTTTGAAACAACAGGTGCTGGAGAGGATGTGGAGAAATAGGAACACTTTTACACTGTTGGTGGGACTGTAAACTAGTTCAACCATTGTGGAAGTCAGTGTGGCGATTCCTCAGGGATCTAGAACTAGAAATACCATTTGACCCAGCCATCCCATTACTGGGTATATACCCAAATGACTATAAATCATGCTGCTATAAAGACACATGCACACGTATGTTTATTGCGGCATTATTCACAATAGCAAAGACTTGGAACCAACCCAAATGTCCAACAATGATAGACTGGATTAAGAAAATGTGGCACATATACACCATGGAATACTATGCAGCCATAAAAAATGATGAGTTCATGTCCTTTGTAGGGACATGGATGAAATTGGAAACCATCATTCTCAGTAAACTATCTCAAGAACAAAAAACCAAACACCGCATATTCTCACTCATAGGTGGGAATTGAACAATGAGATCACATGGTCACAGGAAGGGGAATATCACACTGTGGGGACTGTGGTGGGGTGGGGGGAGGGGGGAGGGGTAGCATTGGGAGATATACCTAATGCTAGATGACGAGTTAGTGGGTGCAGCGCACCAGCATGGCACATGTATACATATGTAACTAACCTGCACAATGTGCACATGTACCCTAAAACTTAAAGTATAAAAAAAAAAAAAAAAAAAAAAGCAACAGAGTGTATACCTGTGACATTTACTAATGTGTGAGGTGTCTGAGGACCACCTGCGTGAGAATCCCCTCGGGTTATTACATAAAGAGATTCCTGGCCCACTACAGACCCACAGAATCAAACTTGTAGTGTCATTATTTTGTGATGTGAAAATATTCTTTTCGTGTATTGATCAAACCTCTGTTTGAGAAGCAACCATGCAAACTTATCACATCATTTGACCTTGTTCAGATCTTGGTGCACACATTTTCAGGGCTAATTTTCTCCCACTGCAGCTTGCTGCTGCCAGTGAGGGCCTGCTTGCCCAAGTTCCTGGTGACCTCACTGGTAGGCTGGGCTGGGAGTGGTTGGTGACGTTGCCAGGGAGACTGAAGTTGGGGGCATGCAGCCTGTGAAGCCAGGCAAGGCTGGAGCCAGGAATTTGTAGTTCACAGAATTAGATGCAAGGGTGAGGTGGTTTGTGCTCAGAGGAGATGAATTTACCAATCTTAGTGGGCAGAGGAGAGAAATGGGATTCAAATAACTGAAAGGAGAGGTAGCAGGAGACTCCAATGTGATGGGGATGGAGATGGGGCAATAGGGCCAGACCTTGGATCAGGTCTTTTCCTCAAGGTATTTATGGTATGACTTGACAGTCTAGCTACTGGGAATTTTTGCGGTAATTGAATATTTAGACATTGAGTATAATGCATTATATGGGTTAAGTGTATATATTGCTTATATAAGTAAAGAGTATAATTGAAGATAGCTAGTAACAGCTAAGAGTATAGCTAGTAAAAACATACTAGAACTAAAAATAAGCTCATTTCTGAAAAATGCATCCTTTACTACCCTATACCTACTATTTTAGAACATTCTAGAAAATGTAAGAATACACAAGCATACGTTCTTACATTCTAGTGCAGTGGTCCCCAAACTTTGCTGCACAAAAGGGCCATCTGGGTAATAATTTTAAAAACATAATGATGTCTGGCTTCTACTCCTAGACATTCTTATTTAAATTCTATGGGATATGATGTGGACATTGGGGTTTTAAAAGCTCTCCAGTCCCTCATTTTATAGATGAGAAGATTCAGGACTAGCAAGATTGTGAATTTTTCCAAGGCCACGTGGTTTAATAGTGGAGACCGGATTGAATAAAGAAAGGTCTTCTGACTCTTAGCTCAGGGCCCAGAAACCACTGGGCCTTCCAAACAAAGGGAATTTAAGACAGGGCATTGTCGACACAGGTGATGCAAGAGTTGAAAAGGCAAACTCCAAATGGTGAGGAACTCAGAGACCAGCAACAGCAGGAAGCAACTGCATCATCCGTAGGGTTGGAGAAATGATGGGAGCAGGTGGTGTTTCTGGATCCCAGAGACTGGAGCAACCTTGGAGGGAGCTAGGACCAAGATGGTAGTGGAAGACTGTGTCTGATGGGAGCCAAGACTCTAGAGGGGGCTAGAGATGCCACCTGAAGTGCATGTGTTGGGTGGATACCCTTGCTTCTCCCTCTTCCCTCTTGTTTTCTTGTCTTCCACCAATGCTTCCTATTGGCCCAGACCAGTTGGGAAGTGTGGTTTCCTTCAGGACAATGGAGGCAGCAGACCTGAAAACAACCCAGCAGTAACTAGCCCTGTGGTCTTTCTAATGTACTGAGGTCTTGTGATTAGAGCAGAACTCCATTTGGACACTGTTTCTCTTTCTTTCTTCTTTTTCTTTCTTTTCTTCAGATCTTGCTCTGTTGCCCAGGCTGGAGTGCAGTGGTGCAATCATAGCTCACTGTAACCTCGAACTCCTGGGCCTGAAGTGATCTTCCCATCTCAGCCTCCTAAGTAGCTGGGACTACAGGTGGATGCCACCATGCCTGGCTCTTTTTTTTTTTTTTTTTAATTTTTTGTGGAGACAGGGTTCAGCTATATTGTCCTGGCTGGTCCCAAACTCCTGGCCTCAAGTGATTTTCCTTCCTTGGCCTCCCAAAGTGCTGGGATTACAGGCATGAGACACCACACCAGTCTAATGGGCAGATAATTTCTTATATTCCTTTTCATAAGTGGTGTGATTGATAGGCTTCTAGGTTGCTATAATATACGTCTGCACATTTTCATTAATACCTTCTTTCTGTGACGATTCACCTCTCTCCCATTCAACATGTTTACATTTTTACATTTTTTATACTTAAAATATATATAGTTTTAAAAATACGCATTGTAATCTTATCTGTGCTAAATCTTAAACATTTGTTCCTTTGAAGACTAGTTACTTCCTAGATATATTGCCTAAAGCCAGATGATCCTATGCATGCATATGAGATGACAGATCTTACTTTACTATATCATTTAAAAGCATTTTTAAAGAAAAATGGAATTATAGTACACTGCATTTTATTTGTTCTGCCTGATGGGCCAAGTGCTTTGCACCCAGTGGAGCTGAGCCTTGCCAGCCTGCTGTTATAACAGTAGCTCCCCTGTAGAGCTCAGCATTCTTTAGACTTGGCTAATGAGTCTGATGTCATAAAGGGAGCTTTATTAAAATAAATATGGTACCATATTTTCTTTCTAATGGCATTCTGATTAATTCCATCATAAATGCATACCTGACACTCTTTTAATTAATTGAGATAGCAAAGGGATTCCAGCTAGTGATATTGAAAGTGTAGACGGTGTTTTCAACAGCATGTTCCTACCCTGACACCAGTATCAGTGTTTAGTATTACTGTAGATCAGAATCTGAAGACCTATGTCTATTTTAACATATGTCACTGAACGGCTGTGAGAGTAATTAAAGAGTAATGCTTGCCCCTGTTTTGAGGATGTAGCTACTTAAACACTAAGAGATTAAATGTTGCCGAAGGCTACCAGCAAGGGAGTTGTGGAGGCAGGGTTAGAACTGGTTTCTAATTTCTAGCCTTTTGCTTAAATTGCCAACCATGGGTCCCGGTAATGTGTTCTGACTTTATTTTCCTTCAGACTTAATCTGCGGTTAATGATAGCTTTCACAATCAGAAAGAACATGTAGGTCTCGAATTTATGACTTCCATAAATCTACTACTTTCCAACATACCCACAAGGATGGTTTGGCAGAGACACAGCTTGTGGTACACCTATTATCCTTTAGTTAATTGGGCTGTTTTTACTATTTGGGAGATCCTATATTTTAACATAGTACGTGAAATATTAATAGTAAATATGAAATATAAATTTCAAACTTTAAACATTTTGTACCATTACCTAATTTTTAAAAATGCTTATGACTAAACCTGCTGAACATGGCATGTTCGAATGATTATTTTACTTCTGTGGTCTATTCCTCTCAGAAACATTGCCGTCCAGAAAAATCTAATGATTTCTTCTTGTGGAATAGTGGAATGCTAGATAATGGCACAAAACCAGATCCTTCAGACTGTATAAATGCAATGTAAAAATGGAGTGGAAACATTCAGTTTTAGGAAGTTAGTGACTCTTCATGTCCTGTAAAATTGTGTGTATGCATGTATTTTTTTTTAAATGCCAGGAGGTTTGCCAATGGGACTATAGAGGATATGCCAGTGAGACAGAGAAGATATGACTTATACAGACAAGCCAGAATGCTCATTATCAGAGGGATATTTGTAGGATAAATCTTATCTTTTACAGGACGTAAGAAAGATAAAGAACTATTTTATGGTGGTTAATTCAGCTCAGATTGCTGCATTATTTAAAACTGTGAGGGAATCTTTAAAAAAATTCAATTTTCTATTTCCCATCTACTTTAATTACTTTCAGCGGGATTTTATTCATTGTAGGCAATGAATTGTCCACGGATAAATGGAATTGTTGGTAGTCACTTTCACTTTGGAGCTCTTCTATAATCGAAATATGAAGATATTTGCATTGCTTTATGAGGACATTTAAATACAAGAAGTAGGTTTTTATATTTCAGATTGAAAGCAAAGAAAGCTACCTCACTGATTCTAAATTCACTTTGTAAAATCTCGAATTACTGAAATTAAGTTCATTCAGCTCAAATAAGCCAATTGTTTTCCCTTTGCTCCAAGGGAGAAGAGCAGGCTCTGTACCATCTTGATTGGTTTTTTATTTGCTCATCCCCTGATATGATTTGGCTGTGTCCCCACCCAAATCTCATCCTGAACTATAGTTCCCATAATCCCCACATGTCATGGGAGGGACCCAGTGGGAGGTAATTGAATCATGGCGGTAGTTACCTCTATGCTGTTTTTGTGATAGTGAATGGGTTCTTATGAGATCTGATGGTTTAATAAGGGGTTTTCCTCCCACTTTGCTCTGGACTTCTTGTTGCCACCATGTGAAGAAGGCCTCCCCAGCCGTGCTGAACTGTGAGTCAATTAAACCTCTTTCATTTATAAATGACCCAGTCTTGGGTGTGTCTTTATTAGCAGCATGAGAATGGGCTAATACATCCCCCTTTTGTAATACCGTGAGGGAGGGCGTGCATTAGAATTGTGGTATTCCAGTAGGAAAATGAATACACCATAACAAGTCATGGTATCTGACTTTAGAACACAAACCATTTGTTTCTGATGTTGATGTGCAGACTGGCTTCCGTGACTTGGACTTGCATTCTCTTGGTCATGTCAGATTTAAGATTCTTTTATGCAGAACAAGCTAAACAATATCATGGAGTTATAGGAACCTATTTATTGTACATGTAATGAGATAAAGGTGGCCTGTAATAAAACAGTGCTTTTTAATATTGAAGATGCTGAAACTCCTGGAGAAGCAGGTAACCTGCGTATTTAATTCAAGGACTGAATCATAAGAGCTCATCTTTGGGAAGGAGCTTACCATCATTTAATGCTGGATTTTTACCTTGCTTCCTACAGAAACTATTCCCCCCACTTTGATATGCAAATATTTCCATTGGGCTTTTGGTTTCTTTTACAGTTTTCCAAGGCACTACATCATTGTATTTGGTAATTTCACTTTCTTTGTGTAATTGTTCCTAATCTTTATTCTAAAATCTTATCCTACAATAGTTCAATGAAAGGTGCTTTTCTTTTTCTTTTAATGTTTGGAATACTGCACTTAATGGAGATTCCCATGTTTACTTTAAAAATATTCAAATTTTCAGAAAAATGTATTCCCCACTTTATCCAAATGAAGAGTAGTCACTGCAGAAATCTTTTTATTAGAATCATAGCATTAACATTGGAAATTATCTACATCAGTTCCCGTTCAATGCAGAAGTCTCTAGGCTTAGTTTTGTAGAGTACAGAGAGGGCTAGGCATCTGTACTTCAATCTACAAATCCTCTTTTCCTCAACATCCCTCCTAAAATGTGGTTTCAAGGTGGCTATGGCCTTGGTTTTCTTTCTTTCTCAAGCTCTTCAGGATGCCACATTAAAAAAAAATTGACAGATGTGATAAAAATTTTGATGTTAAGACCCGATAAATATTTTTATAGATGCCTCACCAGTGTGCTTAAGGGACACCCACGGAAGGTAGACTGGTGGAGGCTTAGGACAGTACTGTCTCCCTCAAGGAGCTGTATATACCTGGAATTATGGCACATGCTCACATGGCATAGTTAGGACAGAACATAAGAGATCTGTGATTAGGTGGCAAAGCATATAAAACAACTACTAGAAAATGGTCATGGGAAGGGAGGGGACAGTGTTGAGCCTTGGCAAATAGATATTGGAGCAAATGATTTGCAAGGAGACTGATCTGATGGAACAGTATTCATGTTTGAGGCTGGTAGTAATAAGATGGGATAAATCAAATAGGACAAAGTCACTAACAGGCCTCAAATGTCACTGTGCCGATTTTGAACTTGACATTGAAGTTACTGGGAGCCAGTATGGACTTTCGAGCACTGGTTGACTAAACGAAGGCAGAACTTTTATCTATTTCACTTGCTTAGAATGCCTAGCAATGTGAAAACAGTTAAATCTAGAAGACCAAATATAGCTGTTGCACAAGGTTCTAGAAGACCAAATATAGCTATTGCATGAGGTTCTAGGCACTGAGAGCAAGTTTGACCTGAAGAGGTCCAGCTTTGGATGGATGGACCAGAAAGGAAAAAAATCAAAAGGATTTTTGGTAATTGGCAACGATAAAGAGGTTTTGAATCTAAGATAACCATGAGTTTTGGTGCAAATGGCAAGGACAATGTTGGTGCCATTGACAAAATTAGGGGAATTATTTTGTTTCTTATTTCAGCACTGAAATATGGAAATTTAATTTGCTTTTGAGCAAATCAACTTTTTGGCACAGTCCCTTGTTTCAATACTTAAGACCAGGCCCAGTGAGCAGATGGGAGATGGGGACTTGCTTCTGGAGAATTAGAGCTTTGAGTTCTAGTCTGCCATTGATCGATTACAATCAAGCAAATCCCTTCCTCCCTTGATATTTCCCACATATGAAATGGGAAGGATAATGGGTTTCTGCTTAGAGGGTGATTGTATTAGTCTGTTCTGACTGCTATAACAAATATGCCATTATTATCACAATTCTGAAGGCTGAAAAGCTTAAGATCAAGGTGGGGGCAGACCCAGGGTCTGGTGAGGGCTTGCTTCCAGGTTTGCAGATAGCCATCATCTCTCTGTCCTCACAGGGTGGAGAGCAGACAATGAGGAAGGTAGCTCTCTCCTGTCTCTTTTATAAGGGCACTAATTCCATTATGAGGGCCCCATCCTTATGACTTAATTACCTTCCCAACGCCCTGCCTCCTAATACATCCCATTTGGGATTTGATTTCAACATATGAATTCTGGGGAAACACAGATGCGCAGTTTGTAACAGTGATTGTAAAGGATGTGCAAAGAAACGTTGGCAAGAATGCTGTGCAAATGGACCTGTCTTTATGCATACTCTCCTTTATTGTTGATGTGGGTGTTAAAGCCCATGACCAGTCATTAAGAACCCTTACTCCACTCTCTTCTGGGCATATGGCAAGTGAGATTCTGACTTTAATGGCTGGGATGGGGAGAAAGGAGCTGGGAACATATGAGAAGGACCTCTTTGTCTTGTGTCTGTTTCAGCAGCAAGAGAGAAGACATTGCTTGCAGCCAGAAGGAAAGGGACTGTCTCCAGGAAAATGTAGCCTTTAGTTAGCAGAACTTACTTTAGAAGGACTAGGACTCAGGCTTTTAAATAAAGTGTTGAAGTCTCTGTTCATCTGCATGTGTGTGTTGAAAGAATTAGTCAAAATATCTGACCTTCACTTTTTAGGACTGAATCACCATTCTTTGCTAAAAACCCTGAGTATGGAGTGATAATAACAAGAATCAAAAGGTGTTTTCAAGTTGTATATACAACATAGATAGGGTTTTGTTTTAAAGATAGGCAGTGAGACTTTTTCTGTATTGTAATTTTCATTAGCATTTTGTAATAAATTTAGTATCTCCAGTTGGGGTTCAATAACTTAAAATGAGAAAAATTGCAATTTTAATAATAAGCACAGGTTGATTGCCTACTTTGTCTTTTGTATTAAAATGAATGTTGCAATTACTGTGTATTAATACCCAGCAAACTATGTTTCTTTTTCATCTGGAACTAGAAAGTATTACTTCTAAACAGGCACACACAATTTATCCTTGTAAATAAAATAATTCTAAGTGTGCATGTATATGTTTATTATGAAGCCATCTTTCAGAATGCACCAAATGGAAGGAGAGAGGAGCTGATTGTCTTTTATTGTGGGGCTGACAGAATGTTTATTAATGGCCATGGATTTGAAATGAGCATCTTACTAAATGGAAGTCTTTGGCCAACCTCTGACCCTTTTGTCTTAAAGGTTTGAGAACAGATAATACGAAAGAATACCAGCTTTTTTCCAGATGGCTGCATGCCTGATGTTCCTTTATGTTTAGCTGTCATTCAAATATGAATGCCCAGTGATTATAAGTGTCTCTTTCTCTTTTCTGGACTGAAATGAAACCTTTTATGCATTGTGTGTTAAAACAGATTAACTGTTTGGCTCATCAGTAGGGAAATTAGAACAATAGCTGCCAATTCAATGGTATAGTAGAAGAATGTCCTTTGGGGCCAGGGGCTAAGGTTCATAAGCAAATGGTATGTACAAGTGTCAGACTGGGGAAGGACAGACAAGTTATAAAAATAATTCGCCTGAATTTTAATTTTATAACTGCGTTGGAGTAGTAATATCTTTTAGAAGCAGGGAGGATTTAGATAAATTTTTACGAACTTTTACATATTTTTTAGTTGCTCCATTAATAATTTCTTGGAGTGCTGTTGTACACGATGAATTTAAAATGATGGATTTATAGATAATGTGTCTTATGAAGACATAATGCAGAATTACTGTATGTTTCCTTAACTTTTTAGTGTGCTAAAGTTGTCTTTTAAATATATGTATTTCATAAGGTAGAATAATGGATAATTTGAATGTCATTTTTCTACCAATACTAACACTTTTGTAATCTGAAATGGAAGTCAAGGTGGACAGCTATCATTTAGGTATGGTTGCAATGCAGACCTGCCCGGAGGGCAAGGGGAAAACTGGTGACCCCTCAGTGACCTTTGTAGGAGATGGCTGGAGGCCAAAGGTCTGAGGGGACCAACCGCATCAATTTAGGAAACTAGAGTACTTTACAAAATGCTAGACAAACTCACATTGTTAGCTCTGAGTAGTAAGGTGGCTGTCATTTTCCATGGAAATCCATAGAATGAGGAAACTACAGTAGTCTTATGACCTAGTGGACGAAAAAGAGCACATGTGAGCTTATTTAACCCCTATGTAAAGAGATTATTTTGGTAACAAGAGGTACTTTTTATGTATTGTTTATAGAAAAGCACAAAGGAAAGCCTACCATGAAATTCTGTTGTTTTAATAACAATTGTGTTTTCTAAAACATCCAAAGATGAAAATAGGCTTAAATAAAATAGGCAGCTATACCACTTTGTAAAACTTATTGTCATAGTATATTTTTGATATTTTCACATTTTGTTTTGTATTATACTTTTTAAAATGATTTTATGCCCAGCTAATTTTTATAACAGCTTTATTGGTGTATAATTCACATCCTAAACAATTCACCCATTAAAAAATGCAGAAATCAATGACTTTTATTATATTCTCAGAGTATTTGCATCCATCACTACACAGTTTTGGAATGCTCTCATACATTCTTCCCCAAAGAAACCCCACTCTTCTTACCAGTTATCCCCTATTCCCACCAGCCCTTGACAATTACTAGTCTACTTTTGGTACTTTTGGTCCCTATGAAGTTGCCCACTCTGGACATTTCATATAAATGGAATTGTACAATCAATATGTGGTCCTTTGTGATTAGCTTCTTTCAGTTGAAATGTTTTCAAGGTTCAACCATGTTGTAGCATGTGTCAGTATTTATTCCCTTTTATGGCTGAATAAATTCTATTGTATGGATATGCCACATTTTGTTTATGCATTCATCTATTGGGGGACATTTGGATTGTTTCCACTATATTTATACTTTTGTTAATTAAGTGTTTTTTCCAGTGAATATTTATCTTGTACACAATATGACTTCTATTAGGTTTTAAGAGGTTAACATCTATGTACGTTTCATGTAAGATTATGGTGACTACCAAAAGACAACTGTGGAGTCAAGGGCTACTATAACAGGTCTTGCACAAAATCCAATCAAACACCATAGACCTCTAGGATCTAAGCATCCTCAACGTAGATTGAGGATCTCCAGAATGGAAGAAATGCTTATGGTTAGCAGTAGAGTGGTGGGTAGGGGAGGGGGCTTGCGCATGGAGCAATGGCAGATGAGCTACAGTATCTTGTAATATCCTCCACAGTACCATACCCTGCCTAGCATGCAGTTGGCATTCAGTAAATACTTGTTGTCTGAGCCCATTTTGTGTAATGCCACACCAATTTACCATCTTCCAAGGGGCAAATTTTCGAATAGTTTGCAGGCTCTCAGCTCTCCCAAGACTAACTAATATCCTGCAACTTAAATAAGATTGTTATCTTGATAATGATTATAGTTGCAGAGTACTCAGTAGTTTATGAATACTTTTATTTGGCTCTATTTAATTTTCTAGGTAAATACTGGGTAGAACAGGGAGAAATCTCATTTGCCAGAAAACTCAGGAGTCAGAAGTATCATTTCTATTAACCAGCAAAGTCAAACTTCACTCCAGGTCCTGCAGCTGCAGAATTTGTGCTTTTCTTCAAATATCCTGCTACTTACACACCTCTCTACCTCTGCCTTTATCTTGCTTCTCCTCTTTTTATTAACTACGACCAGCATCCACTAAGACTTTTGTGGGGACCTCTGAGGGTTTTAGTGTGAAAACAACCTTACTGAAAATGTACACTAAGGAGTTCCACAGTTGTGTCTTGACTGTTTCCTTGAATAAATTCTCTGTCTTACGTACCAATATTAATAGTGATTATGGCACTCCAAGATGCCACACAGTGGTTCCATCAACACTCGGTCCCTGAAACAGAAGTCCAGAACTGAATAAATGAAATGGAGTCTATGATTAAATAATTGCAGTAAAGCAGATACTGGGTAAAAGGAGTTGGCAAGGTTATCTTCATTGATACTTGGAGATGAGGTCGAATGCTAGTGCCAGGCGATACAGGACTGGACTCCTGAAAGGGCATTGTGTTGCCCTTTCACTCATTACTGAGTGTTCCTGTGCATTTCAGTAAATATAACATCTATCTATAAAAGCATCTGTTAGCATGATGAGAAACAGGCAATGCCTATTCCTTTTCCACAGAGTTTACCAACATACTTTCTCACAATAATAGCAAAGAATTAAGATAATCATCACTCTAAGTAGGATGTGAAAGAAATTTAGAGAAGGTGACTAGTGATTATGCGTGGAGAACTTGCTGTATTCAGGAATGTACTTTTATCTCTATCTTAACAGGTGGGCAAGCAAGGGTTAAGTAATTTTGCCCAAGATCAAACGTCTAGAAAACAGTGGAGCCAGACTGTATCCATGCCATGAAACTCCAGCATTCTTATTTGGCATCCCAGTGCTCAGCTGCCACCTGCAGTTGACCGTAATTGCTAATCACCCCTTCTTCCCTTTGTCACTGAGTCCTGTGACTATGCTTCTGAAGTGAAAGTCATTTTTCTTTTTTTTCTCACTTCATACCTCTATTGGTGGTTATTTTATTCTCTGAACTATAAAAGTAATGCATATCCACTGGAGAAAAATTCAGAAAATAACGTATAACAAAGAAATTAAAAAGTACTTGAAATTCTGCAGTGTAAATAGCACAGAATTAAAGACATATGGAAGCCTCAGCTATGTTGGTGTTTGTGAAGTCGTTTGATCAGGTGCTTTTATTCACTTTCTTTCACAATTGCTGTTTCTAAGTGCAAAAATTTCAGTGATGCCTCCAGTGATCTGACTAGAGAAATGTCTGTTCCTTAGCATCATGGGTCTACTTTATAAAGTAGACCCTCTCTGAGTTGTTAGCAAGTGTGATGTTGTTTTGTAGGGTACTCAGATGCTGTATTAGTTCAGAATATCCTGTTTGACCCTTGGTGTACCTGAATTAGACCATGAAGGTTTCTTTGTTTCTGTAGGAAATTTCACTCAGAATGTCTGCTTAAGAAGTCATCACCTTCTTCTATGGTCTCCAAAGGAGAGCAAAGTCTACTCCATCCTCTGTCCCATCCACTGCCCCTTGCCCCACTGGCTGGACTCGGGCAGTGGAAACACTTCTCTGTCTAAACCATTGACAGTGGACCTCATGATGAGGCCAAGCATTGAAGAGATTAGAAATTGAGATGGAGTTTGGTCAGGGCTTTGACAAGGATGGGCACCATAGGAAATAGTGTGTCCCAGGCAGTGGTTGATGGTTTGACTCTTCTCCATCCTGTTTCTTATTGCTGTTCCATCAGTGCTGGTGACACTGCTGTCTGTGTTTGTAGAATGCTGGTGATGAGGAATGAGGACAGCATTGAAAGACGAAGTTGAGTGGGGAAGAAAGAAACAGTTTACCAAAGAATATCAAGCATTATTAGTTGCTTATTAAGAAGTGGGACATTTCTGTATGTTAGTCAATTAAAAACAGTCACTTTGTGAGGTCTTTTTATCACTTTGGAGCTGAGGAAATGAAAATTCAGAAAAGTCAAGTATGATTTTGTAAAGCTGCATGTATAAAATGAGCATGTACTTTAAATGTTTCATTTGTTCATGCTTTGTTTTACGTTTTGTAATAAATTGAGCCTTGGTCAAAGTTGAAACTCAGAATTTTATTTTTAAAAGGAAATGAGAGCATGCTATGCTATTGGGCTCAATTTGAATTCTTCAGTGAAACAAAGAAGTAGAATTTTATTCATTCATTCAGCAAACTTCTTTTTTTGAGCAACTGATTATTTGCAGGTGCTATGCTAGATGCTGCAAGCAAAACATGTGCTCTGCTATCATGCAGCTTGCTGACTGCTGGGTGTAAAGACAATTAAGTAAAAACAATAGAGCACTTTAATGAGTCTTGTGATGATTTTTTTTGATAGAGAATAAGTTTCATAAACAATTACATTTAGAATTATGAAATCGTGAGATAAAGGAATATAATGTCCTAGGTTATTGTCTAATAACCATGATTTCCTCCTTTTTTGCTTTGAACAAACTTTTTGTGAAAAATTTCAAACTCATACAAATAGAATAGATTATGAGCCTTCCTTACCCCACAAGTATCCATCATCCAGCTCTTCAAATCATTAACCACTGATCAATGTGGCTTCATTGTTTTTCTTTCATATTTTTTTCCTATTTTGTTCCTATTTGTTTTTCTTTTGGGAGATGCTGGAAGTCTTGGAGCAGGGCTTTCTGTGTAATAGTGGAGCCATACTGAAAAATTATTTTTCAAATTTTTGTATCCTTTTTTGAAACCTGACTTCAGGGTTCAAGGGTGAATCCTGCTGCTCTTAGAGGGACCTTCTTTTGCTGCCTTTAGAGGATTGTTTACCTTGTAGAAAAGTATATGAAGTGTTGGTTTGGAAAAAGCAAACACACTTGTCAGGTGCAAAAACATAGAACACTCCCAATAATCTTTCATGTAAGCTAAACTTGGCCAGGCGCGGTGGCTCATGCCTGTAATCCCAGCACTTTGGGAGGCCGAGGCAGGTGGATCGCCTGAGGTTGGGAGTTCCAGACCAGCCTGACCAACATGGAGAAACCCCGTCTCTACTAAAAATACAAAATTAGCTGGGTGTGGTGGCACATGCATTTACTCAGGAGGCTGAAGCAGGAGAATTGCTTGAACCCGGGAGGCAGAGGTTGCTGTGAGGTGAGATGGCACCATTGCACTCCAGCCTGGGCAACAAGAGAGAAACTCACTCACTCTCTCTCTCTCTCTCTCTCTATCTGTCTCTCTCTCTCTCTCTCTATATATATATTATATATAATTTTTCATGTAAGATAAACCTAAGAAAAATAACTGCATGGAACATTCGTATTTGTGGTCTCTAAATTGTGTAAAGGCAGCAATTTCAGGCTTTTAAGGAATCAAGCTGGCTGCAGAATTGGGTATGGGAAATTAGCTTGTCTAACTCATTGGCTTGATTTTTGCGGTGCCCATGATCTTTGATGAGGACTTTGTATTCCATTGTTCTGTGTAATGCTTCCACAAGTCATTTCTGCGAATGGATGAATTTTTCTTATGTGGCAGGAGCCGATGCGTGTTTTTTTTTTGGTAGCGATCTTAATGATGCCCATAGGATAAATGAGAAATTCTCACAAATCCTCACTAATAAATATGGACACTTAAAAAGTCTCCAGGTGTGGATGCTTTGTGTTTACTGCTGAGAGTGCCCCTGAAAATGCTTTTTAAATTTTCTTGCCTGTCCAGGTAATGTGATGGGAACTACAGGAAGCCAGTTTAAGTGTCAATGTAGCCTAGAATATGGAGAAAAGGCAATTGTTTGCATAATATTCTACTGCTAACATGTGTGAATGTGCTTTGCAAACTTATTTCAGTTCTTGAACATCTCAGAAGGGCTGGGGAGCAGGTGATGTTGACCCTTTTTTACTCTTAAGTAAATGCTCTTAAGTGGGCCAGTCAATAGTGAGCTGGGACCAGAACTCAAGTCTTCTGTTATTAGCATGTGTTGCTGTCCAGAGTAGAGCCTGGTACATTATAGGCACTTGGTAATTGAATGAATGAGTGAATGAATGGAAATACTCCAAGTCAGCTTTTTGCAGAGGATGCCTTTATAGACCCTTGGTATTATGAAGAGATCTTTGGAAACATGTTTTATGGAAAGATAATTTAGGAAATATTTGTCTCTGGAAGAGTCACTGAATATGTAAATATATCCTGCATCAAAGAAATCACTGTACCTTTGTTTAGTCCAGTGTTTAATGATTATGGTGCCTTCCTATGTAGCACATCTATTAATGTCCCATAGAATTATTGTTATGTGTAAGAGCATTTTGGAAACATAGCTCCAAATGAATAGCTTTCTAGAGGGGAATTTGATATTGACCAGTTAAGACTATCAAATTAAAAGTTAAACTCAGATTGTGACCTTCTGCTTTTGTCTCATTTACTCCTTTGTTTCCATCCTGAAGTTGCAACTGTCATCTCTACGTAGATTATTTGGACTTTACCTTTTCTATCTTACCTGTTTCCTGGGTAGTTCTTTTATTTGTGAATTTAAAAAAAGCAAACTTTATTCTTTTAAGAATAATACATGTTCAAGTTGGAAAATTAGAAAATATAACCTGGCAAAATTAAGAGTATAATTCTACTCATAATCCCACTATCAGAGATAACTGTTATTTATGTGCTGTTGTACATATCCTTTAGAACTCAAGACTACAGGGGTAGTTTATCTGGGTTCAAGTCCCAGCTGTTTCTCCTACTGGCTGTGTAACTTTGGGCAGGATATTTAGCCTATAGCCTCGATTTCCTCATCTGTAATATGGGGATAATTATAGTGCCTATATGATAGGGCCATTATGGGGATTAAATGAATTAATATTTATAAAAGATTAGAACAATACCAGACACATGGAATTTATATATGCTAAATTAAATGTGTATGTATGCAAGTATGTATGTGTACAATATTATATTGCATGCATATATCACAAAATTAAGCAGTACCCCATTGTTCTATATTAACAATTTGTTTTAAATTTTTCACAGTAACAAACACTCTGTAGTAAACATTCATTCTCCCTGTTTTTTACGTATCCATCATTATTTCCTTAAGTCAATTTCTTAATGGGATCTACTAGATCAATGGATGTACATGTTTTTAGAACTTTGATATAGTCTTTCTAGAGAACTTGGTAAGAGATCCTGTCAATGCTGCTAATAGCTGTGTTTGAGAATGCTGTCTTTTTTTCTTTTCATCAATATGGAAGATAAAACATTTTTCCCATTTAAAAGACATTACTAATGAAGTTAATTGTTGCTCTATGGATAGATTTTGCCACTTGTATTTCCTTTTTGGTTGTTGCTATTTACAGTTTGAAAAAAAAAAGACATTGTTTTTTCTTTTTGCAAGAACCCTGGTGATCTTTCGATACATACAGTGAAGGCACAGTGATCAGATCAGGGTAATTAGTATATTCATCATCTTAAAAGTCTATCATTTCTTTTTGTTGGAAACATTCAATATCCTCTTTTCTAGCTATTTGAAAATATATGTTATTGTTAATCATAATCATTCTACAGTACTTTAGAACACTAGGACTTACTCTTCCCATCTAGCTATTATTTTGCATCCCTTAACAAATTTCTCCCTACCTCTTTTCCCCCTACCTATCCCTGCTTCTAGTATCCTCTGTTTTACTTTTTACTTCTATGAGATCACCATTTTTTAGCTTCCAAATATGAGTGAGAACATGTAGTGTTTGACTTTCTGTTCCTGGCTTATTTCACTTAACCTGGTATCCTCCAATTCAATCTCTTTTGCCTAGAATGACAGGATTTTATCCTTTTTTATGGCTTAATAATATTCCATTGTGTATATATGCCACATTTTCTGTATCAGTTCATCTTTCATTGGACTCCTAGGATGATTCCATATCTTGGTTGTTGTGAATAGTGCTAGAATAGACATGGGGGTGTAATATCTCTTTGATACACTGATTTCCTTTTCTTTGGTAAATGCCCAATAGTGAGATTGCTGGATCATATGGTAGTTCTATTTGTAGTTTCTAGAGGAACCTCCATACTGTTCTCCACAGTGACTGTATTAGTTTCCATTTCCACCAACAGTGTATAAGTGTTCCTGTTTCTCTGCATCCTCACTAGCATTTTTTTTTAATTTTTATTTTTTGATTATAGCCATTCTAACTGGGGTGACATGATATCTCATTATGGCTTTGATTTGCATTTCCCTCATGAGTAGGATGTTAAGCATTTTTTCACATATTTTTTGGCCATTTATATGTGTTCTTTTGAAAAATACCTGTTCAGAGCATTTGCTCATTTTTAAATTGGATTTTTTTTTGCTATTGAGCTCTTTGAGTTCCTATTTATTTTGAATATTAATCCCCTGTCAGATTGCATGTATTTTCTGCCATTCTGTAGGTTGCCTTTTTTCTCTGATTGTTTCCTTTGCTGTGCAGAATCATTTTAGTTTGTATATAATCCCATTTATTTATGCTTTTGTTGCTTGTGCTTTTGAGGTGTTATTCATAAAATCCTTTTTCAAACCAATGTCTTAAAGTGTTTCCACTGTGTTTTCTTCTGTTAGTTTCATAGTTTCATGTCTTACATTATGTAAGACATTTAATCCATTTTGAGTTGATTTTTGTATAGAGAGATGGGAGTCTGTTCTTTTTTCCTTATTGATACCTAGTTTTCCTAGCACCATTTATTGAAGAGATTGTTCTTTCTTTAATATTCTTTGCACCTTTGTCAAACATCAATTAGCTGTACATACATAGGTTAATTGCTGGTTTCACTATTCCGTTCCATTGGTCTGTGTGCCTGCTTTTATGCCAGTACCACGATGTTTTGGTTACTATAGCTTTGTAGTATATTTTGAAGTCTGGTACTGTGATGCCTGCAGCTTTGTTCTTTTTGTCATAGGGAAATTTTTAAATTTTTAAATGAAGTTTGCCTAGAGAGGAAAAATGTTTTTAATTTCCTTTTTTATCCTAAAGTAGAAGTGATAAGGTTTCAGTTTTTAAAAGTAACATCTCATTCACATTTCATGCTTTTGTGATATTGACCTGTATTCTTTCCATCATTGACTAGCCTCTCTTTCAACTCATTTACAAAATGAGTTATATAGAATGTAATATATATACATAATATTAAATGATTGTCATGTGTGGACTTACTGAGCTAGATAGTTGAATCTTTCTGTCCAACTGTTTAGTTTAAAATAGGATTTTTTTTTTCTGAGTAAATCTATTATGGATGAACTTGGGGATTTTGTTTGTCAACCCATTGGACAAGAATGGAGTGGAGAAATTTCTTTCAGGGACTGATCGTTAAGCACATTTCCTGGATACGGACCTTAAGACCTGTATTTTAAAATAATGGAAGTAAAATATCTGATGCATGGAATCTTCTCATGCATATAACCTCGTTTTCTACTCCATTTATTTGATAATTGTTTCATCATTTCAGATTCAATTTGTAATAGCAATGAACACTCTTTAATATTTTTCTAATAAGGATTAGTTGGAGAGGTTAATATGGTCAGAAATTTAAAGAAGCCCAGAGTCATCTTAATGAGTGTCAGGTAATTAACCTACATGAATAGATTAAAGAAATCAAGCAGGCACGCTGATGGGTTTTCCTTTCAAGTTCAAATTTAGAACATCATCTTTGCAGTGGTTAGGTCTTACATGTTAGATGGTGATTGCTATATTGTTTTTTAATATATAAAAAGCTTAATTGTGAAACCTTATTAGAATTCCTCATCAAATTTGCTTAATTGAAGAATGATTATGGTATGTGATATGAATTTTGAATTTTTATATGCAAATGATATTTTTAAAATAAATAGGCTTCCCAAAATGATTTTCTTCATGAATCAAGAACCAGTGCTTTAATATGTAGATCTCTTGTTACAAGAAAAACAATCAATGTAGAGCTTAAGCAGTTCGTGAACTGCTGAATTTAGGCGTAGGAAACTTGGTGAAAGTGATTGTCACTGTTATCCCAGGAATGCTGTTCAAATCTAAATGAAAATTTATGCCAGTGGTCACTGTAAGACTAAAAGGCAAGTTCTGGAAGTAATCTTGAGTAGTTCAAAGGCAAGATTTCATCTACATTATTCAAATAGGTAGTTTCTCTTCTTAAGGAATTCTAGGCATTTATAGAAATTTCTCCTTTGTTTAATTACAATGAAGTTGATATAAGCTGTTTGTGTTTCTGGCCCCTCTGAAGGTGGTGTGCAGGTAGTTGCTATCCTTTCTTTTATAATTATGGCGACTTTAGACATGGAAGAGGCTAAAACCAGAGATCATTGACTTTGATCCTGTCATTACAGGGAGTTATTTCTCATCTAGGGTAGATAGCCCCATCTTGAAGAATGAGACAAAATACAAATTTGGACCTCAGCTCTGTCACTTGCCATTTACTCCTTGAGCCTAAATATTCTGTTTTGCACAATGGAGCCAAAAGTCTCATCAAATGGACAGAATAAATGACATATTGCTTGTGCAAACACTTTGTTGATCTGCTCAACAATACAAGTATCAGATGTTTCATTGTTGCTTTCCAAGGAACTTCTCTCCTCTCACTCCTAGGTGTGTCTCGTCCAAGATGTGCTCATTTTATTTGACCGTCTTTTAATTTTCAGTCTCTTAATTGAGTTCTGTTTTCCCCAACCCTGCCCAAGGACTTTCTTAAACAATAGTACAAAGACACAGTTTAAAAAAAATAAAAACAGTTTAAAAAAAAATAAAAACAAAACTGTTGAGTTCAAGAGGAGGCAAAATGTTATTATTTCTACACACACCATTCCTAATCTGTGGTTAGTAAAATGTCAGTTTAGGTCAGAGCCTTGTACTTTAATCTGCATTATGGCCCGTTACCTTTTTCCATTGTCACAGACTGTATCCCCAACTCTCATTAATGAGGGTCCCTATTTAAAAGAGAGATCAAATCAACCCTTATTGTGTAAAGGGCTCTGTGTTGATTGTTGGTGGGGGTGGGTGAGATACAAATATAACGTACAGACCATCCTTATACCTCTTATCATGGTTAGAAGATGGCATATTGTGTAAGCCAGTTGTTGATACTCTAAGTGTCTCCCGACCACTCATTTGGTCGTTTGGATTTTATAAAATGTATTCTATTTCTCCAGCTGTGTTTGTGATGGATAAGGAGCTATCTTTATGCCACTCTATATTGCCATATTGACCAACACAATTGTTTCCTTAGCAGATACTCAATGAATGCTTTGAATCAAGCTGTAGAATCAGAATAATTGAAATAAACCCCTTGTTACTTTTAGAAAAACAATTCACAAGACTGATATTACTGATGCTAGGTGATAATATCCTATGAAACTCTAAAGAGGGTCCATAAAAGAGCCTTCCTGCTCAGCACAGGAATGAGGAAGGGTAGATAGATGGAACGTTCTTTAAGTCTGAAAAGTTAAAGGTACTGAATCCTTATCACATAACCTGAGGCATCTAATTTAATTTTCTTTTATGCCTTTTTTACTCCTATTTTATTAAATTTGCAGTCTGTCAACCTCTTTGAGAATTTTCTTAATTTTTCTGGATCTGACTTCCTAATAACACGTTTTGTATTAGAAAGACTTTATTTTAGCTGCAGTTGAAGTAATTTGTAGGTCATGATTAATTCACCAGTATTATTTCAGGAATCCTCATACAAACTGTTTCAGTGGTTATTGTTTGTTCATTTCTCTACTGGGGCAAGTTAAGTACTGAGAAGTAAAGTAATCCACAAAGTCAGTGGAAATTGTTTGGATCTCTGAGGACTATCAGGAACAGATAATGAAAACATTGAAAACATTCTACTTTAATACTACTTTTTTTTTTAAAGATCATAACATAGGACATTTTTGTCGTCCTTATAATCATTTGTTACAAAAACATAAGACCTTAATGTCTGTTAACTACACCTTGATTTAAAAACTCCACTTTACAGACCACACTTGATCACTCCAGCACAATTGTATTTGGCAAAGGGGACTCACAGGGGGCACAAAAAGAATATGAAACTAGGCTTGTAAACCCAACAGAACCATTGGAAGAATGCTTCAAAGTTGGAGGAGTGCTTCATGTTTGTGTGAAAGATCTGTGTTTATTTTCTGGCTAAATTCCCACTTTAGGAGACAACTTTACACCTTTCCAGGATAATCCCGCCTGGGCACAAACTGAAGTGATATTATCTGGTTCATCCAGCTTTCTCTTTCTAAATCCTTGGGTAATTTTGTTTTATCAGATTCATAACTCCCTGGCACATAGTAGGTCCTACCTGCTGGGTGAGTAATAAATATTTGTTGAAGGGTTTTGGTCATTTCTGTTCACACTTGAATAATATGTGATGAGGCTGAGAAGACAACTGTGGAGGCGATTACATTTGTCATTAGTGACCTCGTTTCTAGTCCCTGAATGTTAACTGTTTTCAGAGGGAATACTTCTCTTATAGGAAATAAAACAGTCTACTCTCCTGTGCCTTTGACATCCTGAGTGCTTTTCCTCACCACTGAGAATTGGACAGTGACCATGCTTTGTTAGAGAAGGAAGGGTGAGGGGTTATTCATGTTCTGTACATTCCATTCTGGAATTCTTGGTATCAGAAAAAAGGTTTTATTATTAGCTCAGTAAGAAAATACAATCTGCAGTCTGTGTGGTGGTAAGTGTCCTGGCATAAAAGCTAAGCTTTTAAAAATTTATGTTTCCCCTTTAAATGCTGTTTTAACATCCAGTCTTTCCAATGGACATTTTTAGAGCACAGATATCTGCTCCTGAAAGTCATATGTTTTAAACTGTTTCCTGAAACACGCTGAGATTAAAAAAATTTATGTAGGTTTTGAACTTCTAAAATGACTGAGTATTTAAACTTTAATGTAAGAAGCACCTGCATGGTAGGATTTGCTGAAAATGCTGGTCTTGAGCCATATGCACAGATTCTAATTCCTTCAGGGTGAGTGGAGGGGCTGAGGATCCTGAGTGATTTTGATATAGTAGATTGATATTTAGAGTTCCTTTAATAAACAGTGCATTCCAGCCTTCTACTCCAGCATAGCAAACTATCTTAAAATGTATTGCCTTAACATATTTATTTTATGATATCTCTTGGGCTTGTGGGTCAGGAATTTGGATGGGGTATTCTTCTGTTCCACACAGTGTCAACTGGAGTCACTTAGTGATATTCATCTGGTGCCTTGTCTGGAGGGTCTACAGTGGCTTAACTCACATGCCTGGCCCCTTGGTAGGGATGACTGGAAGGCTGGGCCCAGCTGGGACCCTCTTTGTGTAGTGCTGGGAATTTTTGACAAAGCCTCTTAGCAAGGTATTTGTACTACTTTACAAGGTAACTCTGGGCTCTTAGGATATGGCCAGACAGAGTGCTTCAAGAGAGCCAAGCAGAGCTGCAAGGCTTCTTGTGACCTGGTGTCAGAAATGCCAGTCCATCGTTTCTGCCACAATCTGTTGATCAAGTAAGTCCGAAAGAAGGCCCCAATTCAAGGAGAGGGGAATTAGACTTTCCATGCCAATGAGAGGAGTAGCAAAGAACTCACAGCCATCTTTAAACTCTCACACACTAATAGGCAGAAGGCACATTGCTATGACCATGTCATAAATTTCTGAATTATTGATTCATAGTCATTAGTTACTATCTTAATATAAGGGCTCATTGTCTTTCACCTGATTAGTTTCAGTGATTTCTAAAAGGTATATCCTTCTACATACCAGTCTCTTTTTACTTTGATCCGTTTTATATATGGCACAAGTAATCTTTTTGAGGTGTGAATGCTGATCATGGAAGTCTTTTTCCTAAAACTGTACATGTGTCTCATCTCCTATTATGGAAGACTGTTTAGACGGTCTAAGGTTCTGTGATGGAAGTATAGTGTAGAGGTTAATATCATGAACTCTAGAGTGAGACTCTCTGGGTTCGTGTCTTGGTTTTGCGTGACCTTGGGCAGTGCACTCTATCTGCACCTTGCTTTTGTCATCCGTAAAAAAGAGAATTATAATGATATCCACCTCAGTGGGTGATTATAAGAGTTAATGAAGAGGATATACAATGTCATTAGAATGTGCTGGGACAGTAATGGTTGTTTTATTATTATTGCTGCTAACATTTTATGGCATAGCATTCAAGACCTGTCCTGTTCTGTTGTACCTTGTATTTTCAGTCTCATTTCCTATGGCTATTCTTGTAATCCATGCTGCCTCACCCAGTTGTCTTCTGTGCTGTCTGCCTGTTTTCTGTCTTTCCCTTTACTCGTGCTATTGCTTCTCAGTGAAAAGGGATCTTCTCTCCCTCTCTCCATTGGGACATGATATTACCAAGAAGTGCTTTAGAGGGTTTTCAGTAGATGGAAACTGGAATTTTATATCTCATTTCACTGTGACATGTGGTCAGGTTTTGTCTCTCCAACTCCGATATATGCTTCTTGAGGTCAATACCTGGATCAGATTTTTGTCTTTGAGTTTGCCACACATGTGGCATAGTGCAGCGCCTTATGTATTGGTGTTTAAAATCAGTTGTGTTGAGGGTCAGGAAGGGCTAGATTATGCTGCAGTAAGAATCTGGAAACCTCAGTGGCTTTAGTACTTTTTAGTACTAAGAGGACTACTTTTTTAGTACTTTAGTTTCTCAGTCATGCTTTTGTCCATGGTGAGTCAATAAGGGGATCTGTTGACTGTATCAGTCAGGGTCCCTGGCTGATGAAGGCTCCATCTTAAACATTTTTCCATGATCCAGAAGCATAGAAAAGAGAAGTAGAAATAAATGCACTGACTTTTAAAGCTTCTGCACAGAGAGACCCATGTTACTTCTGCTCACATTTCGTTGGCCACTTACATGGTCACACTGAAGTTCTTGTAGGTGGAAAAGTGTGATTCTATTATGTGCTCAGAATAGGAGAATCAACCATTTATGAAGAAGCTCCAGTGGCTACCACAGATGACGCACTGGTCTCATTACCTATTCCGGTAAGATTCTTCTAGGTTAATATGCCCAAACTGTTTTAAAGGTTTGACCTGCATGCACCTCATTAAGTTAATGGAATTCAATTCAGTTAAGACTACTGAGAGTCCTTTATATCTCGTTTGGAGGCTGCTCTGTCCAGGGAGAGTAAAACAAAATCTTAAAGTAGCAGTTTTGTTTGTGTGTGTGGTTTTTCTGGGAAATATTAAAGCCTTGAACAATCCCGTATCTTTTTCATATATTTACCTTTAAAGAAAGACATTGTTTTCTTGCACCTGTCCTCCACTTTGATTCTTGCTTTAAAGTACATACTGGTTAGCAAGACTTGAGATTGATACTTATTTCTGGCAGCATACCAGAATTACCACTGAGGGACTGCAAAATAGAATCCTTGGCATAGTCACTAGGGTTCTGAGTTCTACCAAGTTAAGCGTGTTTAATAATTTAATGATCTTAGCAAAATGGAAAGATATCCCATAAATATATGATAATATTCAGTGCCTCAAAGTTTAAGATGGTATCCCAAAGGAAATTATAGGGGCAGATTATCATATAGACGAATGATTACATTTACTTAACAAAAAATTGGGAGGATTTCTGTTTTATACCGTAATCCTTATGAAGGATCAGTATAGAACTTTGCTTTAAGGAGTTCTAAGTAGTTTATACATCTAGGAAAGTGCAGTAGACATGGGCTACTATGGGAATAGCTATTAGAGAAGGCAAATAGAGGATGGCAAGTAAAGGACCTTCGATCATAATTCACTGAATATGTTAGCTGAGTAAGGCTTCTGTTAAACTTGTTAAGTTGCCAACATTACATGGTTTGACTGGGCCTTGTAAGGACTAGAAAGCAGTGCACGTGTATCTACTTTTCATTTTGAGAATTGTGTCAACAAATATGTAGAGGTTAAGAAAAGGAAGAAAATTATTTTAAAAAAAAGGATTATACAGTGGGAACAAAGGATTTGGGAATCAAGGAAATGAAGGATATGAGGGGGATGGCTACACTAAAGATCAGCTGTTCTGAGTGCCCAGAGAACTGGAGTTAAGGGTGTAGCCTCACACTCCTTCAGGGACCTGTACTAACAGACTTCGCGAGAGAGGGATTCACTGTAAATAGGTTGCTTAGAGTTCTGTTCCTTGGGAGTTTTACAGCTGATCTAGATGACTGGAAGAATAGACCTGTTCATGTAAATTGTAATCCTGTTAAAGCTATGGCATTTATTAAGGACTTGGACCCCTTTGACAATTTGGACATTTAGGAACCCTCAGTCTAGAATGATGCCCATGTGCACACCCTGTTGTGTTTAAAGTGTTCAATGGGACCCTTAGTTTAGAATCCTGGCAGCACAGGCAAGGAGAAGTTTGCAAGATGGTTTGCAGCCCCAGCAGTTAGCTACTGCATAAATATCTGTGATGATAAAGAGTGGATGTATTGGTGGCTTCAGACAGGCAACAGGGGGGAATTTGTTTTTAATTTTAGGCATTTTAAACAGCACAGGCTTGTGGATTTAAAAAAATATTTGCATTAACACAACACTAAATATTGTAAGGGGCAAGGAAAGTTTACAGCAAAGCACATTTGCTTGGGGAGAAGGTTTCTATGGCTCTCCACTAGCTGTTACATGTTTATATCCTCCAAAACTTTCACTCTGGCTTTTTTCCCGGGAAAGAAATATCTGCCCTTTCCCATTCTTCTACCCTTAGTGTGTGTGGGTGGCTGTGCATCTCCATGGGGAGGACACGGAATAAAGCTGTGCAGCATGCTCCTTTGCTCCCAGAATCTCAAGCCAAAAGGAATTGTTCTGAATTGGCTGGGTCTTATTTTCTCAGTGCTATGCCTGGAAGGAGACAGGATCAGGGTGTGATGTGTCCTGAAAGCATAAACTCTTTATTAGCACAGATAAATCAGTTGGTTGGCTCAGTAGATTTTTGGGAGTGTTGGTGACATTCATTTCACAGGGATCTCAAATTATCCAGGAATTACCCAGACAGTAGATTATGATGCCCTGACTCTGGCAATATCTGCTGTTACTCCCCCTCCTCCCTGCTCCTGCATATGCATACAAGACTTCTATGCTTTTGCAGTGTGATGATATTGGGGAAGCTGCAAGGGTTTTAGTCTTTAAGTTTCTCAGAGCAAAAGAAGAATGGATACAATTTACTGTGTTGTGGGTGAGAGAGAACTGTGAAACCTGATTTAAAACAAAAGTGTGGGCCTGTGTCTTCAATAATCTGACTTTGTCTCCCTGTAGCATAAATAATTCCAGTTGTATAATTATGGCTATTCAGGTAATACCCTGTTATATTGCTCTGGAGTTATACTCCTTTTAAGATTTGCTAGTTAAAAGTTGTCACTTTATTCAGACTTTTGTTTTTAAAGTTAAATTAAAATGTTCTTAAGGTAGTTTATTCTCCAGGAGGCAGGATTAGCCTTTCTCAGTAGATATTTGGATCTATTTGGAAAGTTTTGATTTTTAAAATTAAGTCTTTGAGTGTATCAAGTTAAAGCATAATGTATTCTAACATCAACTTATTTTTTATGAATCCCAAAATATTTTGCTACATATTCTGCAATTGGAAAATGGCATCTCGGAAGGATTAAAGTTCCATATGCTAAAGGAGACACCAAACTCTGTAAAATATTTCAAAAGGCTTATTCTGAGCCAATATGAGTGACCATGGCCTGGGGAACAGTCTCAAGAGGTCCTGGGAAGGTGTGCCCAAGGTGGTCAGGTTATAGTTTGGTTTTATACATTTTAGGGAGACAGAAAGTGTAAGTAAAATAATAAATTAATATATGGAAGATGTACATTGGTTTAGCCTAAAGAACTGGGATATCTTGAAGTAGTCGGGAGTGGGGGTTACAGGTCATGGGAGGATTCAAAGCTTTTCTAGTTGAAAATTGGTTGAAAGAGTTATGCTTTTTCTAAATGAAGTCAGTAGTAAGAAATGTTTGAGTTAAGATAAGGGGAGTTATATAGTCCAGTGTTCTTGCTGTGTAGATGAAGCCTCCAGGTAGCATCCTTCAGAGAGAATAGATGATAAATGTCTCTTTTTGAACCTTAAAGGTGTCAGACTCTCATCTAATCTCTTCTAGATGCAGGAAAGACCTAGAAAGGGTCTTTCCTTTAAATAAGAGATTAAATGAGAGACCTGGCTGTATTAGCAGACATTCTCTACATATGCAAATTTCCCTTAAAAGAGAAGGCTTTATAGGGTCATTTCAAGATATGAAAAAATATATGTCAAATAAATATATGTTGAAGTAAGATATTTTGATTTCCTTCAGGGTCTACATGTGACTCTATACCAGAGTCAGGTTGGAACTTGGTGTCTTATTGCCACAAAGCGTCTGTTTTTTCAGTCTTATGATGCCAATTTCAATGTTAATGCTGGCCAGTTATGCCTAAACTCCCAGAGAGAAGAGGTTTAAGGAGGTTTGTCCCACCTCCCTTCCCATCGTGGCTGGAAATTCAGTTTTTCAGGTTTCTCTGGAGTCCCCTTGGCCATGAGGGACATCCATTCAGACAGTTGGGGGGCTTAGGATTTCATTTTTGGTTTACAAGTAGTACTAAACAATTATTAAATCTGTTCTTCTTAATGTAATATGGCAAATATTTACAATGATTTGTTAAGTAGTCTATCGGCATTATTCTGACTTATTGTTCCCTTGTCCTTTTTATGGAGTCTCCCTCTGTTGCCTAGGCTGGAGGGCAGTGGCACGGTCTTGGCTTACTGCAACCTCGACCTCCCATGTTAAAGCGATTCTCCTGCGTCAGCCTCCCGAGTGGCTGGGATTACAGATGCACACCACCATGCCCAGCTAATTTTTGTATTTTTAGTAGAGACTGGGCTTTGCCATCTTGGCCAGACATCTTGGTCTCAAACTCCTGACCTCAGGTGATCCACCCGCATTGGCCTCCCAAAGTGCTGGGATTACAGGCAGGAGCCACCGTGCCTGCCCCTTGTCCTTCATAGAACCACTTTGATATGTTAGTCTACTTCAGGACAGGTGCCTCTTCTCTCTCTAGATAGAAGGAGAAACATCATCTCCCCACCTCTGAGCACCCTAAGAACAAATACATGGCCAGTGGTTCCAATCCATGTTACAGCTGTCCAACAATTGGAAGTATTTATTATTTACATAACAGTATTTCTAGTATATAAAATTCAGTTGATATATGCTTGATACAATTTACTCAGATTTTTGAAGATTCCAAAGACATTTTACAATGTACACTGAAAATGATTGTTCCCAAACTGCATTTCCTGCTTTTCGAAATCATTTCTCTCATACCATCCCTCCAGCAGCGGTCAGAGAATTGAGTAGCACTTTTTTTTGGCAGAATAATTCTATATCCAGGTCAGTGAGAGTTTTCTTGTTCATACTTTGATGTTTTGTAAATACAAAACAAAATTCTTATTCTGATCTCAGTCCTGTTAGGGGAGTGGTTAGCTCAGCATGAGTCCTAATGTATCAGAGATGAAGGGAAATTGGTTGGGAGACTACTCCTGGGACCAGGTGAGAAGCAGCTAGTGTCATTCCGAATGTGCTACAGAGGAAGAAATCCTTGTAGCCCTCTATGGTACTTACTTAGAAACATCCTATTAAAATTTGCTACATAGTTAAAACTGACATTTTGACCCCTGTCTAAGAAAGTGGGGAAACCCTTGTCATGAATAATGCTATGTACAGCAGCAGATTAGGACTTCTACCTTTTATCTCGCTTTCGACTCTAAGGTAGCATTCCATTCTCTGTCACTTTGGTTAAAATGTTACTTTGGAAGGCAGAGGTCATTTGGAGATTGTCTCGTGGTATGTAAATAAAACTAATATAAAAAGTCTGTTTTAAAGTTATACGACCTCTCCTGTTCTTCCTCATCTCCTTTATAAGGTTTATAACTTGCAGACTTTTAGCATCAGTAAGATTATAATATGTAAGATATATATAAACAACGAAAGGAAGAAAATGGGAAAGCAGTCCCATATTCTTAATGTTCTTACTATATACATGTATGGACTAATTCGGACAAAGTCTCCAATTATTTTAAAATATACTGATCCACTTTTAAAAATCCATTTGCGTACATCCCATATCTAAAAGTTGTGTAGGGTATAGGAACAACAACAACTATATAAATCTATATCTATATCTATATATATGTGCAAGCTTGCAGGATATCGCAAAAATGAATTGAGTGGATCTTTGATGGTTAAGGTTGAGTCTGTTCAAAGCCTATTGACTTTTAAACCAGGAGTCTCAGACTCAGATCATTTCAGGAGTTAGACAAGTAACTGGTGAAATATGCATCTGTTGCATTTTAGACAGTGAGAATTTCCTTCATTTCTACACAGATGTCATATTGATTATTCTTGAAATATGAGATCTTCTTGATCTGTCTTCTGTTTCTTATTTATAGGAGTATGTGCAGAGAAATACACACTATTTGGTGTGAGATGTGAGATACTAAATGTTGTAGACACTGGGATGTCCCAGCTCAGCAGCAGCTGGTTGTTGCCTCGATGTAGAATGCAGGCCACCAGTGGCCCGACTTTTGCTTTTACCAGATGAGATGGCAGCCTGGTTCTTTTGCAGTTTGGCCTGATTTTTAAGCAACAGGAACAACAACAAACCATATAGCCCAAGGAGTATAGACCTGTAGGTGGACTGCATCAGCCTGCGGGTGCCCAGTTTGTGATCTCTGGTGAAACGTTAGATAGGAGACTGTCTTTTCTTCCCAGTTATGTTTAGTTTAGAACAAAAATTGGATGGGAAATTCTCAAAATTTACAAATACATTTCTTTGATCTTCTTAGCTTTTCATAGATTGGTTTGCTTTGTCAACAAAAATTTACAACTTCCAATTTTCTTTGCAATTGTCTGTGCATGTATATATCTGTATTTTGTTAATATGTATTTATAAAGTTAAGTGTGTATTCCTCTTATTGATATTTTAAATATTTTAAATTTATTTTAAACTCACTGAAGTAAGACATGTAAAACTGCATGTATTACAAGGTTTTTAACAAATATCAGCAATGCCATGCCCCACCCACCCCTCCCTACTCTTTGGAAGCAACCACTTTCAACTTGTGTTTCTTCTCATTTATCAGCAATATGCTTGAGTGAATATTTCTTGATTTTTAATATTAAGACCTTTTCAGGTGATCTATGATAAATAATAGTTTAGTTCTTTTTTATTTTTTCTTCCCAGTTCCCATCCCTCATTCTCTCTTCCTATGCATCCTGCTTCATTAATTAAAAATGTTGGTGAGATCAGTATTCAGTTTTTGTATTAGTATGATGATAAAATATTGTTGAAAGCTGAGTCACACAGGATACTTGTACATGTATTTTTTTTCTCTTTCCCTGGTTTTATAATGGTTTCATTTTGTTTGTTTAGTGATATTTCTTTAAATATATTTCAGACATGTCTGGTCAATTTCTGGGAAAGGATTCTCAGGAGATATATTTTTTTTGACATTTATGTCTGAAAATGTCTATTCTTTACTCATGCTTTATTACAAAGGTTTGAAATTCTAGGTTGAAGTCATTCTCTTTCAGAATTTTGAAGGCAGTATGCTATTATTTTCAGTTTTCAGTATTATTGTTGAGAAGGCCACCTTTTACCTGCCTTGTACCTCCAAGCCTCTGCATTTTCCGCCTCCAGTTCTTTGAAATTTCATGATGTCTGTGGGTTTTTAAACCATTTATTGTCCTGTGCACTTTGAGCATTTATTAGAGCCTTTCAATCTGTAGATTTTCAGTTTTGGGAAACATTATTTCTTTATCCTTCGCCTATTCTCAAGACACACAGTTTTTCAGTTGTTCTCTTTCTGGTTCTGTTATTGCGTTTTGGACCTTCTGGAGCACTCTTCTAATTTTCTTTTTTTTGGCCACCTATTTTCCCTTTCTTTGTCTTTTTGTTGTATTCTCTGTAACATTTTCTAAGGTTTATCTTAACTTTCTATTGACTTTAAATTTTGCCATCAAAAGTTTTATTTTTAAGAGCTCTTTGTTGCTTTATGAACTTTGTTTTATTCCTTTTAAGCATAGCTATTGTATGGGTGCAATATTTGTTCATTTCTCTGAGGGTATAAAAGTCTTTTTGAAGTTTTCTTCTGCTGTTTGCCTTATTGATCTTTCCTTAGGGTTATTTATTTTTTCTTTTTATTTATGTTAGTCTCCTCTGGCTTTTATGGTACAGGATTCCCACAAATGCTGGGTGAACCTTACATTGTTCATATTTGAGTGAGTCTCTAGTCTGTCCTTCGTGATTGGTGGTGGTTTTCCCTGTGAGGTAATTCTGTGTCTTGTTGGGCCCCTTAAATGTCTAGATTTATAGGTTTGGATTTTTTTTTTAACTGATTCGTGTCTCTATAGAGCAGCAGTTCCTTAACCATTAGTCTCATGACCTTTTTACACACTTAAAAATTGAGGACTTTATAGACTAGTACTGTCCAATAGAAATATAATGCAAATCAAAAATACAAGCTACATATGCAATTTAAAAGTTTCTAGTAGCTACAGTAAGTTTAAAAACGTAAAGCTGATATTTCCCAATAAATCCAAAATATTTTTAACATGTAACTAATATAAAAATCGAGCAATATTACATTTTTTTATACTGTCTTTAAAATCCAATATATATTTTATACTTAGAGTATATCTCAATTCAGACTAATCATATTTCAAGGGTTCAGGGGCCACATGTGACTAGTCACCACCATGTGGACAGCCCAGCTATGGAGCTTCTGTTTATGTGAGTTATATCTACTAATATTTACTGTATTGGAAACTAAAACTGAGATATTACAAAAATAGTCACTTCATTTTAAAATAATGCCAAAACTCACTTCATGTTAACACAGTGATATGGTCTAGGTCTGTGTCCCCACCCAAATTTTATGTTGAATTGTAATCCCCATTGTTGGAGGTGGGGCCTGTTGGGGGATATTTAAATCATGGGGGCAGTTTCTCATGAGTGGTTTAGTACCATCCTCTTGGTGCTGTCCTGGTGATAGTTCTCACAAGATCTGGTTGTTTAAAAGTGTGTGGTACCTCCTCATTCTCTCTCTCTTGCTCCTGCTCCTCCTCCCGCTTCACCTTCTGCCATGATTGGAAGCTTCCTGAGGTTTTCCCAGAAGCAGATGCTTGTGTTATGCTTCCTCTATATCCTGCAGAACCATGAGCCAATTAAAACTCTTTCTTTATAAATTATGCAATCTCAGGTATTTCTTTATAGCAATGCAAGAACGGCCTAATACACGCAAATTACTCACTTTTATGTGAGGTAAATGTTTTTCCAAGACAGAATTTATTAAGAGTGGTGTTTTACATTTTTGCAGATCTTAATGTTTGTCTTAATGTAGAAGATAGTTAGATCTTCATATCTGCTTTAGCGTTCAATCTTTTTTTAATATGTTATTTTTCTTTTAAGTATAGAAAGAAATTCTGGCCCTCACAAACAGGTAGTTGGAAAAGGGATGAATATTTTCATAGTCTTTTCAGATAATTCTGGATGTTCTCCTTTGATACTACACCAAAACTCAGCAATTGGTGGTTTCTTAAAGGTTAGTTGCAATGCGGAATCTAAAATCATATCAATGCTTTTCCTATTCTGTCACATTAAAATCCATTTGTCTGTCTTGTCCTTTGAATGCCTCTTTTATACATGAATGAGTTTGTAACTTGTTATAACACACATTGGTCATTTGAAAAACATTGGTTGACTGACTTATGCTAATCTTCCAAACGCTGACACATCTCATTGTACAGTATTAAAATATCATATTTGCTTATCACCATCAGTCTCATCAGAAAAATCAGAAAAATTGGGAAATTGTCAAGCTCAGTGTGGTGTATAGTTTATCCAAACCCCAACTTCTGCTTGAAAGTTTGAATTTTACGTTGGCAATGAGCACTGTCAGTTGTTATCCTTGAAGCGACAGGCTTACTGTGTTTACTTTTTAGACAGCGTCTGCCAAATACCCAAATCTGAATAACCGTGGTTTCTCTGTCAGTCAGTTTTTGAAGTGAAAATGCTGTTCCATGAAAAAACTACTGGTTCAGTTTGACAATGAAAATAGTGCATGCATTTTTTTTCCTGAAGGTAACTCTCATACTTTGGAATGCAGCAGAAGTGCTTTATAGGTACACTTCATTTTATCACACAGAATATTGAAAAGACATGTAATCAAAAGTTGAGATTTAATAAAGTAAGTTTTACTGCCTCATCAAGTTCTTGAAGTCAGCTTTTTAAACTACAGGTATTGACAAAGCCTAAAATGGATAGACCTACATGTACCATGCACAACTGTAAAACTCTTAGGACATAGGAGAAAACCTAGATGACCTTGAGTATGGCAATGACTTTTTAGGTACAACACCAAAGGCACAGTACATTAAAGAAATAATTGATTACCTGGATTTTCATAAAACTAAGAATTTCTGTTTTGTGAAACACACGGTGGAGAGAATGAGATGATAAGCCAAAGACTGGAAGAACATATTTGCAAAAGGCACCTGATAAAAACGTGTTATCTAAAATATGCAAAGAATATTTTTAACTTTCCAATAAGAAAATGAAAAACCCAATTAAGAAATGGGCCAAAGACCTGAACAGACACCTCAACAAAGAGGTACAGATGGTAAATAAGCACATGAAAAGATGATCCACATCATATGTCATCAGGGAAATGCAAATTAAAACAACAGTGAGTTACTACTGCACATCTATTAGAGTGGCCAAGACCCAGGACACTGACAACACCAAATGCTATTGAGAACGTGGAGCAACAGGAACTCGTTCATTACTGGTGGGAACGCAAAATGAAACAGCCACTTTGGAAGACAGTTTGGCAGTTTTTAAAGAAGCTAAACATACCCTGACTGTATGATCCAGCAATTGTGCTCCCTGATATTTACTCAAAGGAGTTGAAAACTTATGTTCACACAAAAATCTGCACATGTATATTTATAGCAGCTTTACTCATAATGGCCAAAACTTGGAAGCAACCAAGGTGTTCCTCAGTAGGTGAGAGACTGAATAAATGATGGTACATCCAGACAATGGAATATTATTCAGTGAATGGGAAGTCCTGCGTGTAGTGGTGTGTGTCTCTTTGGACTGAGTTGTGAGGGCTGAACTGAAAGTGGCAGGAACATGCCATTTTAGCATAATGCTAACATTACATTAGATTTGGCCAATATGTCAGTGTGCAGTATGTGTTAAGTTCTTTCGTCCCTTAAACTTCATTATCTCTGTCCAAACTATTTTTATTTGGACTTTATATACTTCTTTCCAAACCTTTTATAAAATTTCTCCTTTAAAAACCCATGCCAAAGTTTTTTCTCTCCACGGCCTTCCAGATTTCTCAAATGTTCCAAATGTTCCATCTCCCTTCCCAGGGTTCCTCTTTTGGAAAGCTGTTGTGATATTATTCTTCCTTCTGGAAAGCTTGCAGAGTTAGGGGTTACATTAAGTCTGGGGTAAATTTATACAGGTAAATGGTACAACCTCAAGCCTTCTGTGGAAATCAGCTGGCCTCTCCTGATGATACTTTAATCTCATCTTGATTCTTTCAAGCCTCCTTTAGCCTGTGACTGTAGATGAACTTAAATCACAGAAGTGACTATGACCCTTTACTTTGCCTAACAATTCTTCTTTCTTCTAGACATAGTTGAAATGCCATCTTTTTTCTGTTGCTTTCCCAGGTAAAAATCAGTCTTGCAGGGCAGACTAGGTCTTTTTGGGGAGATGGACAGACCCAATTTGCATATCCACATAAGCCAAGCCAAGGCAACTAGCATGAATGTACAAGCATGTGGAATGCTTTCCAACATTTTTTTTTCTTTTTTTAAACTTTCCAACTTTTAGTTTAGGTTCAAGGGGTACATGTGCAGGTTTGTTACATGGGTAAATTGTGTGTTGCAGGGGTTTGGTGTACAGACAATTTTGTCACCCAAGTAACCAGTGTAACACTCAAGAGGTAACTCCCACTCTCCACCCTCAAGGAGGCCCTGATGTCTGCTGTTCCCTTCTTTGTGTCCATGTGTACTCAATGTTCAGCTTCCACTTATAAGTGACAGTATGCAGTATTTGGTTTTCTGTTCCTGTGTTAAGTTGCTTAGGATAATGGCCTCCAGCTCCATTCACGTTGTTGCAAAGGACATGATCTCATTCTTTTTCTGGCTGCACAGTATTCTGTGATGTATATGTACCACATTTCCTTTAGCCAGTCCACTGTTGATAGGCATCTAGGTTGATTCCATGTCTTTGTGATTGTGAATAGTGCTATGATGAACATACACGTGCATGAGTCTTTATGGCAGAGCAATTTCTATTTCCAACATTTTTAACCATGTAATTGTGCTTTCTCCAAAGTTATTTCTTCCAATGCCCATGGACAGTGGAGAGAACGTTTTCTTGTTTATTGTCTCTTTTTGCAAAAACATTTCTTATCTGAACTGCTGCTCTTCTTACTGGGCCATGTTTATGTCCTAGAATTTTCACCCGGGATCACAAACTAGCATATAGAGGGAACAGTGTGCCCTGAATAGTGCTGTGGCATGGAGTGTGTGCAGTGGAAAGGGCACAGACCCTTGGATCACAAAGACCTGGATTGGAAACCCATATCTGCCATGTACCACTGGAGGGACCTCTGACTAGTAATTTCAGTCTCAGCTTCTACATGTATAAAATTATATTTTATTGGGTTATAGTGATGATTTAGGTCAATGAGTTAATATGGATAAAGTGCTATTCAGAGTGGTTGGAACACTGTGATCACACTCTTAGTGGACATGTCCACAACTGCAACAGTGACAGTGTCACCTGAAAGTTTGGGTTGGGAACTCTTAACTCCTAGAAACATTTCTTTGCATTATGAAGTCATTTATAAGCAACTTCTTTTACAATAATAATGCTTAGGAGTAAAATATTAAGCTTCTAATTTCCTAATGTGACTTATTTATTAGTGTATTTCTTGCAATTAAGGCAGCCAGAGTTGCTAGACTCTTTTGACATGAGAAAGGACTTATGAAATAAGTAGCAGAGAAGAAAGGAAAAGTAGGACTGAACCCCTCTAGTTTTATCTAGGAATATCTTGTTTGACAGTCTTCATATTTGTATGTTTAATTCCTACACTTGGCTTAATGGACTTGGGAGTCTATTTTTCCTTCTTTATTTTCCTTATGATTTTTCTATCTTATTTTGTTCATTTGGTAGTTACATAATAAATATTTTCCTGAATAAATGATTCTTTTTGTTTTCTCTTCTTCCATCTGTCTTTACATTAGCGTATTGGTTTCTTTTGCTCAGTATATTGTTACTGAGTTAGTCTCTACCCTAAATCACTTGATTTTCTGTCTGACTGTGCTCTTTTTGCTTTGAGAGAAACCTTCATCTTCACCTCTTTTTAGTCCGTTGTGCTAGAGGGCTGGATATTGGGTTTGTGGCTGTTCAGCAAGGTTGCAATGCTGAGAATGAAGAAGGTCAGCTTCTGGACATCACTTCACATTCTAAATGTGTGCCATCCAGCAGCCTCACTGCATGACCACTGCTGAGCTCATGTCTTCAAGCTCTCTGAAAGCTGAGGGATGGTTTCAGGAGAATTAATTGGCAGGCATTTCATCATGGGCTACTAGTGACAGCATACAGAGCTGTTCTTTCCCAGTTCACTCATTTCTTCTTTTGCAAAAGTAAAAATGTCTTGAGCATATTTCAAGTATGTTGCTAGTTGTCACTAGTATCAAACAGTTTTATATATATAATATGCTTCACAGCAGCGTGAGTGACATGACAAAAATAAGAGCAAAAGAGCAGGTTTTTTTTAAGGAACCAAGGTACTCTAAGTTGACTCACTGGTAAGGAAGAATAAGCCACAATTCTTGATTGCAGAGGTGTTGCTTTATTGCCGCATTAACTGCAAGCTCCCATCAGAATATGACTTCTGGGTGTCCATTTCTAAGACCACGTGAACCGATCTTGTTACCACACCAGGCGTGCCCTACACAAGCAAGAGTTAGAAGACAAAGATACAACTTCAGACCTGTAGCAGAAAGAAGAATGCCAACAGAGTGTAATTGTTTAGAAATAAGAGAAGGGACGGTATCAGGGTAGTCCAACTTACTTTCTGATAATAATGGCTTAACACAGGCAGGTGTACTTCTTGAGCACACTGGGTACTCCGTGTGAGTGGGAAGGGTGCTCTACTTATTGTAGGCACTCAGGCTGACAAAGCTCCATCTCCACATAGCCTTTCCAAACCCTGAGGCAGGGAGAATACTTACTGACTCATGCACCTCTCTCTCTCTTTTTTTGAGATGGAATCTCGCTCTGTCACCCAGGCTGGAGTGCAATGGTGTGATCTCAGCTTACTGCATCCTCTGCCTCCTGGGTTCAAGCAATTCTCCTGCCACAGCCTCCCAAGTAGCTGGGATTACAGGTGTGTGCCACCATGCCCGGCTAATTTTTTTATTTTTAGTAGAGATGGGGGTTTCACCATGTTGCCCAGACTGGTCTTGAACTCCTGACCTCAGATGATCCACCAGCTTGGGCCACCCAAAGTGCTGGAGTTACAGGCGTGAGACACCTCACCCGGCTCATGCACCTTTCTTGGGTTACAGGTGTTAGCCACCTCACCCGGCCCATGAACCTTTCTTGGGTTACAGGTGTGAGCCACCTTACCCGGTCCATGCACCTTTCTTAAAGGCTACAGCCCAGAAGTGGCATACTTCATCTCTGTTATGATTCACTGGCCAAAGTAAGTCGCAGCACTGTACTTTAACATCAGAGGGGACAGGGAAGTGTGATGCTGTCATGTCCTGGGAGGAAGAAGAACTGGACTACCTATGAACAGGGCCGTTATCTACCATAGGTGGTATGCTGAAATAATGCCTGCTGCTGAGGAAGAAATGAGAAGGTGTTAGAGTCAAGTCTGAACTCACAGCCACTTGTGTAGGTTAACAATAAAAAGCATGTATAGAGGGCACTAACTGTATACGTAGTCCTGTACTGTAGGTTAGCTGTGTAGGCAAGTTGGAGCCCAGAATGCTTGATGGGAAGTATGTACTTTCAGCAATAGTGGTGGCTACCTGTGCCAAGAAATCTCTGTTTTGATGATCTGAGAGTGCTAGGGGAATGGGGCAAGGAACAGAGGAGTTTGAAGAAGTTGCGTCCGTTATTCTGAGTGCCCTTTCCCTATGCTGAGAGACTTTGATCTACACTTATAGCAAGTTACAGATACAGAACAGTTTTAATTATTTAGAAATGTGAGTACCTGTGTTTCACTGTAATGTAAAGAATACGCTAGTGTCCTGGACATCAAAATAAGAGGAATGCCAAGCTTATATGTACCTCTGTGGGGTTTTTCTTGAGGGCTTGAAAGGAATTCTAACTTCAGTAGCACACACTAGGTATTCAATAAACATCTTAGTAGATGGATTACAAAAGATTAAAAGAATGTTACCATCTCATGGATAATTCAAACAGTAGCTAAAAAAACTGAAAGCTGTAGGAAGGTATTAACTGTCAAAAGGTTGGGGTTAGGACGACAAAACTTCTAACGCAATGCAGGACATCTGTGGATGTGTATTCTTTTTTTCCCCTTTGCACTAAACTGGACACTGTGAGTAGTTTATTGTTTCATTTGTGTATTTGCTCCTACCTACCCTTTAAAACCTCTTGAACGCTATGCTTTAATAAGTTCTATAAACTTAGTTTAGACATAATATTTCTACTAAATAATGCTATCCCAAGTAGCCAGTTTATAATATCCTTGAATTAATTTTGACTGTGCTTAACATAGCTTGGGAATGGAGAAGTTGAGTAAAATATTCTAATATATCAGTCTGACTTTTCTCCATTTTAAATCTATAATATTGATTTGTTTTGGAAATTTCTTATAAATAAAGCGGTATATTTAACTTTGTAGCTTTATTCTGAACTTGACAAAACATTTCTAGAAACCTTTTATCTAGTTTTTCCTAAATAGCTTTCTGTGGTCTCTGCCCATTATCTTAAACAAAGTCTGTCTTTGAGTCAGGGAGAAAAGAGAAAATTATTCAACAGTCTATCTAAATTAGCCATTATTTAATTTATCTGGGTCTATACAACTTGTAAACAGTGATAAGGAAGATCTTGTGGTGTTAAGGTGTGTCTCATATTCACCTGGTGGCTATCAATTACTTTCCTGTTTGAAAGTATCAGTTTGTACAATCATTGTTCTAATCTCACTTAGTTCATCTCTTGCTACTTTATCAGGGAGAACTGGTTATTTCAACTCTGACATAGGTCTAGTATTTCTTTCAAGGGGGTGAGGGGCAGAGGGTAAAGAGTACACTATGGCTTCACATGTACAGTGACAGTTTGTAAGAGAAATGGAAATAGTGACAGCCCAGACTCGGACTCTGAGCAGGAACCCTTCAGTTTAGGTTCTACCTTTCTAATTAGATAGACAGGACAACTTGAGCATGCCTCTCATTGTGCTGTCTTTCCAGGATGATGTGCGTGATACTCACTAACTCAAAACACGCAACCAGCATTTCTGTTGGTGGAAATCCTGTACCTCCTTGGAGGGAGACTCAAGACCTGCTTCTTCCACAAAGCCCAACATCATTCTGTTGTGCAAAAGTGAGCCCTCTTCTCCCAACTCCCACGATACCCTCATTGTCCGTGTATGGCATTTGCTGTTGAGGATATATAGCTCATTCAGTATACAATTACATACAACTCATTTCCTCGATGAATCAGAAACTCTTTGAGATTAAAAAGAGCTCACGTGTTTGAGCCTTTGTATGTTACTGGCTTTTAGGTTAAACATGTCACATTAACTCTATTAATCATTGGAGTATTAGACTATAATATTAATTCATTTTATAATCTTTATTTATAGAATTATATTTATATACTACTATTATATAGCCGTATTTATGATGCATATTATATTTATTACATTGCTATTATTATTTTTATGGATGATAAAACAGTCATAAGAGGGTAAGTAACATGTCTAAGGTGGTATAGTAATGACAAGGCCAGCTATAAATTCAGATCTTCCAACTCTTTAACCTTTTACACCACTCTAGGCTTCATCCTTATATTCAACAAATTCTGTTGAATATAGTGTATTATCAGTAAACATTTGAGCTAGTGCTAGAACTTCTTTAATGTATAATGAGTTGGTAGAAAATCTGTAGCTTCAGATTAAAATATGCATAAGTTCTGTTAAAGTAAGTGAATATAGATATTTCTAAGTATGTTTGATACGTTCCCATTATGATATATGCCTCTTTCATTTGCTTAGGCAGTGCTTTGTCAGAGATGGCAGACTATAAATTGGATCTTGAATTCTGAATTACTAGAATAAAGATTAGTGAGCATTCTTTTTGTGTAATAGTAGTTTTTGGCTGTATCCTTAGCCAGCAATTTTTATTTTTTAAAACTCTTTGTTTTGAAATAATTATAGATTCACAGGAAATTTCAAAGATACCACAGGGAGGTCCCACATACTATTCACCCAGTTTCTTTCACTGGTTGAGTGTTAAATAGCTATAGGACAATATCAAAACCAGCATAAAAATCAGAATATTGGCATCTGTATAAAATGTGAGTATAGCTCGATGTTGTTACCTGTATAGATTAATGTCACCATTACAATCAAGATAAGGAACTATTCTACCATATTCTACCATCACAAAAACCTCCCTCGTGCCACCCCTTTATAGTCATACCCACACCCAGCACCCTCCACCATCCCTTTTTCCTTGCAATCAACAATCTTTTCTATATCTCTATAATTTTGTCAATTAGAGTGTGTTGTGTAACTGAAATTATGCAGTCCATGACCTTTTGAGAATGACTTTTTTTTTCTACTTGGCATAATGTCATTGAGATATATCCAAGTTGTTGCATGTATCAATAATTCATTCCCTTTTTCTTTATTGTGGTAAGAACACTTAACATGAGATCTGTCCTCTTAACACTTTTGAACACATTTTAAGTATATAATACAGCAGTATTAACTATTGGCATAATGCTCCACAGCAGGTCTCTAGAACTGAATTATGTTGCATAAATGAAGAATTTATACCCATTGAATAGCAACTGCTTATTTCTCCCTGTCCCCAACTAACAGCCACCATTATACTCTGTGCTTCTATGTGTTTGAGTACTTTATGTACCTTGTGTAAGTAGAATCTTGCAGCATTTGTCCTCTTGTAACTGGCTTATTTTGCATACCATAATGTCTACAGTTCTGTCCATGTCATTGGCAGGACTTTCTTTTTAGAGGCTGCATAATATTCCATGGTATGTATATACTACATTTCTTTATTCATTCATCTGTTGGTGGACATTTAGAGTGAAATGTCCATCATTTAGAGTGAAAAGGCAGCCTGGGGAATGGGATAATGGGTTATATCCAAAATATGTAAGCAAATTCTATAACTCAATTGAAAAGAAAAGAAATCCCAAGCAATCTGGTTTAAAAAGTTGTCAAAGGACTTGAATAGATATTTCTCCAAAGAAGGACCTATGAATATGGCCAACAGGTATATGAAAAGATGTTCAAAATAAAAATCTCAATGAAATATAATCTCACACCAAGAAAACAAAAGATAGGTGTTGGCAGGGATGTGGAAAAATTGGAACTTTTGTACACTTGTTGGTTGGAATGTAAAATGGTACAGGCTACCGTGCAAAACAGTGAAAACTACTCAAAAAATGAAAAAATAGAAATATGTAATGCAGCAAATCATACTTCTGGGTACCTATACAAAAGAATTTAAATCAGAATCTTGAAAAGGTATTTGCATTTCCATATTCATTGCAGCATTTTTCACAATAGTCAAAATGTGGAAACAAACTCTTCTAATTGTTGAGTAGTGTTCCATGGTGTGGATATACTCTAGTTTGTTTAACCATTCACCTATCGTGGACATTCTGCTTGTTTCCAGTTTTTGGTTATCATAAATAAAGCTGTTATGAACAATCACAGATAGGTTTTGTGTGGACAAAGGACAGAATTTTCATTTCTCTGAGATAAAGGCCCAGGGATGTGATCTCTGGGCCATATGTTAAGTGTATCTTTAGTTATTTGGTAAACTGTCAAACGATTTTCCAGAGTAGCTGTACTGCTTTCTACTGTCACCAGTAATGTATAAGAGATCCAGTGTTTCTCTATCCTCACCAGCATTTGATATTGTCACTATTTAATTCTTCGGTCATTCTAATAATTGTGTAGTGATATCTCATTGTGGGTTTAGTTTACATTTCCCTAATGGCTAGTGATGTTGAACCTTTTTTTGTGTACTGATTTGCCTTCAGCTAAATCTTTCTTAATGTCTTTAACCCATTTTCAATTGGCTTTTGTTTTCTACGGTTGCATTTTGAGAGGTATTTTTATATTCTAGATGAGTCCTTTGTAAGATATACGGTTTGGAAATATTTTTTTCTCTGTAGCTTGTCTTTTCATCCTCATTTTTATTTATTTAAGGTAGAGATGAATCTTTTACCCAGGACAATTGTTGTGGATTCAAAAATAAAAATATTGAATGGTGCCATGCCTGCATGCCCTCTGCTCTGTTAGAGATTCATGGGCAGAGGAAAGAGTGCCATCTACTGAAGCTTGGGCATCGGTTCTCCATGACAGCAACTGACAAGGGAGGGCAAGGAACATGCTCCTTTAAGATGCGGCTGAGAGGGCCATCCACCATTCATGTAGAAAGCATCACTCTTGCAATTTAGTGGAAAACCACAACTGATCCCTGCCAGGATAAGGGATTGTTGTTGACTTTGTACACTAAGTCTCTTGAAGCATTGACAATGAAGAAATTAAATAAAATACATGACATTGGTACCCAGCTGATTTCAGATCTCTCTCCTGCCTCAGCTTTCTTCGTTCCAATTAATTAAATTCTTCTCTCTAATTAAAGCAATACATTGCTATTAGCTCTAGGTATATTTATAACACATGCCTTGAAATGACATTTCCAAGGAAGACTGATCTAACCTTTGTTTTCGAACAAGTTATTTAGGTTATTTATAGATTTTTAGCTTTTTAAAATCTATGAAACGCTCATTTCATAATATTCCACATATAATGAAAATTCCTTCCTTTTTGGAAGAAATAGGTGATGATTTACTGATGTATCACAGCTGTATTACCATCCTTTTCTATACTTTTTTAGTGTTGCAGAGACTAAATATGCTTAAAATTACAAAATTTGAGATTGGTTCACTTAGATGTATAGGGTATATTATTTTGAATTACCATGGAGTAGGAAATCCTAGTTTTCTGTATGTGAGATAAGTGGTAGCTTTAATATTTCTGGCATAAAGACTCATCAGTCATTTTTTGGAAAATTTAAAGTATTAATTTTTTGACTTTAGTTTTATAGGAGTACTTAAAATTTGGTAGGTGAACAATTAGAAGTAGTAATCCCCATGGACTGACAATTTGGGTGAGTTTGGATACATGTCTGGGTGGCAGATTTTTGAAATGCCCTAATAAATAACTAAAGAGAAAGCCAACACCACATTACATGTTTGGCAAATCAGTTTTCTGTGTGGTACTCTTTTCCCCTCAAAGTATGGCAGGGAATCTGATTTCAAAAATTAAACATACTCAGCTATGAATTCCTTGCCTTTTTCCTTACTTTTTTTCTTTTCAAGAGCCTATTTTACTGAGAAGCAGTGTAGCTGCTTTCACATTCATCTGCTACTACTGTGGCAAATGTTTCCACCAAAAATGCTTGATATTGCTATTTGGAGTACCCATGAATTTAAAGGAAGTAGACATAATTATACATTATTTGAATACAGATAGACGATAAATATGATTTCAAGTTTTTTTTTTTACATATTTAAAAAAAGTCTGGGTAAAAACAAACCTGTTAGAAATATGAAGCTCTGAAACAAAATTCTAAAAATCTGTAGTAAATGTATTTTTTCCCTCTGTATTTTTGGATTCTTAAAATCCTCTTCTTTCAAACTTTTGATAAATACAATTGAACTTTTCAATAATATCAGTTTTGTGATGTGTTTGTTTTATTATCTAGCTTTCCCCCACTCCCAGTTTTGAAAGATTTATTTTCCCCCAACATTTTCTATGATTTTTTTTTCAAAAGTAAAGCAAAGTTAAAAGAATTTCACAGGAACACCCAAATGCCCAACACCTATGATATGGTTTGGTTCTGTGTCTGCACCCAAATCTCATCTTGAATTGTAATCCCCACATGTTGAGGGAGGGACCTGTAATCCCCACCTGTCAAGGGAGGGAGGTGATTGGATCACAGCGATGGTTTCCTCCATGCTGTTCTCATGATAGTGAGTTCTCATGAGATGTGGTGGTTTTGTAAGTGTTGACAATTCCTCCTTCACTGGTCGTCTTCTCTCTTTCCTGCCACCTTGTGAAAAAGGCATTTGGTGCTTCTTTGCCTTCCGCCATGATTGTAGGTTTCCTGAGGCTTCCCAAGGCATGCAGAACTGTCAGTCAATTAAACCTCTTTCCTTTATAAATTACCTAGTCTTGGGTACTATCTTTATGGCAGTGTGAAAACTGACTAATACAACCTAGATTCTCTCTGTTAATCCATCTTATATTTTGATTCATTCTAAAGTAAATTGCAAATGTTTGGCATACAAGTCAGTTACAGTTCAACATTATTTATATTTTATTTAAAATTTTCATAACAATAGAATGTACATATCTTATGTGTACATTAGCTAAGATTTGAAAAAACTGTACAACTTAGTAACCCAAACTGTTATCAAGTTATAGAACATTAGCATCACTCTAGAAAATTCCCTTATAACCCCTTCAGAATCAGTTTCCTTCTCCCAAAAACAAGTTAGCTTGTTCTAGAATTTCATATAAAAAGAATTATACAGCACACACTATTTTGTGCCTGGCTTATTTCACTAAGCTTAATGTTTTTGAGATCTATTCATGTTGTCATATTTATTGATAGTTTTTTTCCCTTTTTGTTCGTAAGCATTATCTCCTGGTATGAATATACTATGTTTGTGCTAATGATGGGAACCTGGAATTCAAGGCTTTTAATCCCAGAAAAAGACTTTAAGATTGTGAAATAGCATTTCATTAAAAACTACTCTTTCATCATTTGTATACAGTTATCTCTTAACTGCAATTTTGAAAACTCTGACATTTGTATGTAAATTTTATAATCTAGATCAAGCTTGTCCAACCTGCAGCCCCAGGTTGCCTTTGAATGTGGCCTAACACAAATTAGTAAACTTTTTTAAAACACTATGAGTTTTTTTGCGTTTTTTTTTTTTTTTAGCTGATTAGTGATCATTAGTAGTTAGTGTATATTACATGTGGCCCAAGACAATTCTTCTGCTTCCAGTGTTTTCCAGGGAAGCCAAAAGATTGGACACCCCTGATTTAGATCTTTGTGTATATGTTTAACTTGGTTTTCTTGAGCAAAATTTTTGGACTCTAATTATTAACCACCCTTTTGAAGACTACAGGAGTTTCTCCCTATCCCGCTTTGCTTTTAGGAAGATCATCTTGGAAAATGCCACTGCAAAGTCTGTGTGTTAATTCTAAATTCCCGTTTTTTTTTTTTAATTAACTTTAGAAAAATAAAGTCAGTGTTCTATGGAACAGGTTCTGTAAGGGAAGTTTGTGATAATATGCATGGGCAAGTAGGATTGACAAATATTTTTGCTAAAGCTGCTTAAACACCACAGGTTGATGTGTAAATGCATAAATTTAAAGAGAGGGGAGAGAACAGGAAAATAGCTCTTTTCAATGATTTTGAAATTTTTCTGCTTATTTTCTTTTCCTGCAACAACATAGTGATTTAATCAGCATTGTTAAGTGATCAGTTAGCAATGACACATAAGCAATTATATTCAAAACCTATCAGTAACTTCATTTTCTGACCATCTGACACTCAAGGTTAGGGAAAGTTGAACATACATAAAAACAATGTATTAGAAAACACAGTGACATTATGACTAACTAAAACCTTGCCAGTATACATTTTTAGGCTACTAAGATCATTATGTGGGAGATTGCCTTTGAACATTGTTCTTTAAAAGTTTGTGCATTGGTAATGTTATCTGTAGATGGGAAATGAATGAAGCACAATGTCTTAACATCCTCTCAGACAAATTTATGTGGAGAAGGAAGAAATTTTGTGATTTAAAAATCATGTTTCTTTAGTTTAATAGGATGAAGAAAGCAAACATTCTATAGAGTATGGCAGTTGTAGAATATATATGGTAAAGGTTGTTTGGCATTTGTTTCACTGTAGTGTCAGTTAATACATGTTATTTGGAAGAGCTTGGAGGAGATAACCAGTAAATATCCATATACAGTTCCAACAGGATGTGCATCCCATTGCCTAAACTCACTTCAAAAAGACCTCATGAAGTTGGACACTGTCCAAAGCTTTCACAGGGGAACAAAAGAGATGATCAAATTTATAGCTGCTCAAGGAGAAGCAAGAAGAAAAGAATACAATGATTTTGAAATCCTATAGAAACTTTAAGTGGAAAGATGACATCCTTTGAAAATCTGCAAATAAGAGCAATAAAATTAGCTTTCCAAGAATTAGAGATTTGCCCCTTCCCTACTTTCTGTTTTACATTTTTACATACCGTGCTCCTGCAGTGATTTGCTTTTCTGTATTTGTGTGAACTTTCACGTTTTCTGTCCTTTGCTTGTGTTCTTGCCTCTGATTGGATGCATCTCATGAATTCAGTCATCTTCAAAACCGTGTTCAGGCATCGGTTGCACAATCACGCCACAATGATTACTGCTTCCATTTCTTCAGAATTATCTATCAGTAGATTTATTAAGTTCTCTACCTCCTTTCTGTATCTGCTGCACATACTTTTGTTCTCACGAATCACTGATTTTTCCAGTAGTATTACAGCTATAGTAACCATAGTAGCAGCAGCAACAACACTTGTATAATGCCACACTGGGCCAGACGTAGTGCTAAGATTTTTACCTGAAGTATCTTATTAAATCTCACCATATCTTTATAATTTCAGTGCTATTATTATGCATAGTAGTATGTTTCATTGCCCCAGTGGCAGTGATTCTGAATTATATTCTATTAATATCTTATTGAAATGTGTCTCTAAAAAGGACAAATTATTTTATCCAATATTTCTTATAAAATTACATACCAAATACTATAGACTTTTTTCTGATCTGGTCAAGAAATATTTAACAAATATACCGAAAAGTTATTGATGTGTATATGCAGCATTACATAAAGTAAGATATCTCCAAACCTGAGAATAAAGTCATAAATCTAGAGTATATGTGCTCCTATACTCTCTGTACCTGAAATTAGGAATTCTGCCACTGTTTACTTTCTATGCCTTGAAACAAGATCTTAAATTCTTGAGCTTATGATTTGTATAGATGATATAAACTATACAAACTAGGCCTCATCTAGTACCCTCTATTCTTTATATTGATAGTGTTATACTCAATCTGATCCAAACTGGTTTTTATTACCATGGGTAATGTTAGCAGGTGTGCTTGTAAAGAAATGCAAGGGTCAGGGCAAGGGTAGTGGGGTTTGTGTGTAGGGTAACCACGGTATAGGGATTTTATAGGGTGTGAAGCATTGTTGAAAAAATGTTTTGAAGTGTCTGCTTAGGGAACTTTGAAAAATTTTGGAAGCACATGAGTGATTTGGGATGGTACAGTTTCATGAAAAATAAGGTAATATTTGTAAATATTTGTGGATATTTATGTTTTTGAACATCTCTATCCATCTCATCTTGCATCTAGATACTTGGTTTTGCTGAACAATTGGATGTTATTTTATAATGATTTATTCTTGATATTGTAGATTTTCTCAAAATTTTTGTGTATTTGGATGTATATATCTTTAGCGTATAGTTGCAATTTTTGTCTTTTAGTGGTAAAATGGATTCTATTTAATTTTTGGAGCACGATAAAGAGTTGTGATGGGAAGTGTCCTATTAATGCTCACATTTACATTAATATCTTAATGTGTTAGACTTTCTTTTCAAGTTCAGATTTTATAGTTTATGTGTATAGAGATAATATAATATTCTCTGATGGTTGGTTGTATTTCTGTGGGGTCAGTGATAATATCCCACTTATCATTTCTGATTGTGTTTATTTGAATCTTCTTTTCTTCTTTATTAGTCTAGATAGTGGTCTATTTTATTAATTTTTTCAAAAAACCAGCTCCTAGATATGTTGATTTTTTTGAAGGGTTTTTTATGTCTCTGTCTTCTTCAGTTTAGCTCTGATCTTGGTTATTTCTGCTAGCTTTGGGGTTTGTTTGCTCTTGGTTCTCTGGTTCTTTTAGTTGTGATGTTAGCTTGTCAACTGGAGATCTTTGTAGTTTTTTGATGTTGACATTTTAGTGCTAGAAATTTCCCTCTTAACACTGCTTTAGCTGAATCCCGGAGATTCTGGTACAGCTATCTTTTTCTCATTAGTTTCAAAAAATTTCTTGATTCCTGCCTTAATTTCATTATATACCCCAAAGTCATTGTACCGATGGGTCTTAGTTCTTTCTTTCTTTTTTTTTTTTTTGTTTTTTAGACAGAGTCTCGCTCTGTCACCAGGCTGCAGTGCAGTGGCACGATCTCAGCTCACTGCAACCTCTGCCTCTCGGGTTCAAGCAATTCTCCTGCCTCAGCCTCCCAAGTAGCTGAGACTACAGGCATGCACCACCATGCCCAGCTAATTTTTGTATTTTTAGTAGAGATGGGGTTTCACCATGTTGGCCAGGATAGTCTCGATCTCTTGACCTCGTGATCTGCGTGCTTCAGCCTCCCAAAGTGCGGGATTACAGGCATGAGCCACTGTGCCCAGCTGGGTCTTGGTTCTTAATCCAGCTTGCCATTCTGTGTCTTTTAATTGAGGCGTTTAGCCCATTTACATTTAAGGTTAGTATTGTTATCCTATCATCATGGTGCTAGCTGCTGGTTATTTTGCAGACTTTTTAATGTGGTTGCTTCATAGTGTCATTGGTCTGTGTACTTCAGTGTTTTTTTGTAGTGGCTGGTAACAGTTTTTCCTTTCCATATTTAATGCTTCCTTCAGGAATCATGTAAGGCAGATCTGGTGGTAACAAATTCCCTCAGCATTTGCTTTTCTGAAAAGGATCTTATTTCTCCTATGTTTATGAAGTTTAGTTTGGCTGGATATGAAATTATGGGTTGCAATTTTTTTAAGAATGTTGAATTTTAAGTTTTTCATTTTGGAGATGAAATGATAACATTTTAGACAGCCCTCAGTGAAAGAAGTCTTATTTATTTCTACTAAGTTTGGAGGATAAATTAGAAATTTATAGTAGCCAGAGCAATTTGTTGGAGGTGGAGCCTGTGGGGAGGTGACTGGATCATGGGGGCAGATTTCCCATTAAAGAGCACCATCCCCTCGTTACTATCCTCGCAATCATGAGATGTCATGAAATCTAGTCATTTTAAAGTGTGTGGCACCTCCCTGTTCACTCTCTCTTGCTCCTGCTCCCACCATGTCAGACGCCTTGCTCCCCTTTTGCCTTCTGCCATGATTGTAAGTTTCCTAAGGCCTCCTCAGCCATGTGGAATTGTCAGTCAATTAAACCTCTTTCCTTTATAAATTACCCAGTCTCAGGCAGTTCTTTACAGCAGCATGAGAACAGACTAATACAGGGGCACTCTGGCTTTTTGAGTTTTCAGTGTTCTTGCGCTGATTCTTTCTTATCTTTGTGGGCTTATCTACCTCTGATCTTTGAGGTTGCTGACCTTTGGATGGGGTATTTGTGGTTTTTTAAATTGTTGTTGTTTGCTTTTTTTTCTTTTAGTGGTCTGCCCACTCTTCTGTAGGGCTGCTGTGGTTTGCCAGAGGGTCTGCTCCATACCCTAGGTGCCTGGGTTTTGCCAGTACCTGCAGTCTCCACACAGCTCTATGTGTTGTGCCCAAGGCCCTGGTGGCCAGGGCTCACGAGACGATCTCCTGTTCCTACGGTTGCAGAGATCCATGGGAGAAGCCTGGCTTCCCAGGGTTGCACATTCACTCACTGCTTCTGTTGGCTGGGTGTGGGGGTTCCCTTGGCTCTGTGTCATTCCTGGGTGGGCCATCACCCCACCCTGCTTTTCATTCTCCGTGGGTCAAGGTGTTTCTCTAATCAGTGTCAATGCAAGTTCCTGGATATTTCAGTATTCACTCGCACCTTTTGTTCCCCTCGGTGAGTGCCACGTACAGCAGCTGCTTCTAATCTGCCATCTTGGCCTCCTCCCATATTTTCTTTATCCATGCATGTGCTGATGGAGTCTTAGACTGATTCTGTACTTTGGCTATTGTGAATAATGCTGCAGTGAACATGAGAGTTTGGATAGTTCTCCAAAATACTCATGTCATTTTCTTTGGATATATACCTAGCAGTGAGATTGCCAGATCATAAGGTAGTTCTATTTTGAATTTTTTTAGGAAGCTTTATACTACTTAGCTTGGGGAATTTTTAATAAAGAGGGTGTATTTTATAATTATGGTAAATTTCAAACATACAGAAAAACAGAGAAGAGGAAAACATATCTATGTACCCTATATACTACTACAAAAATATCAATTCCTGACCTTGCTTGTTTTATGAATATGAAATCTGTACCCCCCAACATCCCTAGATTATTTTGAAGCAAACCTCAGATGTCACATTTCATTCATAAATATTTCTGTATGTATCGCTAAAAGATGAGGATTCTTCTAGAAATAGCATCATATTTTCACATCTAAAAACAGTTAATTTAATATCATCCATTGGTAGGATAAGGTTCAAATTTCACCGATTGCCTCTTTTTTTACTTTTTAAAAATTTAGCTGGGCACGGTGGCTCACACCTGTAATCCCAGCATTTTGGGAGGCCGAGGCAGGTGGATCACCTGAGGTGAGGAGTTTGACCAGTCTGGCCAACATGATGAAACCCTGTTTCTACTAAAAATACAAAATTTAGCCAGGCATGGTGGTGCACACCTGTAGCCCCAGCTACTTGGGAGTCTGAGGCAGGAGAATCACTTGAACCCAGGAGGCAGAGGTTGCAGTGAGCTGAGATCATGCCACTCCCCTCCAGCCTGGGCAACAGAGCGAGACTGTGTCTCAAAAAAACATATATTTTTAAACTTAATTTTTAAAAGGTTTGTGGGTACATAGTAGGTATGTATATTTATGGGGTACATGAGATGTTTTGATACAGGCAAATGTGTAATGTGAAACAAGCACATGATGAAGAATGGGGTATGCATCCCTTCAGGCACTTATCCATTGAGCTGTAAACAATACAATTACACTCTTTAAGTTATTTTTAAATGTACAGCTATTATTGACTATAATTACCCTATTTGCTATCAAATAGTAGGCCTTATTCATTCTTTCTAACTATTTTTTTGTACCTATTAGCCATTCCCACCTCCCTCCTGCCCTAGCTCCCCATTATCCTTCCAAGCCTCTAGTAACCATCCTTCTATTCTGTATATCCCTGAGTTCAATTGTTTTGATTTTTAGATCCCACAAATAAGTGAGAACATGCGATGTTGGTCTTCCTGTGGCTGGCCTATTTCACTTAACATAATGATCTCCAGTTCCATTCATGTTGTTGCAAATAACAGGATCTCATATTTTTATGGCTGAATAGTACCCCATTGTGTATATATACCACATTTTCTTTATCCATTCATCTGTTTATGGATACTTAAAGTTGCTTCCAAATCTTAGCTATTGTAAACATCATTTTTAAAAGAATATTCAGTTTTCTTGAATCAGGATTTAAACAAGGACCATGCATTGCAGGTGAGTCATGTCTCTTAATTCTCATTTATATATGAGTCTTCCTTCCCCTCCTTTTTGATCTTGCAATTTATTTGTTGAAGAAACAGGATCATTTGTCCTCTCATTCTCCAGAGTCTGTATTTTGCTGGTTGTATTCTATGGTGTTAACATTTTTTTTCTGTTCTACATATTTATTTTAATTGATATTTAGATCTAGAAACTTAAATGTATTTTTGAGGTAATATTTCACAGCTGTTTTTATGTACCTCCATCAAGAATTGCATAATATAGTTTTTTTCCCCTGCGATATTAGTGGCCATAGATGATCATCGCTTAGGTCTATTATTTCATTGGGGGCTCACAAGATAGTCATATTCTTCCATTCTTTCTTCATTCATTAGCTAGAATAGTTTTATAAAGAGAGAAATTTTCATCAATGATTTTCCTATCCTGCGAGATAGGTTGTAGAGCAAAGGCAAATTTAATACTTCATCCTTTCCCTTTTTTACTGGTTTCCAGAAAAATATAGGTTGATTTCCCAGAATCCTCAGAGGTGACTATTGAGCACCTTTAAAACATTATTCACAACACATGAATATACCATATTTTGGGGGCTTATCAATTATTCCCTTTGCTCATGTTTCCAAGTTTTTTAGCCAGTGGAAGCCTCTTCAAGTTGACAGGATCTCAACAGTCTTTGATGGCTTCTTTGCTTACTGCTATGACAAAATCTTTCAGGCTCATTTTGTACTTTTCCTCCCCCGGACGAGGATCAGCTGTTTCTCCTTGGAGCTTTGGTTTCTTAGAGTGGGAAATGGTATTTTGAGGACCATGATCTAGGTAGAAGGAGTAATCATTGTTACTGGGTTGGTCAGTGTGTCTAGGTCTTTTCAATGAAACACAGCTAAATAAAGATTACATATGTATGTCTTGAATTGATATTTCCAGACAAAATTTAGGATTATTTGGTTTTACTTGATTTTCTATTTGCAGACTCTTCTCTAATGTATCTTCGTTCCTCAGGAATTAACATGGTGCTTTTGGAAATGTTATCTGTTCTTTCTTAAGAGAGGTAGAGCACTGTTTCACAAGTTTTGAGGCTACATATGTTGACAGGAAGCTTCAAATTAACTCTCAATGATGGACAGACACCTGGGCAGTGCTCCATGTATCATATCACTGTATGGAGGTGTTAAAGACACATCCTGGGATATGTGGTTCGGGCCTGGCTCTGCCAACTAATGAGTCACTTATTTCCTTGTCGTGTAAAATGGGGATAATAATAATCTACCTCTCAAGCTTTGTATGGAAGATAATATATGTGAAAATGCTTTGTAAATTATTAATGTATCATAATAGAAATCATTTCCCCATCTTATTAAAAAATAATGTGATAGTCTTTGAACCACTATACTTTTGATTAGCTTTTTCCTCAAGATTTGTTTACTCTTGTAAGGCATATTTGTCTTTTTTGTTAAGTTGCCAGGATAGCCTTCCTAATTACCTTCTTTAATGGGTCTTCCTCTCTGTAGTTAAATGTATATGTTTGTAAGCCTCTCTTGAGGTGAATACTCTTTGGCTTAAATATTTGTTTGGCTTAAATATTAATTAAATATTTTAATTTAAATTAATTTATGATGTTATAGGTATAGAAAGGAGAATCAAAGTAGGGGTGTGTTTTGTTTTTTGTCCATCAAAGCATAAACCTTGTTTTTGATGATGCTTTATTTCTGTTTCCAGTGTCATGGTGTACTGTAGACCCAGAGCTGTACCTCTGGGGAGATATATAACTAATCTTTCCTTTGATGGGACCTAATTTCAGAGCGCTGTCTTCATAACCTGGAATCAAATGAAAAGTCCAGGTCAGGTTATCCAGCTAGATACAAGTGTATTGTGTGCTTGGTGTTCCTAGGCTCTTTATTATCCTTATTTGGCTCACAGGCCTTTCTGAGCTAAGACTTTAGAGGTCAGGTGAGTGTGTGTGTGTGTGTGTGTGTGTGTGTGTGTGTGTGCAGTTATTCTTTTTAAATTCTAGAAGAACAGGGTCCTTTTCTTTCTTGATGCCATGTTTATCTACCTGAAATCTCACAAAGCAGCAGCCAGCATGTACTTCCTAACTTTACTGGTGTTTCCTTTGTCCTGCCTTCAGGAGAACTGTTTTAGTTACCCTCCTGCCATCTTGTGCTCTTATGGCCCTGAATTTAGCCTTTTCTTTGGTTTCACAGCCTTAGATTATTCCAGCCTAGCTTTTTTTATACTTAGGCTTCTTTCTAACTTTTCTTCCCATGTGTCAATGATACTTTCCTTAAACTCACCCTGTACTGTTTTACAACTGCATTCTACCCCTTCCAGCAATTTTAGCCAAACTTTGCAGTTGACAGTGGCCTCCTTCCTGCAGCCTAGGCTTCTGAAACCCCTTTACAGTATCTTCATATATAGACTTATGGCGCTCATTTTCATTCACCAACAATTCTGTCCCTGTAAGGAGTTAAAATCATTGTTATTCTTAGGTATTTCTAGTATGAAATAATAGAACCATATTCTAAAACTTTGGAAAATAAACACTTAATCCCTTTATTCTTTCATACTGTTTTAATGTGTTTTTTTCCCTTTTGTCTTATCCCCAATAATTTTTGTACAATTAATCTGGAGTACATTTTTGGTTTTTTACCCTCATATCCTCAGAAACTGAAGAGGCTACCAGGAGCATTTTGCATGTCCTTTCATAGGATTTATCATTAATACTGAAAGACAAAATTTAATATTTTATACTCTGTAAAAGTACTAATGTAATTAATAATTAATACATGGTACAAATACTAATAGTTTTCCAAGAAAGATACATTGGTCAGGCTTTTTTGAAGTCTTCAGTTATTGTCCTACTGTCCTATTGTTAACAGTTAATTTCCTTCCAGGTTTAATATACCTCCAGTTTCAGTATACCTGTAGATTTAATATACACATTCATTTAAATAATACATAATGTCTGAGATAGATGTATAACATGTTTAGCTGTTCCTGTATCAGAAGTGTACTAAATTCTCATATTTTTACTATTGTAAATACTTATGGTGAAAATTTTTGTGTACACATATTTGTTCATATTTTAGATTATTTCTTTAAAATCCCAGAAGATAACTAGGTTAAAGTAACAGTATTTTTAGTATTTTTATTACTCGTGATTTACATTTCTGGATAGCCTTCTATAAAGGCTATAATAGTTTATGATACCTTTAGCAAATTGGTTACAGCTTTTTTTTTTTTCCCTCTGTCCCCCTTGACCTCAATGTTCATTTCTTTCTTGGGGGTTTTAGCGTGTCCTTTTAGCTTCACAACAGTATCTCTTTTGGAAGGCACTTTGGCTTGTGGAGAGAAGAATGCACAGTGTACTGCAGTGGGGCATAGGAGAGAGATGCGGAAGAGGTGTGGGGCAGTGGAAGACCCTGACAGAAAGGTGGTGGTTGTGAGGATGGCAAAGTCGTTCTGAGATGGATTTTCTACTTTCTTACGGCATTATCCCTGGTAAGAAACTATCTCTAAGCTGCAAGAATTCCAGTGTCCAATGTTAAGGAATCAACCTGTGACTAGGTTTTAAAAACAATGATATTGGACTCTCAGCAATCAAACTATGCGTTTTCTTATACAAAAATGGAAAAAGCAACAAGAAATGGTCTCCAGATTTATAAAGAATGGGTTATGACTTGTGTACTTTACTGAAGATGTTGTAACCTGGTTTCATAGTTAGGAACCTACTGAGTATTAGCCACATATGAAAGTAGAAGTTTACAATTCCCCAGAAATTCATTAAAGAGCCTGAATTGCTTAGCAACCTCACAAATTTATTAAAGCGATTTCATAGATATCATCTTCTACTTTATGTAACAGTTACTAGGTATGTCAGTGTTTGAAAGAATATGGTCATGTGCAGTTAAAGAACTGGAGAATTGTGATCTAGCACTGCAATGTGCTGAATTGATTTTCACACATTGTGTATTACTGATCGCTATATATTTAAACTTGCTTTAGCCAAGTGTAATTTTGTTATTTAGAGTAAACTGGACTTCGGAATGGTATTGCTTTCAGTCATTCGAGACTATAGTAGGAACATTTTATAGAGTACTAATAAAAAGAGACATCTTGAATGTAACATTAAACCATTTCATTATTTTATAGACTATGCCATCTGTAAGCATGCCAAGATTTTGGGGGGAGGAGGGGGACTTCAAATGACTATGCATTAATTGTACCTCATGTTTAGCATGTATTGTTTTAAATGCTTTATCATAGGATATCCTATAACCTGATGGAAATGATGGCATATAGTTCGTAACAGAGTGTTTTGCAGAACTTTAGACCCCTTTGAAGCTGAAAGCATTATCCTTTAATTCTAGGACCTATTCTGCCTTTGTTTCTTAGGCCTTTAGATTCCTCCATGGCCAAGTATCCAGCCCTGGCATGGGTGCTTATTAACTATGTGTCCTTGGGCAATTTTTTTTAACTCTGCTGAGGCTGGCTTTATGATCAGTGAGTTGTAAATCTCTGTAGATCCCAGCCTGCTCTCACTGACAAGTTGGTACCTACAGTACCCTGGGAACTGCAGCTAGAGTGGCCAGGGAATATTCAGGGAAAAAGCTATAGGACACAGGGATTGGGGAAAATGAACAGCAAAAATCTTTTATCTTGGGAGTAGAAGTTGAAGGACAACATTCCAAATATAATCTTATAATCCAAGTCTAATTCATATAAGCATTTATAGTGAAAGATGGGGCAGAACATAAGATCAGATTTTCTAGGTATTCTTATTAGTTAAAGACCAGAATTTCTGGAACAAAATTTCTAGGAAAGTATGATTTTTGTGAGGATGAAAATAACTATTACTATCATTATTAATAACTTTTGTTCAGGTACTAAATATGTACCAGGAGCTAGTAAATACTTCTATATAAACAGGTGACCCTCAGTATCCATGGGTTCCATATCTGTGGATTCAACGAAATGCAGATCGAAAATACTTGGGGAATAAATGGATGGTTGTGTCTGTACTGAACAGTGCAGACTTTTTTCTTGTCATTATTCCCTAAGCAATAGAGTATAACAACTGTTTACACAGAATTTAATTGTATTTTGTATTATAAGTAATCTAGAGATGATTTAAAACTATAGGGGAAGATGTGTGTGGGTTATATGTAAATACCGTGTCACTTTTTATCAGGGACTTGAGTATCTGTGGATTTTAGTGTACTAGTGGGATGCCCAATCTCCTGCAGATATTTAGGGACAACTATATAATTAATTCTGTCAATGACTTTTTAAAAGATACATCCTATTATTATCTTCATTTATCAGATAAAGAAACCATTACTAGAAAGGCTTGGTGATGTATTCCCTGAGTGGTGCATGTGACATAGGAACACAGGCTATCTGAATCCAGGGCCTGCAGTTGAACTCACACCAAGTTGTGTATCTTCTACTTGCCCTTATAAATATACTCGTTGCTGGGCATGGTGGCTCATGCCTATAATGTTAACACTTTGGGAGGCCGAGGTGGGTAGATTGCTTGAGCCCAGGAGTTCGAGACCAGCCTGGGCAACATAGGGAGACCTCATCTCTACAAATAATTAAAAAATTAGCTGGATGTGGTGGTGCATGCCTGTCATCCCACATACTTGGGAGGCTGATATAGGAGAATCACCTCTGTGTCTGGGAGGTTGAGGGTGCAGTGAGCAGTGATCGCACCACTGCATTGCAACCTGTGCAACAGAGTGAGACCCTGTCTCAAAAAAACAAAACAGATAGACTCCTTGCTCTTCTCTTCACCACCTATGTCCAGGAGCAGTGGTGACCCTTCAGGAGGCATCAGCAGGTTCCCTTGCCCCAAATTCCTGTCCTGTTCAGCTCATGAGAGATGTCATGGCAGGAGAACATAGGACAATGGGGGAGAGCAGTCAGAGTAGTCATTGTCCTGGTGCCCTCCCTGTGGGGTTGGCTGCCATGTCTTTACCCAGGGTCACATCTGTCAGGAACCCTCTTCAGCATTCTGGTAACTGTTCCCTTTCCTTGTCCCTTCAAGCCAAGGGCAGAGGGAGTGCTAAGTTCTTGTGGTGACTAGACCTGAGATACTGCACTGTCCCTTTTTGATTTTGTCAACCTTGCCTACACTTGCTGTGAATAGGTCCTTCATTAACTTGCCTTCAGTAACCCAGATGGAGTGTGCCATCTCTTCTTGCCCAGGTCCCTGACTGATAGACCAGCTCTCTCATTTAGAGAAATGTGAGTGTTTTCTTACTTTTTTGCAGTCAGTAAATATTTATTAAGTATCCAGAAAGCATGAGGCACTGTTCTTGGTGTACTAGGGTCACTAATGGAGCAAGAGCCATGAGCCCTGCCTGTGGGCAGAGGGGAGGAAATTTATAAGTATCTATATTTTATATATATATTTACTATATATAATGTATATTTACTATGTATAATATATTTACTGTATATATAATATATATTTACTATACACACATATTTACTGTACATATATATGAAAGTATGTATATATTTACTATATTATATGTTATAATAGTATATTATATAGTATTATATATTGTATATTACTATATTATATGTACATTTATATATATTTATTCTGTCAATGACTTTTTTAAAGATACTTCCTGTTATTATCTTTATCAGATAGAGAAACCAGTACCCGAAAGGTCTGGTGATATATGGCTGGAGTAAATATATGTAAATGTATATATAATAAGTATATATATATTAAACATAAATACATATGTGGATGAGCAGGCATTTGGTTGGAACTTCTAAGGACTCATACAATTTAGTGAAAATGTAAAAACAACTTTGTAAAATGTGTTTTGGGGATAATGAATAGAAGTGTCTAGATGGGGCTAAGGGCTCCCGTGAAGGACTAGTGGGATTAGATGAGATAATGTACTTATGTTGAAAAGTACTTGGTCTTTTTTTTTTAATCCTGCTTTTTGCAAAACTTTTGCACCTAAATTAGTGTTATATTTATAGTTGTTCATGCTTGTTGTAAATAAAAACTGGAATGAAGTAGTAATAATGCCTAGAGTAGTCCTTTCTTGAGGGGAAGCTGAGTTTCTTTGGATATCTGTTTACTCTCTATGTCAGGCCTGCAGTTGTGTTTGGACACACCATGGTTGTAATTCATACTCTTGGTTTTAGCAACACTTTCATATGTAGTTGTCACTACGTTGTAATTACAGCAATAAAATCCATTCTTTGGGAACTATTCCAGTGTTTAGAATGCTGAAAATAAGTGTGCTTAGTACCAGTTGTCACAATGATTTTTCCAATGCTAGAATTTCTAAGAAATCAGTGTCTATTGTACTTCAAAACAAAACTGATGTCTAATAAAATTCTCCTTTTAGAGATGGCAGCTCTTTGTAGAACCTGAAAAAGGAAACTTTAAATCAAAAGGAATATTAAAAAAGCCTTATGTTATTCTATTTAGAAATATTGAAAGGGAAGAAGGAATAATCAAGTATCTCAGAAAAAAAAATAGCCTGGAGGCTTCAGGATATACTTTGCCTTATTTAGAAATTAAGTTGGTTCTAACATAAACCTGAGGGAGGAGTAGTTTGTATGTGTGGGATTGGGGTCAGCCCATTTGACCCTCTGATTCTTTCTGTTTTATATAGGAAAAGCTATATGGAATTCTACCTAAGCCTGTTTCTGTTTAATTATCTATGGGTGCACTGGTCTCTGCTACAGAGTCCACTTAGGCTCAGGCATAATAGCACAGACTGAAGCCATTGGGCCAAATCTGGAGAGAAGCTGTGTCACTAGAGTATCAGCAGAGCAGGCGACACTGTGCTTGGGTAGGCTTTTACCATGCTGTTCTTCACACTGGAAATTGGTCAGAGTGTTGCTGTTTATTAGCTATACCTAGGAATTTAATGATGTATCCTTTTTCTAGTGATTTAAATGGACATAATTGCAGGAAAGGTTGGTAATTCAGCAAGAAGATTACTTAGAAAACTTTTAGAATTGGTTTCATGATGCTAGGGACATTTCTGATTTCTGTCCATGGTGGCATAGGACATCCATATGAAGTTGTAGCTATCACAACATGCATCTTTTAATCTGGAGACTGAGAAAATATTCTGCCTGGTGTGACAAAATGGCTATCCCAATATAGCCATTTTGATATGTGATATGGTTTGGCACTGTGTTCCCACTCAAGTTTCATGTCGAATTGTAATTTCCAGTGTTGGAGGAGGGGCCTGGTGGGAGGTGATTGAATCATGGAGCAGACTTCCCCCTTGCTGTTCTTGTATTCTCACAAGACCTGGTTGTTGGAAAGTGTTTGGCACCTCTCGGCCGGGCGCGGTGGCTCACACCTGTAATCCCAGCACTTTGGGAGGCCGAGGCGGGTGGATCACAAGGTCAGGAGACCAAGACCACCCTGGCTAACACAGTGAAATCCCGTCTCTACTAAAAATACAAAAAAATTAGCCAGGCGTGGTGGCAGGTGCCTGTAGTCCCAGCTACTCGGGAGGCTGAGGCAGGAGAATCATTTGAACCCGGGGGGCGCAGATTGCAGTGAGCCGAGATCGCACCACCGCACTCCAGCCTGGGCGACAGAGGGAGACTCTGTCTCACAAAAAAAAAAAAAAAAAAAAATGTTTGGCACCTCCCACTTTGCTGTCTCTCTCCTGCTCCACCATGTAAAGATTGTGCCTGCTTCCCCTTCACCTTCTGCCATGATTGTAAGTTTCCTGAGGCCTCCCTAGCCGTGCCTCCTGTACAGTCCGTGGATCTGTGAGTCAAACCTCTTTTTTCCATAAATTACCCAGTCTGTAATACAGCATAATTACATCCTAACTCCCCATTGCCTTCCAGGGAGTCTGTCCTGGACTTCATCCCTCCTCTCCAAACTCTTGATAAACATTATTTTTTGAATATCTTCATACCATCTCAAACACATGTCTACAGTAGAACTGAGTGTCTTTCTACGAATTTGACTCCTTAGCTTGAAGGTTTAAAGCAAACTTGTCCAACCTGTGACTCATGGGGCCACATGCAACGCAGGACGGCTTTGAATGAGGCCCAACACAGATTCGTAAACTGTCTTAAAACATTATGAGATTTTTTTGTGATTTTTTTAAGCTCATCAGCTATTGTTAGTGTTAGTATATTTTATGTGTGGCTACACTGGGCCACACTGGAAGAAGACAATTCTTCTTCTTCCAGTGTGGTGCAGGGAAGCCAAAAGATTGGACACCCCTCTTATAAAGGATACTAGCAATTGCCTATTTATTCAGATTAAGAACTGCAAATTCTTCTGGACATATTCTCCAGAAAAAGTTCATATATGCAGTGCTTTGCATAAAATTCAGGCTTGATGACTAGTCCCTCCTGAAGCTAACCTGAGTATACAACATTTAAAAAGTAGAAGCCTGACTGCGAGGATGACATCAAAGGCCCACTGTCCAGTATTTCATGTCTGTACACTGGTGGATCACTACCCTTAACTAGTCTTCCCCTTCTCAAGCCTCTTGTAAGAATTCTTTCCTTTAGCAACAGCAATTTATTTATTCGTTCTCTGAAGGAGGCTTGTTTTCCTTTCTCCACTCCATTGGTAACACATCTCATCCCATCCCATTTAGAATTCTTGCTGTAGTTCTTTTTGCCCAGTGACCTTTTCCACCCTTTAAAACCCAGCCATGTTACACCTCCTCTAAAGTTGAAATTATGCTTCCTGTTATGTTTTCATGGGGACACATTTCTCTACATAGGGACTGAAAGTTCCTTAAGGACAAGGACAGTCATTTATTTTACTACTCAAAGTGCATGGTATACATATCAAGCAAATACTTTTGGTTGATTTTGTATGGGTGTGTGGGTGTCTATCTTTGTGTGTGGGTGTGTTTGTACCTCAACCCTGCCGAGGTGCCCATTTTGCTTTCATGTGTGGTCTTGGAAGTCTTTTTTATGTACCAATATAGACTCTTTTATTAACATATTATTACTATGTTAGTTGAAAGTGAAAAATAATTCCACTGAATATTTTAACAATAAAAGCAAAATATGTGGTCTCTTTCAAAATTAGAATATTTTCCCTAGTTAGAGAGTTAGAATAATTTAAATTTTAAAATATTTTAATTGGATATTAATGTATACTAATTTATTAATAAAAGAAAATGTGTGTGGGGTCCCACAGGATTATTCCTAGGATAAATAGACAGTTTTTTTCCTTAAGAATATGCCACTTAAAAATATTAGAATACACTGAATCCCAAATGAGGTTTATGGTACATGATATCATGATTTATGGGAAGAGTTGGATCTGAATATATTTACTGTATATTCTTATGATACTTTTATAAAAAAATTCCTCCCCAGAGAGCTAGAGAATAAACATAAATGGCAAGTATGAAAAACCTTTTAAATATTGGGAACCAGTAAATTTTTTTTTTTGTTTTAGTTGCTGCTTTCCTAAGAGAGATACTCGATGAAAGTTGTTGACCAAAGTACATTTTTAAATCTTGGGTGGTTTAGGCAGGATTTATGCAGAAGTGATTTTGTCTTTAGATTCTTAAAAGGGTTCTGGAGAGATTTTATTTGATATTAAAGCTGTGAGATTGTAAATGGAGAAAAGTCATTCTGTGTGTATTTGACAGTCACCCATATCCTGTCACTGACGCTGAGATGGAAGCAAACTGAGTATTACTCACTTCATTGGCTCTATGGTATTTACTTAACTATATTAAACAAACACTGGGGAAACCTCAGGCCCTCTGATATAAAATATGCAAATCCTTAAGCATGACAATTTATTAGAAAAAGAGAAAAATAAAGTGTGTCCATTGACAGTTCTGTGCAGAATTTAGGCAATGACTCATACATATTTTGCTGATTGTTTTTGTAATAAAAATTATTCAAGAGAAAAATTAATACATTTTTATTTTCATAAGCAGTTCATTAATTATGTGAAGAAAAAAATTTTGTTTCATGGGTTTCTTAGGCAACAATCTGTACTTTGGCTTAATGTGACATATTAGTTAAGGCATTTTCCTGCATATTCCAACTTTAGGCCTCTTAAACCTTTGCTCATAAATGTTACTGTTCATCAGCCTGTCAGTTAGCTGTCAAGTTGTGGTGTCAGCTCTCTTAGACTCATCATAGTAGCCCATTCTTGTATTAGTACTTTCTACCTAAGTATTTCTTAAATGATGACTGAATTATTTTAATACACAAATATGAAGTGACCATATAACTTCTTTTGGTTCACTAGAGCCAAATGCATCTCACTAAACTTTTAAAAGAAGGCAATTTCCAATTCCAAAAGCATCTTCTGTCATGTCTTCCTTTGCTTTTTTGACATGGAAGTATAATATTTTTAAGATAAGGTATCTGGATAATCAATGTATTTTCATGGCTTACTCAATGAATTTTGTCACTAGATGTGACTGCTATAACGTGTCTCTCTTCCTTCTTGTCTAAGGATGCTTTCTACTTCTAGCTATAATGTGTCTCTCTTCCTTCTTGTCTAAGGATGCTTTCTGGTTCTAGCCAAAGAACATTCTGGATTTATTGTTTTATTTGGTTTTGACATATGTTCTTTCAATTAAACACATTTAAAAATAGGAGATATACAGACATGCATAAAGCATATATACTTTAAATAGAAGCTATAAATTATAAAATACATACCTCTGCACTTGTATTACCACTTCCCTGGTGAAGAAATGGAATGTTGCTTGCACCCCAGAAGTTCTCACGTGCCACTGCTGAAACACTTTTCCCTTACTGCAGAGGAAAGCACTATCCTGAATGTTGTGATTATTATTCCTTTCTTTTCTTTCCTACCTAATGTAGGACTCTAAACATTCAGTTTAGTTTTTCGTGTTTTTTGAACTGTATATGAATGTACTCATACAGTGTTGTGTCTGAATGCTTTCATTCAGTGTTTGTGAGATTCATCCATGTCATTGCGTGAAGCTGTAGGTTGTTAGTTTTCAGTTATAATCATTCCCTCATATTAATATATTAAACGTGAATTATCCACTCTCTTGATGACCATTTGTGTTGTTTCTAACCTGGGGCTATTGTGAACAGGGTTGTGATGAATATTCTGAGACATACCAGTGTGTACATACATTATCTTCCTTAATTTATAGATGAGTGGATCATAGGGTTATATTCATTTTCCACTTCCCAGATAATGAGAATAGTTTTGCAAGTTAGTTGTGCCAGTTCATATTTCTATTATCAGAGTTCTGGTTCTTCCACATCCTAGAGTATGTTTAGTATTACAGCTGCTCCTTTATAATGGGGTCACATCCTGATAAACCAATGGTAAGTTGAAAATATAGTAAGTAAACAATGCATTTAATACACCTAACCTACAGAACATCATAGCTTAGCCTACCTTAAACACTCTATGAACACTTACATTATCCTACAGTTGGACGAAATTATCTATTACAAATTCTATTTTATAATAAAGTGTTGAATATCTAACTTAAGAGTATTGAAACACATAAGACCAACCTGGGAAAAGACAAAAATTCAAGATACAATTTCTACTGAATGCTTATTGCTTTTACACCATCGTAAAGTCGAAGAGTTTTAAGTTAAACCACTGTAAGTTGGAGATCATCTGTATTAGTTACTGCTTTTGCTATTTCAATGGGTGTTCAGTGGTATCTCATTGTAGTTTTAATTAGCATTTTCTGGATAACCAATAAGGTTGAGTTCCTTTCTAGATGTTTATTGGTCGTTTATTCTTTTCTGTAAAGTATTTTGTTTGTCTTTTTCTATTGGGTTGTCTGTTGTTCATTTTTGTTTTTTGAGGCATTCCTTATATTCTGCATATCTGTCCTTTGTTGGATACAGTTTTGTTATACATGTATTTTTTTTAATTTTGTGCCTTGCTGCATTTTATGATTGGAAGTTTAGTCTAAATTTCTCAATTTTTTTGTATGTGGTTTATACCTTTTGTCTTATTTGCATATTTTTTTGACATTTCATTATTTCTAATTCACTGAAAAAATGTTGGATTCAGGTTAAGTTGTATGTAATAAGACTGGAAGAAAAATGGCCATATTGCACTGTCTCTAAAGTACCCTGGAGTGGTACACTGTGATCATATGCAATATCCAATAGTAATTTGAAGACATATTTTAGAAGTATAATTTAAATGTTTTTAAGGGCTGCAGTTCTGAGAGTTTTCTTTAAGAAGAACAGGGATAGAATATGCAATGGGTAATTAAATTCCATATATACATGTGCTAAATTAAGTTTTTTGGAGGAGATAAGAGTGCCACAATATGATTTAAAAGCTGCAAAACATTAAAAAGTACAAATAATGTAACAGAAAGGCAGAACATCTGTTACTTAAAGGAGATATTAAACTTTGAGTGCTAACACAAATGCTATGACATAATTCTAGAGTCTACACATTATTTTGCCTTATTTTGAGTATTATATATTATGAATATTATAAATATTATGAGTATAATTATACTTTTTAAAGGTTAATTTTTGTGTATATTTGGAGAAGGTGACTACGCAATAGTAAGACTGATCTTATTAAATGTGTAGAAAATTATATATCTGTAGCTTCAAAGGAGTTATTTTTGAGGTTATGCAAGTATTTAGAAAGTACTGCTGCTTCTCAAATTTTGAATGCAGTTTTGGAATTACATTCATGACCATATAAATAGGTACTTAATACATTGGTTTATCATGAGAATTTAATCTCATTTCTTTGTGACCATAATCTATATTTTAAAAATAAAACTTATTGAGGTATAATTTACACATAATAAAATGCATAAATTTTAATACCTTTTGAGCTTTAAAATATGTATATACTTTCATATCCACCATTAGATGCCCACTGGTGGTATTCCATTGTTGGATATATCACATTTCAGTTGTTTCCAGTTTTTTTGCCGGTATGAATAAAGGTGTTATGAACATTCATGGACAAGTGTATTTTTAGACATGTTTTGTTTCTCTTGGGTAAATACTTAGTAATTCATTATGAGTTGTGGGCAAGCATATATTTAGCTTTAATATATAAAGCTTTAAAATATATAAATATAAATATATATTATATATTATATTATATATAATATATTTATATTTATATATACTATAATTTATATATAATATATATTATATATATAATATATTTATAATATATATCATATAAATAATATATATTTATAATATATATCATATAAATAATATATATTTATAATAGATATCATATAAATAATATATATTTATAATAGATATCATATAAATAATATATATTTATAATAGATATCATATAAATAATATATATTTATAATAGATATCATATAAATAATATATATTTATAATATATATCATATAAATAATATATATTTATAATATATATCATATAAATAATATATATTTATAATATATATCATATAAATAATATATATTTATAATAGATATCATATAAATAATATATATTTATAATAGATATCATATAAATAATATATATTTATAATAGATATCATATAAATAATATATATTTATAATATATATCATATAAATAATATATATTTATAATATATATCATATAAATAATATATAAAGCTTTAAAATAAGACAATTTTAAATCATTGTCTACAGTTCTTGCACCATTTCATATTCCCACCAGCAATGTATGGGCATTCTGGTTGGTCCACATCCTTGCCAACACTTGTGTTGTCAAGTGATGTTGAACATGTTATTTAAAGTGTGTGCTTGTATCTTTTGTCCATTGTGTTTTTTGGTTTATTTGTCATATTATTGAGTTTTAAGAGTCTATTTTTTATGTATTTTGAGTACTAACCTTTTGTCACACTGTTTTCCAAGGAGAAATTGAAAATTGTTTTAATGATAGTGTCATTGGATGTGTGTGTCTACTTTCTTCCCTGTTTTGTATGCATGAGTTCTAAACCACCCATCCCCACAAAGGAGTTTCCTTACATTTTTACTCTGTATGTGGGTGTGTTTGGAAAGATGAGAAAGAAACATCATTATTATGCATGGTACTGGTAAACAACACCACCACCACCACCCAGACACACAAAAAAATGGAACAGAATAGAGAGCCCAGAAATAGGGCTGCACACCTACAATTATGTGATCTTTGACAAAGCTGACAAAAACAAGCAATGGGGAAAAAACTCCCTATTCAATAAATGCTGCTTGGATAACTGGCTAGCCATATGCAGAAAATTGAAATTGGACACCTTCCTTAAACCATATACAAAAATTAACTCAAGATGGATTAAAGACTTAAATGTAAAATCCAAAACTATAAAAAGCTGGAAGACAACCTAGGCAATACTGCTCTGGACTTAGGAATGGGCAAAGAGTTCATCTTGGAGATGCCGGAGGCAATTCCGATTAAAGCAAAAATTGACAAGTGAGATCTAATTAAACTTAAAAGCTTCTGCACAGCAAAAGAAACTATCAACAGAGTAAACAGATAACCTACTGAACAGGAGAAAATATTTGAAAACTATGCATCTGACAAAGGGCTAATATCCAGTATATATAAGGAACTTAAATTTACAAGAAAAAAAACCCATTAAAAAGTGGACAAAGGACATGAACAGACACTTTTCAAAAGAAGATATACATGCAGCAAACAAGCATATTAAAGCTCAATATCACTGATCAATAGAAAAATGCAGAACAAAACCACAATGAGATACCACCTCAAACCCATCCAAATGGCTATTATTAAAAAGCCAAAAATAAGATGCTAGTGAGGTTGTGGAAAAAAGGGAACACTTACACATTATTGGTGGGACTGTAAACTGGTTCAACCATTGTGGAAGACAGTGTGGCAATTCCTCAAAGAGTTAAAAACAGAATGACCATTCAACCCAGCAATCTCATTACTGGGTGTACACCTAAAGGAATATAAATCATTCTGCCATAAAGACCCATGCATGCAAATGTTCATTGCAGCACTATTCACAACAGCAAAGACATGGAATCAACCTAAATGCCCATCAATAATAGACTGGATAAAGAAAATGTGGTACATATACATCATGGAATATTATGCAGCCATAAAAAGAAATGAGATCATGTTCTTTTTAGGAACATGGATGGAGTAGGAGGCCATTTTCCTTAGCAAACTAACACAGGAACAGAAAACCAAATACTGCATGTTCTCACTTGTAAGTGGGAGCTAAATGATGACAACTGTATCAGTCCATTTTCACATTGCTATGAAGAACTACCTGAGATTGGGTAATTGATGAAGAAAAGAGGTTTAGTTGACTCACTGTTCTGCATTCTTAACAGGAAGCATGCCTGGGAGGCCTCAGGACTCTTATGATCATGGTGGAAAATGAAGGGAAGGCAAGCATATCTTACCATGGGGGAGTGAGAGAGAGAGAGAGAGAGAAGGAGGAAGTGCCACACACTTTCAGACAACCAGATCTCAGGATAACTCACACACTATCATGAGAACAGCAAGTGGGAAGTCCACCTCTATGATTCAGTCACCTCCCACCAGGTCTCTCCCCTGACATGGGATTACAATTTGAGATGAGATTTGGGTGAGGACCCAGAGCCAAACCATATTATTCTGCCGCTGACCCCTGCCAAATCTCATGTCCTTCTCACATTTCAAAACACAATCATGCCTTCCCAATAGTCCCCCAAAGTCTTAACTCATTCTAGCATTAACCCAAAAGCCCAAGTCCAAAGTCTCATCAGAGACAAGACAAGTCCCTTCCATCTATAAGCCTGTAAAATCAAAAGCAAGTTAAGTTAGTTACTTCCAATACAATGGGGGTACAGGCATTGGGTAGATGCTCCCATTCCAAATGGGAGAAATTGACCCAAAGAAAGGGGCTGTTGGCCCCATGCAAGTCCAAAACCCAGCAGGGCACTCATTATATCTTAAAGCTCCAAAATAATCTCCGTTAACTCTGTGTCTCACATCCAGGGCACACTGGTGCAAGAGGTGAGTTCCCATGGCCTTGGGCAGCTCTGCCCCTGTGGCTCTGCAGGATACAGCCCCTTTTGCTGCTTTCATGGGCTTGTGTTGAGTGTCTGTGACTTTCCTAGACACATGGTATAAGCTGTCAGTGGATCTGTCATTCTGGGGTGTGGAGGATGGTGGCCCTTTTCTCATAGCTCCACTATGCAGTGCCCCAGTGGGGACTGTGTATGGGGGCTCCAATCCTACATTTCTTCCCCACACTACCCCAGTAGAGATTCTCCATGAGGTTTCTGTCCCTGCAGCAGACTTCTGCCTTAACATCCAGGCATTTCCTTACATTATCTGAAATCTAGGCAGAGGCTCCCAAAGCTCACCTTTTGCCCTCTGCACACCCACAGGCCAAACACCATGTGGAAGCTGTTAAGGCTTGGGGCTTGCACCCTCTGAAGCTATGGCCCAAGCTGTACCTTGGCCTCGCAGCCATGGCTGGAACTGGAGTGGCTGGGATGTGGGGCACCATGTCCCAAGGCAGCACAGAACATCTAGGCCCTGGACCTGGCCCATGAAATCATCTTTCCCTCCTAGGCCTCAGGACCTGTGATGGGAGGGGCTGCTGTGAAGATCTCTGAAATGCTCTGGAGACATTTTCCCCATTGTCTTGGCTATTAACATTAGGCTCTTCTTTACTTATGCAAATTTCTGCAGCTTTGAATCACCCCCACCCCCGAAAATCAGTTTTTCTTTTCTCCCACATGGCCAGGCGCAAATTTTCCGAACTTCTTGCTCTGCTTCCTTTTTAAACATAAGTTACAGTTTCAGGCCATCTCTTTGTGAATGCACACGACTGTATGCATTAGGAGCAGCCAGGTCACATTGTAAATGCTTTGCTGCTTAGAAATTTCTTCCACCAGATATCCTCAATCATCTCTCTCAAGTTCAAAGTTTCTAGGGCAGGGGCAAAACATCACCAATCTCTTCACTAAAGCATAGCAAGGGTGACCATTACCCCAGTTCAGACCACCTCAGCCTGGACTTCATTGTCCATATCACTAGCAGCATTTTGGTCAAAACCATTCAACAAGTATCTAGGAAGTTCCAGACTTTCCCACATCTTCCTGTCTCTTTCTGAGCCCTCCAAACTGTTCCAACCTCTGCCTGTTACCAAGTTCCAAAGTTGCTTTCACATTGTTAGGTATTTTTGTAGCAGTGCTCCACTAATACCAATTTTCTATATTAGTCCATTTTTACACTGCTATAAAGAACTACCTGAGACTGGGTAATTTATGAGCAAAAGAGGTTTAATTGACTCACAGTTCTGCAGGCTTAACAAGGAAGCATGAATGGGAGGACTCAGGGAACTTACAACCATGGTGGAAGGTGACAGGGATGCAAGCACATATTACCATTGTGGATCATGAGAGAGTACAAGTGAAAGGGGAAGTGCTACACAGTTTCGAACAACCAGATCTCCTGAGAACTCACTCACTATCATGACAATAGCAGGGGAAGTCTGCCCCCATTATTCAATCACCTCCCACCAGGCCCCTCTCCCGACACATGGGGATTACAATTCAAGATGAGATTTGGATGGGGACACAGAGCCAAACCATATCAAAAACTCATGGACACAAAAAACTCATGGACACAACAGACACTGGGATCTTCTTGAAGGTGGAGGTTGGGAGGAAGGAGAGGATCAGAAAGAATAACTATTGAGTACTAGGATTAGTACCTGGGTGATGAAATAATCTGTAAATGAAACCCCAATGACACCAATTTACCTACATAACAAACGTACACCTGTACCCCTGAACCTAAAATAAAAGTTAAAATTAAAAAAAAAAAAACCTAGCTATTATGGAAAAAAGAAAGTCATTGTAACCCCTTCTGTTAGATATACTTTTAAAACGTTAAAGTAACTTTTCACTTGTAAATACAATGTGTTTTTGATAAACACCTGTCAGAGCACTGTGTTGCTATATGTGGCATCCAGACTCTTAGCATAACCTCTCATGATCTATGGCAGCTTTAGGTCAGTCTTAAAAAAAATGTTGAAAGGGCCAGGCACAGTGGCTCATGCCTGTAATCCCAGCACTTTGGGAGGCCGAGGTGGGTGGATCACCTGAGGTCAGGAGTTTGAGACCAGCCTGACCAACAAGGTGAAACCCCATCTCTACTAAAAATACAAAAATTAGCCAGGCATGGTAGCGGGCGCCTGTAGTCCCAGCTACTAGGGAGGCTGAGACAGGAGAATTGCTTGAACCCAGGAGGCGGAGGTTGCAGTGAGCCAAGATCATGCCACTCCAGTCTGGGTGATGGAGCAAGACTCTGTCTCAAAAAAAAAAAAAAAAAAAAGAAGTTGAAATATTCATTCAGCATTCAAGGGGACCTGATGTCTGAGATTAGTTTAACCTAATGAAGCACTGGTCCTTAAATTTGGGAGGAAAGTTTGAGAGTCTGATGACAACGTACACTATTTCCCCAGATACAAATGTACATTTATGAACATGCATATACATAAATAATTTTGCATGCAATCATATGAGAGTCTCCAGTTTAAAAACTTCTGCAATAAAAATTCCTCTTGTGTGTCTTCATTGGCTACTGCATCTTCACGTCTTATTGTGTGGTCCTCTTTATCTGTGTCTCAGCAAGGAGGTGATGTGAGGATAATCTTGCAAAATGTAGAGTCTTAGAAAGGTGAGCTTTTGCCTGAGACCCCACTTCTTGGTTAACTTATGGTGAGTGTGCCTGTGTTCATCTAATACCTTTCATATAAGGAAGGCAAGATGATTTATCCAGGCTGAGGGGGGAAACGAAGAAAGGATCGTGACAACCTAATGCAGGTTCTTGAATAAAAGGGGTTAGTTTCTAATTTTGATGTGGAACCATAAACATGAGGATTTATTCCTAGTATCATGGGTGAATAGTTGCTTCTATTCCCGTGTATTCCTCACTGAGCTTTCTTGAGTATCATCACAGATAACTCTGTTACCTGGTAATGAAGAACTCTGCTGGGGAAGTAAATGGAATGTGGTGATGTTGGGTTTTTCTGCCATTTTAGCTGATTTGAGGAGATAGTCTTTCTACAGATAGGAAGTTCTCATGCCATGAGTGATAGGGCAGTGTTTTTTATATCCATATAGTGGATTTTAGTTTTTCACTGGAACATGGATAATGAGAAACTGTCTCTAAAAAGTATCTCTGAAGTTGAGATTTTTGGAGGGACTTCTTGAGGGAAGTGTTTTACCAGGAACTGGAACTTCATTATTGGTGATAAGCTCTTTTCCTTTGGAGTTTTTATTTTGAAGCATAATACTCACTTGAATAGGAATAAATTCTTTATTTTTTGTTTATTTCTGGGCACAGTGCCCAGGTTTTTGTTGGGGCAAGTTTATCCTCTAAAGAAACTTTCTTAAACAGTAGATGTTTCATAGTCTCTGGTGGACCGAGCAGACTATCCAGTACATTGAGAGCAGGACTCTTTGAGACCTCCTAAAACAAGAGGATCTTGAAATCTACTGCTGTGGAACAGCAGCTCCAAGGGAGCAACACTTGTCTCCCCCAGAAATACTTAGATTTGTTGCTTTAAGTCTTGGTTGCACACACTGGGTGATATCTGAGAGTAGAAGAGAAAGCTCATGACTTTAGAGACATGTCATCATTTCATTGGCTGCAAGTACACATCTCTTCCTGTTGATTCTCCCCTTAGTTCTATAGCTAAATTCCTTGTCCAGTTACCAATAAGTATCTCTTTTTGGAAAACTCTGTCCATTTTTAAGCAACACTCCTGCATTCAAGGCTACAGATTGCTCAGTGCTTCAGTCAGCTGATACTGCTCCCTAAAGTTATGCAATATCCCAATATCCCTGCTTGAATTTCCACATAGTAGCTACATTCCTTTCTCTTCCTCAGAATCTTGCTTCTCTCTGATTTACTCTGCTTGTCTGTTCTATATAAGATGCCCCCATTTGTTGCCTGCATTCCTGGATGCGTTTTCCTCACTGCTGTTACGCAAGTGCCAAAGTCATTCTACCTTGCAAAAGTTTTAAGTGCCCTTCCCTAATTTAGAATGTTTTCTGAAATTATACTTCATTCATTACTATTCAACATGTATTAAGCATGTTTATAGTGTATTAGGAATTGGGGAAGTGGTCCTGGAGGAGATCATGACCCAGGACATACTATGTTTAGTTGTCCTATGATGTGATAAGCGCTAGCTGTGTGAACATGTACAATGGAGACATAGAAATGTGTTTAAATCTGTTGTGGAGGATTAAAGGAGGTCAGCATATATATCTGAATAACAACCACAAACCCAGTAGCTTAAGTGATAATCATTTATTGTTGCCTGCAAGTCCGTGGGTCAGCTGTGCTATTCTTCCAGTTTTGACTGTGTTTACTCATTTGTCCACGGTTAGCCACAGGCTGGAAATTTGTCTCAGCTGATCTTGTCTGGGCCCTTTCAGGTATTTTGGGGTGAGAAGGTTGTAGGCTGGTTTAGAATAGATGCAGCTAAGTAGACTTATCTTTGGTGGCTTCTTCTCCAGCAGGCTAGTCTGGGCCTTTTCTCATAGCAAAGGAAATGTTCTAAGAAGCAAGCAGAAGTGCTCAAGGCTTTTTGAGATCTAGGCTCAGAACTGGCACACTATTATTTCTGCAGCATTCTATTGGCCACTGCAAATCACAAAGCCAGCCAACATTCAGAGGGAATGGAAATAGACTTCACCTTTTGATGAGAAGTGCTGCAGAGTTGCATGGCAAAGGCTGTAGATACATGGTGGGAAATAACTTGGACCATTTTTTATAATCGATCTACGATTGCACCTTTAATTGATAATCAGACTTCCTGAAGTAGAAAAGTCAGTAGAAGGCATTGAATACAGATATATGGAAGGTTTACATGATAGAAAACAAACAAACAAACAAACAAACAAACATGTATGGGCAGTATGAGCAACTTAATTCCAAAGTTATTCCTGGTATGATAACTTGTTTTAGTGTCATTTTCCAATCTACTTCACTGTTTACAGTCTTAAAGTTTAGGGGTAAGGAGACTATTTTAGGCCAATTCCTTATAAATTAAGAAACACCTAGAAATGTTGAGAGCCACCCAGTCCTTAAATCACATTCTTGACAGAAGTGGAACTATTACTATGAACTCAGATCTCCTCTTTTCATGGTACTCTTCATAAGCACTGTCCATGTTTCCAGTTTTACATTTTTGAAAGGTAGGCATGTTTCATGTGTTATTTCTTAATGTGACCTACCTTCTACATTCTAAATATTTTTTCACAGTATCTGTCACTGTGGGCTCATCAGAAAGACTTGTGCAAATAGTGAGAGCAAATGCCTAAACCCTCATGTACCACCTTGTCCTCATGTTGAGATTTTAATAAGCTTTAAATGATTTGGAATAGAAGCAGCTCCTGTGTTATTTCACTTTTGTCTGTGCCTTTGTGTTCTAGGCACAGTTGTAATGTTCTGAAGTCACAATCTGAGCCATTAAGAGTAAGATCATGATGTCTCTGGATACCCAGAGTGAGTGCCTTGGTCTTATTTGTAATTTTAGAACTGCTGCTTCTTGGGGACCTGGGTCAAGTGATTGTATTAGACTTTGAAGAGTTCTAGGCCATACTGTTTGATGCACAGATTCCATCCCACTGTCGTATCACTTTCTTCTCTTCACAGGAACATAGCAAGATCTGGAGGAGAAAGAGAGGAAACTACTCCAGCTGTGTTCTTTATCATCTCACACTTGTTCATACTTAACCATACATTAAGAATTGTGAGCTGGGCACAGTGACTCACTCCTGTAATCCCAGCACTTTGGGAAGCCAAGGCAGGAGGATTTTTGAGCTCAACCTAGGTAACATAGTGAAACCTCATCTCTACCAAAAGAAAACATAGCTGGGTGTGGTGTTGTGTACCTGTGGTCCCAGCTACTTGGGAGACTGAGGTCAAAGGATTACTTGAGCCCAAGATGTTGAGGCTGCAGTGAGCTATGATTGCATCATTGCACTCCAGCATGGATGACAGAGGTGAGACCCTGTCTAAAAAAAAAATTTTTTTTTTGATTCATATCTTAATTCCTGCTAGAGAAACCAAGGCAAGATGAAGAGAACTGGGACTGAATTCTTAGCTTTATGAAGGCTGTGTGCTTAATTATTCTTAAAGCTTGGCTTATACAAGCCATACGTTTTCAGGTAATCCTATAAAACAAATGAAAGCACAATCATCCACATACCTATGAATATTTGAATATTATATTTAGAACAAATAGCAAAATGAATTGAAATACTTCTTTACTTAATTTTAAATAGTATGTATGATCATAATTTTTCTCCATTACATTATTTTAATGATGTACTTTAGTAAACCATGGTTGCATGCAAGTGAAACTTGAGATTTTCAAAATACTCCTTAATTCTTAAAAAAAGTAAGAACTTTTTTAGTAATATGTATACACATTTGATCTTCATATATTCTATAGTTTATGGGTGTTCAAGTATTTACTGACACTCTTAGCTGCAAAGCCCTGTGCTAGAAGCTGTAAATGAGATGATTGTGACTTAGACATGATCTAAGCCTATCAGGTCAAGAAAGACAAATGTGCAGCTATTATAAAGGCTCTACTATGGCAGATAATTTTTCTAATTGCTAGATGACATTAATTTTCCATTTTGCATTTGGGATATGCTAGAATTTTATATTTTCACCTTTATTCAAAGACACTTTGAAGACTAAAAGTTAAAAAAAAAATCTATCTTATTAGATCCTTCAAGTCAAACTATTGCCCAAGGGAACAGGTGGAGTGAGTTGCTTTACATAGTAAGTTAGGATTGAGTACTAGGCATGGAGTTGGTTTATACATTTTCTTCTGTGTTCTTATAGATATAAACTTTTCACCTTATTGGATTCTTCAGCTTAAAAAAATACAAAAGGATTATTAACTATTGCCCTTAAGTGTTAAAAACGTCTCTTGGTCTTAGTAAATAAGTAGCCTGAACTAAAGATCCTAGGAAAGATTGTCTTCATTGTTTGCAGCCATCATGCAAGACATATGCCTCTTGCAAAAATTGGTGACCATTCACTTTGTCAGTTACCTCAAAGCTGAGGAATGACCGAAGGCAAAAAGTGTATAACCTCTAGAACAGGCATTCAACAAATTATTTTTTTTTTCTTTTCCAAACCTTGTAGGACTTAACACAGGTTATTTACCATATAGATGTTGTTTTCATTGCTAGATTTCTAGAAAATATGTGAAAAGCTCAAATAACTTCATTTCTATTGTGTCAGCTTCTAATATTAATAAAAATTTTACTCTAGATCCAACAAAAGTCCTAACTTTTATTTCCAGGGTACAATCTGCTATTACCAATGTGTCTGAGTATTTTTACTCTTTCATAATAACCTATGCCAATAAATAGTCAAGTGTCCAATCAATCCCCATCATCGTTGCAGACATTTAAAAGCTCATGTAGATATTAAAATGCATTATCTCGGTTCCATTTCTTTGGAGGTCTATACAGCAAATATCTTTGTCCTTGAAAATGTAAGTAGCCAGGCCAGCTATCACATTGTTCCAGGTGTTTTAGCATTCCCTAGCTATAGTAGCAGTCTAGATAGGCTGATCTCAGAAAATGCTAACTCCTCAATTTGCATTCTTAGATGTGTTACTGCTGTACTGAATGTTATCAGATACTCTTGACCTAAAGAGTAATCAATAGCAGAGATTTTAGTTTTCTAGGTTGGAAGAACCTTGGTAATTTTGACATAATTGAACAATTGTGTTGTTTTCCCTAACGTTCATCTTTGGCTTCCAGTGATAGCCCCAAAGAAGTAATTTCTTTCTGTATTCTGAACCTGTATTTTAGGTATCTGGCCCCATTGAGAGATGCGCCAAGATATTCTTGTGTGACACAGCTAGATAGGCTAGGGGTTTCTAACTCAACCATCAATGGAGCTGGACAGGGAAATCAAATTCCCTGAATGAGGTGGGCTGAATGAAGGCAAGAAGGAATGGTGATAGGTGGCCAAGTGGAGGGTACACAAGTGTGTGAGTTGTGTATATAGCATCGTGGCTCAGATCCAGTTGATTACCATTACACTGGAATGCAGGCCCACTTTTGAAAGATTACATGTTTCCCCCACATCATCCCAAGAGGAGCTAGTCAGATTTTGATGCAGAATTTCCCACCTTTAACATACTGTGCAACTAAAGAAAACACTTCTGTATGTCAGGATGTGGTTGGCACTGTGATCCAGGCTTCCCTATCCATGAATGGTGACATCTGAGACCATTTTATCATCATCTTAAGTACTTTCATACATTATTTAACAGCAGCATTGAAATAACATTAATCTGTCTTTATAAACAATGGATGCTATTTACAAAAATTATGATACAACTACCTAGGTCAAAGCCAAGGTTCCTTTTGATGCTAAACATAAAGTTGCAACTATTACTATTTACAGTAATTCTAGCATTAATGCCATTCTCTAAGATTGGAAGACTTTGAGCCAAACTTATTTTCAGTCTACATGGGGACCTCAGAGGAAAACACCCCTACAGATAATTCACCTCAACCTCAGATGTCCAGGCAAGACGAACAGAGGTGTGAAGTGCTGGTTGATAGCTCTCAGTGAGGCCTCCAGATAATGTATTTCTTTTTCATCTGCTTCCCTTGGGGAAGAAGCTATTCCACAAATGTTTATTGAGTATAGAACCTTCTGAATTATAAATTTTCATCCCTTCTGTTGTGTCCCTTGCTCTGAAGTTTTTCTCCTTCAATCAATAGTTTCCATTTCAACCATGTTTATTATTGCAATTAACCACCTCCTTCTAACTGCTTTTTGCAATGTTTTATAAAAGCAACCACCAGATACTTCCAAGTATCCTAAAGAAAATTGTCCTCCCGACTCCAGCCCCAGCTATTAAACATTTAAAACAAATGAAGTTATTTATTGAGTACCTATAGTTTGCCAGGGAATATGCTAAGTTGCGGGGTGTGGTGGCCTATGAAAATATAAGACATAGAAATGTATGATCTTTTAAAAAGTTGCTAATATACTGTTCTGTCAATACTGTCTCTGGAAGGAGTTCAGATAATGTATAATAAATCATTAGTGGACCAGGCCAACATCTAGTTAAGCACTAATCTTGGTTCCAAAAGGTTACAGAAGTATATTTCTGAAGTGACTCCCATACTAAATTTTGATCCTTTAAAGAAGTTACTACTCTTCCTATTTGGTGATTTATCCCCCCTCTGTGAAATTATTTTTTTGTTTTTCATTTCCTTTTAGGAACAGAACTCATTAATTGCTACTAATAGCAATTGTGTGATGTTTTTAATTCCTAAAGAAAGGTGCTATGAAAATCTAGTTGATCTTAACATGAGTTTAATTTTAAAGTATTAATGTATAGAACATGCAGTGTGGCTTTGTGAGTTATGCCAAAAATGAAGCCATTAATTCCCAAGTTGAGTTTAAACCCAAATTTTCTTTCATTGCAGTGCCTGGATACCTGTGTATTGGATGAGCAGTTGAGTACTGATGCTTTCCCCAGGGAGCACTGCCAGTGACTTGCCCTACAAGTCAGGCCTCCTTTTAAGTCAGGCCTAGTAGTGAGCAGTGATTCTTCCTAGTAACAACTGATAGATTGAGGGACATTTTTGAAGCACTCAATTCCTCAGTTTCTTTTCCATTATACTTTTTTGTTAAATTAGGAACAGGTAGTAACCCTTCCTCTTTCCCCATCTCAAACCCAAAAGAATGTCCCCAGGAAGATTACCCAGTGACATTCACAGTAAAGGTGAATAAATGTTAGTGTGAATCCACAAGGCTGGTGTTAACGGTTTTTCCCTTCCCCTTTGCTTGTGTTTCCCACCTGCTGAATAAGAATACCTGAAGAAGTGTCAAGAAGATGCTGCTGTTGAAGGCCTTGGAGTCCCCGAGATGCAACTTACTTTCCCCTTTAAAATATCTAAACAAGACATTTAATATTGAAACCAAGTACCTCATGACCAGAGGCAGAATGAGCCACAATATTCAGGAACCATTTCCTCATCTCCATCTGGAATACAGTACTCTGCTATAGGGGTTTTCAAACTTTTGTTCACAGGACCTCTTTGCTGTCTTAACTCCTTGAGAACCCAAATGAGCTTAAGTATATGTGGCTTATATTTATCAATATTTTGGATTAGATATTATAACTAAGGGATTCTAAATTATTTAACAAATTTATTTAAAAATAAACCCATTACATGTTGATGAAATAATATATTTTTATGAGAAAATAACTATCTTCTAAGAACAAAAATCTTTACTGAAAAAAGTATTGTTTTACATTTTCACAGATTTCTTTAGTGTCTGATTTAAGGGAAGACAGCTGGATTCTTATATCTCCTTCTGCATTCAATCTGTTGTGCCTATTTTGGTTTATGTAGAAACTGGGCCTCATACAAATATGTAGCTGGAAAAGAAAGGATCATTTTAATACTCTTTTCAGGTAATTTTGGGTATTCTTCTCTAATACTGTACTAAAACTTGACAAATGGTAGTTTCTTAAGGATTTCTTACAAGGGAGAAAATGAAACAATATCAATGAACTTTCTGTACTGTAAAATACACTGGTCTATCTTGCATTTTGAATGGAACTGTTATCCACACGTGATTTTGTAACATCATACATTTGTCCCTTGGAAAATATTCATAGATTGAGTTATGCAGATCTTCCAAATAGTGACAGATTTTATTATTTGTTATCAAAATCATTGCATTTATTAATATTACCACTGATCTTATCAGAAAGGTTCTTCAGTACTGGGAAGCTGTCAAGCTCATGGTGGCAAATACAAGTTGGCAAAAATTCTAATTTTCCTTTGAAAGCTGGAATTTTATTATTGGCAACAGATACAGTGAGTTTTCATTGAAGTAATGGGCTTACTTTATATATTTTCAAGAAAATCTTTGCCAAATAACCAGTCTGGAAAACCATCATCTGCCTTTCAGTCATTCATTCAAATAAAAAAATGGTGTTCCATGAAAACAGCAGGTGGTTCAGCTTGCAACATAATCACACAAGTTCTTTTTCTTTGCAGAACCATCATACATCAGAAGTGCTTCATGTGTACTTCCTATTTTGTCACATAGAATATTAAAGATACGTAAGTTCAAGGGTTGAGGTTTAATAACATTTATAATTGTTATTGCTTGGTTACAGACCTTGAGTGAAACTGCCTGTTGTTTATGTTTTGAACTGGTACTGGGTAGTGGTAAAAAACAAAATGACTATTCATATAGTTGGGTGCCTCTGCCATTATTCATGCTAAGACACCAGCAGTTTGACCCGCCATCAGTCCAAATGGCAACACAGTAAATAAGGCCAATAACATGATAGAATTATTATGGAAATAGCTTTGACCTTTTGGACTTGAGACCCCCAAGAGTCTGTGGACCAACTTTAAAAACTGCTGTTCTATTACATATTTTCCAAATGCCTGGTTTGCATTATCAGATTTACTCTCATACTGTAACCCCATTATACTTCATCAAGAAGTGGGGCTATGCTACCTTTCCTCCCTTATCCAAACACCAAAACTAACCATATAGGTATCTTTACATTTGCCACATTTTAGTAATTCCTTATCCCAGTTCGCCATGACGAACATGTAGACATGAGCTTAATCCAAGCTGTAACCATGGTTACTGTTTTCCCCAGGCTGGCCCTACTTGTTGGGCCACAGCTGGCTCGTACCTGCTGTCTTGCCCATTGCTGCCCACCCTGCCATTCTCATGTGAGCTAGCCTCGGCTTCCTGAGGTTCCCTATGAGGTATCCTGAGCTCTGCATGGACACATCCTTCTACTGAATTTTAGTGCCATGACAGTGAGAATATCACCCGCATCCCTTAGTTGCAGTGTCAGTGCTTAAAGGTATTTGCTGAACTTACAATCATATTGGGAAATGTGAGTATTAAAGTCAAAACACTTCTGGAACCTAAACTCATACCTATTGTACTGATTTTTACCAGATAAAGGAAATGATGACACTTATTAGTTGGCTTGGATTTTAAAATATAAAGATCGTATTGAAGGTAGATGGATAGGAGGTGAAGTATTTGAAATGCGGCATTGGACCTGGGCTTACAAACTCCAGGTGTGATTCCTCCTCTTACCAGCTCTTTCACCTTCTGTGAGGTGAGCTACCTCTTTGAGCCTTATTTTTCTTGTCTGTAGGAGAGTGTTAATATTTACCCGTAAGTGTTGTAGGGAAGATTAATCTCGTTTTGTAGATAGCAGCTACCATACTGTGTGGACATAGTAGATAACTATTTTAAAAATCATAATTTATAAATTTGGTAATTAGACATTTACAGATCTGATTTCAGCTGTCATATACGGTTGCATTATTATAGTGTGAATTCATGCCCCCATGATTTTAAAAAGTGGTGTTTTTGGCATGTGTGCATTCGCTGAAGTTGTAAAACACATTTTTTAAGTGTACAAGTAATGGACAGCAGATGAGAAACAGATTGCAAAAACTCTTTTCAGTATCCAAACATGACAGTAAACTCATATTGTTCAAAGAATAGGGCCCTTAATTGGGTGGGATTTTTATTTGATTTATGACCTGAGGCTAATACTGTGGCTTGGATATGTTCTAACCCCATGACTGTCTAATAGCTTACATATATGTTGGGTAGTAATGCCAGTGGATAGGTTTTATTCTGAGAACCTTCATTCTTAACTCAAATCTCAAAAATAGATGACAAGGCAGAAAATATTTGGGGTGATAAGATTGAATATGGAATAGAGCATCAATTGCTTGCTCTCAGATACTAGTCTTTTTTGTTTTTCAAGTAATGGAGAAACCATATATTATTTTCATCTGGGAGTGTCTGTTGTGTTTGCATGCACCAGATGAGCTGGAGAAGTTGTGGCCTGCAAGTAACATAAAGCAAATAAAATTTTTGCCAGACGGGGCATAACTAAATGCTTACCACCCTCCCTGAAAGTTAGTTACGTTTTGATCATTGGTCTGCTATATTGAATGCTGATTTTTTTTTCCAGTTTGACATGATAGTAAGTGACATTGCATTGTATAAAAAGGATATTTTTATTTACACACACTTAAAAATGGATCCTGGGTTTTAAGGAAATTTCCTTTTAAGCACATTTTGGCTCTGGTAAAATCTATTCTGAAGAACTTATAGGCAAATAGCTTTTGAGAATTTGGACTCATTAGCAGGGCTTATTTCTTTGGCTATATTTCCTGATAATAGTTTTCTGTAAGCTATGTGAATGTCAGAGAGCAGAAATAGTCAGAATTTTTCTTCTGAGCTCATTAGTGAATGCATACAGGATGAGGTAGCCTGAAACAGTTTGAGGTATAATCAGTGTCTTCTCACTCTCTCCTTTTCTTTCATCTCATTCTTTACCATGTTTGTTGGGCATTAGTTTAAAAGCCTAGCATTTAATAGGAACTTTGGCATATGTAAATATTTTCTAGGTTCAGTTTTAGCAAATCCGTTGCTCTCATGAAGACTGTAGAGAAAATGTTTGTACTGATTTAGGAATGTTAAGAATGTGGTGGGGAGTGGCTCTTCAGAATACTGCAGTGTGGTAATCATGTTTGTGGCTATGATTTTCTTGTTTTTGTTTTTTTTTTTGTCTTTGTTCTTTCATCTCAGCTTTTCAAAATCTTTAGAAAATATAAGATATTCCCATTTTAGGGTTTAGAAAATGACTCAAATATATGCATATAGTTGTGAAAGGTGTTGAGATAGCCTCAAATAATAAGCTATATCTTTTGACCATATTATAGGTGGGGTCTCTGCCTGGGAATGACCCACCCTCAAGCTGTTTGGCTCCTGTTAAAAGGACTAGAAGGGCTCTGCCAGAGGAACAAGGATGCTCTTCCTGGTGTGGCTCTTCTGTGGCATCTGGTTCAGGGCTGTGGTCCCACTCCCAATGGCAGATTTTCTTATTTTAGAGGGAGTGAGTCACATTCCTCAACCAGTGGATGAAAAATTCCAGCCATTCCAATTATCCACGCCTATGATCCCTTCTGTTTTACACAGATCATTGAGTCCCAACTCACTAGACCAAGACTCAGGGAAATCATGCTATGATCTTGGCTGTGCCATTGGCCAATTTTGTGACCTCAGGGAGTGTGTAAAATCTGGGTCTCAATTTCCTCATCTGTAAAATGAAGTAATTAGAAGAAAGGCCCTTTTTGATGACACAGTCTGTGACCTCTAACTGGTAATTTTTATAAGTATTCTCACAAGAAAGCTGTGGTTGCAAGAAACTAGAAATTAGTGGGATAAATGAGATCTAACATAGGCATCGATTAGCGTACTTCTTACCAAGTTTTAGAGGGCTCCAAGGAATATCTTGGGCTGTATATGTGATATAGCAAACTTTAAAGAGTTTGTGACTGTGACATTGTCCTCTCACAGAGTATAAAGCTGTTCAGTAACTATTTATGGAATGATGAATGAGTTTGCCTGATGCCTACTGGTATGAATTTTCCTTCTTGAACTTACTCTGGTACTAACCATTCTTTGTCTGAATATGATGATCTTTTCCATGCAGCAGTCACCAGTAGTAATGGACTTGACTGCCTGTGGAGCCCAGGCAATCTTTATAATGATGGATTGGGCTCTCAAGTGGGGGAGTAAAGCATTTTAAGTTGATGAAGACATTGCCCCTGCTCTTGAGAAAGAAACAAATAAGCAACTAATCATAGAGGCAAAATGAAATAATAGATGTAATCAAAATGTGAACAAGGTAATGGTGGGTGCGATGGAATAATAAATTAATTCTAATTGGAGAACTGAGGAAGGATTCATATGTGAGATGAAGAGTCATGAAGGTTGGACCTAGAGAGATACTCTCTAATATTAAACTAGAGAGGGAAAAATAAAAGGTAATTTCAGCAAAGGAGAAGGGCTTTTTGGATTAAAGCAGTAGTAGGACTCCAAATATGTCACTATAGGAAGGGCATGGAATATTTGGAGAAAAGTGAGTCGATGTAGAGAAACCAATAGGTGGCTATTGCTGTAGTGAGAGCAAGAGATGATGGTTAACTTGGCCCAGAGAGTAGTTGTAAGAGTGAAGGGAAGTGAACAGCTTGAGATAGATTTAGAAGATAAAGTCAATAGAATTTGTCGATGGATATCATAAGGGGGGTTATAGAGAGGGGTATAGATGAATCCTAGAATTTTGGCTCACACAAGTGGGAAACTATCACCATTTGCTATGAAAAAAAAACACCTAAGGTGTAGAATGCCATGCACTCAGTTTTGGGCATGTAGGTTTAGGCATCTATGTTGAGATGTAAGGTTGGAGCCCTCAGTAATAAGTCATGGTAGAAATGTGTTTGGGAGCCATCCAGGTTAAAGTCCTAGCGGTAGATGAGCTTACTGGAGAGAAAACAGAGATATGGAAAAGTAGAGTCATGTATCTAGGACTGAGTGAACATTGAGGGATTTGGATGTAAAGGCTGAGCAGAAGATGCTGATTGACAAAGGAAACTGAGAACTGGACATATGCATTGAATGGTGTGAATATAAGGGAGACAGCTTATGTCCGGATACCCATCTGGGAGAGAGGATGAGGAAATGCTGAGTAGGCCATGGTAAGGCAAGAGAATGGCAGAAAGACTTAATCATGGGTGTTATAAAAATTACTTAGGAGTGGTCTTAAAATTACTGGGGATATTTCTCTTTGATTAGAGTTCACTAGGCTGGAATCTTCATAAAAGCAGGGGCTGTGTTCCCTTGTTCATTACTGTAACTGCAGCAAGCTCAGTGCCTCTGCATAGAAATCACCCAATACATGATGTTGGCAAATGCTCAAATATTTGTTTTTTTTAAACTCAATTTTTTTACCTTAAATATTTTTTTTTACCTCAAATTCCTCAGATATCATGTGTTTTCCTTGACTCTGAATATTACCTCCATGCATATAACTTACCAATGTGTATGTCCTAGGTCTGACCTCTCTTCTGAGTTCCAGTCCCAGATTTTTAGCTGCCTGTTAGACTTCTTTACCTGGATCACTTGGAGGCATCTCACATTCAATTAAGGCAAATACTGAACTTGACTCACATTTTCCACCTTCCCATTCTGTCACTCATGCTTTCTTCTTTGTTACAGATCTTATAATGGACTCTCTTCTAGTCTAATTTTTTGTGTGCATGTGAATGTGTGTGCTTGTGTGTGTGAGAGCCTCTGCCTTCCATGGGGGAGTCACAAATAGTGAAAAAGGCAGTCACACATAGTGAGAAAAGGCAGCGCTTTCATAGAATCTTTATATTCCCACTATGCCTTATGCTGTGCCTTTCATGTAGTCACACTAAATAACAGTTTGGTTTAAATCAGGGTTTGTTAACAAGCCATATAAATTTTTGGACTCTGCCTTTTAGCATGTGAAAGACTTGTGAAGATTTCAAAGACAAATAAGAAAAAGTATGCCTAACGAGGTGTATATATAAAGAGAGTTAAAACATTGGTGATTCTTGTATGGACAGAAGAAAGCAGGGGATCATTTGATAATAAACCTACATTTCTGTTGTGGAAGGAGGTGTAAATAAATGAAAAGCCTTCTTTCAAGTCTATGAAGTCTTATTTACTGTGGAGGCATTCTAATCATTTCCCCAATCTGAAAGGACTGAATAAGCAGGAGAGAGAGGAGAGAGTTGGTCTGGAAATATTTTCCCCATGGTGAGCATAGCTCTAAAGGTCAATGGATGGACTGATGCAGTCAGCTGGTGACACTTGAATGGCCTTACCCAGCTGGCATCTGTTCTGATTGATTAGCGCTTCTGTGCTTTAGATTAGAAGTTATTATTGAAATATGTGTTTGGCTCACTTTGAATTCTTATTGACTCAGTTAGTTTACGTTTCATTTCAATTCTAGATTTTCCATCTCTGTTTCATACCTCTGTTGTCTCATGGACTGTTTAAAAACTAATGCTTTCCTTGAGTAAGATTCTCCAGAATGTCAGGCCCAGAAGTTGAATTTGACTCAACGTTTCCTGAAGATTGGACTTCTAAATTAACACTAAAAGTTTCCGAAGATATGTTTTTTAGTTACGTCATCAGCTTAATTTGTAACCCTTTTCATTCCAAATACATCTCTGAGGTAAGTCTTCTAGCACACTGACTTTTATTTACATTTAATTCGGAATATTCTTAGTGCTGTTAAGACACCTTTTTCATAAAAAAGACAATACATTCCGTCCTTATGGTTGGCAGAGTAACACCATCTGAAAGATGTCTACTTCCTAGTCCCTAGAACATTTGTATATGTGATGTTACATGACAAATGAGAATTAAGGTAACATATGAAATTAAGATTGGTCAGTTTACTTTAAGCTAGAGAGATTAACCTGGTGGGCTCAGTGTAATCACAGGGGTCTTTATTTGTGGAAGAGGGAAGCAGGAGAGAAGGTCAGACTTGACTGGCCATTTATGGTTTTGAAGTTGGAAGGGACCAAAGAGCTAAAGAATGTGGGCAACCTCTTCAGAAGGTAGAAAAAGCAAGTTAATGAATCCTCCCTTGGAGCCTCCAGAAAGGAATTCAGGTCCACTCACATCTTGATGTTCACCTAGTAAGATCCACGCCTGACTTCAGGCCTGCAGAATTAGAAGATAATAAATCAGTGTTATTGCAGTCCACTAAGTTGGTAGGTAATTTGTAACCGGAGAAATAGGAAACCAGTAGAACCCTTCTTTATTTCAGTTTGGTGATATGAATGTGTTGCTTCTTACATTCTAGATACCAGGCATTTATAATTTTTCCTAGAAGAGTTAGCCTATTTTTACTTTATAGGATCAAGGGCAACCATGTTTACTTTCATAAGGAGTAATTTTTTTTACCTATACAAAATTGGATAATTTGTTTTGCTATTGAATGTGATTATATCCACTTTTATCAATATATAATTATTATCTAAGTACATTTTGGCATAACTCACTATATATTTTATATAAAGTCACCTCTTATAACTTGCATAACAGTAACCCAACATGCTTTTGAGCTGTAAAAAGGAGAATATGTTCGAACATTCTTGTTTGAATGGTTTAGTAGTTACGACATTGGCATTGTTAGGAATGACAAATAGTCATTTCCTATTTGGTTTATCAGGGAACACTATTTCCTTGGTTGCAATAAATGTCCATACTGTCTATTGGTTTTCAACTTTTGGAATCAAATTATAGAGAAAGTATGGTTATCATTACAGAAAAGAATGTAAATATTTGCAACTTCAGTAGCATAAAAGTAAAGGTAGAGCCGACAGAAATGGGAAGGGAAGGGGTGGAAGGTGAGGAAAAGAGTAAGGGCTGCCAAGTCCTCTTTTACTCCGAGGAATGAAGAGATGCTGTTTTAGATGACAGAATAAACATAGTCATTTATTAAAGATAAAGGTAACCACTAAAGGGAATAAAAATATTTGAATAACTCTATTAATGGAAAGGATGGAAAAGTTGGGGGACTCTAAATTCACTAAGTTCCCATGAATGATTTCAGAAAGTCAAAAGATGATTCTGAAGTTGAACGGTTGGGACAGTCAGAAATGCTTATTATTTAGAGAAAAGGTGTTAAAATTCAAAAAGACTAAAAGATCTAAAAGAGTTGCCTCTGGAGAATACAGAACTGGGCCACTCTTCTGTACCATTTAATTTTTTAAAATCAAAGTAATGCTTACACATGGTTTAAAGAAGGGTTGGCAAAGTTATCTGTAAAGATCTAGAAAGTAAATATTTTAGCCTTTGCAAGCCACATGACCTCTGTTGCAGCTGCTCAACTCTGAGTTTGGCTGTGTTCCCTTTTATCTTTATTTACAAAAGCAGTGATAGGTAGGATTTGGCCCATGGGTCACAGTTTGCCAATTCGTTTATAGGGTCAAATAGTGCTAAAAGGCCCATGACAAAAACAGTGGTCCAATGGCCCCCTGCCGCCCAAACCACTTCTAAGAAGCAGTCACTCCAAACCCTTCACTCTAAACCCCACAGGTTTTTTCTATTTTTCTCCATAATTCTAATAATGTATGAATCAAGGGATACCAGTGTGCTTTTATGTCTAAATATGAATTTACTGCTATTCCTTGGTTCATCAATTTTAGACATTTTCTGTTTACATCTGATTAAGGTAGTTGAAAATACTAGCTATTTTATAGCTATAACTCAAGCTATACGTTTTTTTCTCCTTGTTTCCTAAAATTATTGTTAGGCTATTTGGTTAAATGCATATTCAGTGTTTTTACTGTTATGAGAATGCAGCTATTGTTACTTTTGAGCCCATAACTATGGTTGCCTTTTGTCTCGTGCAAACTTTTGGTTTTACTGGAGTTAATGACTTTATTTGCTTAGTTTTCATTGAATCTCATGCTTTTTTTCCGTTCTTTTTAATAGTTATGTAAAATGTCTCTTACTGCAATCTTCCACTGAGTTAAAACCATCAAAAATCTATTGATTTTGGACTTTTTCCTAGGAACATTGCTCCTGGAGCCCTTCTTCATTGTCCTGATCACATCAGGATTGGTTTTTCTCTAAGCCTTGCATGGTTATGTTAATTGCTGTCACCGTTTATCTGAGAATTCCCTTCCCATCTCTTGTGTGTTGGGTCCTCTGTTCCCTGGGTCCCTCATTTTGGTGGAGCACATTCGTCTAATCACCTGTCAGGAGTGACTGGGAGGAGGGTTGAGTGTAAGCCTGGTTTTTACTTTGCTGGCGTTGGATAGAGTAGCAAGGTTGGCATGTGACCCCCAGTCTTTAGTCTGTAGCCTTTTACATTCAGCCCTTCTCTGTGCCTGATGTCTTAGAGTCTGGATCTTGCTCTTTTTCAGTTTCTCCAGAGATAATATCTCTTGCCTCTCGATGAGTGAGATGGTGGGGGGCACCTACCTAGGAGTGTTATCCTTCCTTAAAGAATTTGTCAGGCAGCTTTTGTTCACCATTTTCAGCCCCCACCTTCGTCTACTTTTCATGATACCTGGGGTCTCCAGACCCTGTCGAAGTAGATAGGCTTGTGTTTCATGCTAGCTCTCTTCATTGGCAGGAACTTGGATTTGACCTTCTTCCCCTCTGAGAAGTCATTACTTCCTTGTCTTTCCTTTTCCTGTCTGCATGTTGTGATTTGAGTTACAGATATCTGCTACTTCCATGAAGATAGAGTTTATGGTTTTGTTTCTTAATTTCCTTGTTTGGGGATGATTTTCAGAGAAGGAATGAGATTGTCGTAATGACTGTAACTGTGGATGTGTGTTAGCTGATAATTTTTAAAATTAAAATATTTCTGTATCTGCAGTTTTCAAAACAATAAAGATGAAACTTATTTTCTTTCACCAGCTAAAATAAAGACCCACAGTCATCTCAGCTTTGGGGTTATATTAATATGTATGCATGAATGAATATATTCAAATATATATGTGCATGTATGCAACTGATAGTGTAATATAATCGTCGGAAAACTTTTCCTCAACATTTTGATTATTTTTCTATAATTTTTAGCATCTTTCTTTATAAGGTGAATTTTTAGCTTAATATTGTGTTGTTGTTTACTTCTTACACAATTGGCATTCCTGCTTGGGGCTTCCCTCCCACTGTATTTATAACTTAGTAGTGTAATAATGGTATAATGATACATCATTGTAGGCAATACTACATTGTTTTTCATGTCTTCATCTACCTTCTCATTCGCATTCCTGAAGTAGATAAGGTGTTACACCCAAGGGAAGCTGTTAGCTTTTATTAGCAGGCTATTTTCTGAAAAGTTTTAGCTAATTGTTTTTGGAGTTTGGCTTGCCTTTTCCCATGTAAAGAATATTTAAATGAAAATTTGTATTGTCTGCACAGGCTTTTCATATGTCAACATTTTGATTAATGTCAATGAATGTGTCAGTTAATTATGAATCTTAGCTAAGGCACTGGACATGAAGGGCAGATGGCCAGTGTATCCAGAAATTCTCAAACTGTTTGTGATAGAGGACCAGATTGTTTTGTTTGTTCATCTATGGCAAACAGATACTTTTATAAAATACAAAATCATGTGCATGAATATAGCAATAAAAATTGCTATAAATTTTAAAAAATGCTTACTCCCAATTTTTGTATTTTTGTTGCAAATGAAAAACAAACAGTTTCATGGAATGCATTAGCCTACAGACTACATTTTGATCCAGGCATAGGAAAAAAATTGGGAAGAGCGTTTCTTCCCAAATTTTTGACGTGTGAAAAACTTGCCTACCATTCTGGTGCTTCTCTTTCTGGGCCTTTTGCTCACTTCCTGCTGATTTTATTCTTTCCCAAGCCCAGAGGGTCTCTTTGCCCTCCTAACTGCTCATTAGCTTCTAGTTTTGAAGAATTATGCAGAGTAGTAATAATCACAGGCGCTGTTTATTGCACATCTATTGTAAGAAGAGTGCAGTGTCAGATGCTGGGATTACAGTGGCATACACATCAGAAATGGCGCTGCCTTTGGAATGTAAGAGTCTGTTGTCAAGAAAGAAAATATATGTATGTATATGTATGCCCGTGTATGTGAATGTATGTGAATATGTAATGAATTTCTCACAATCCAGTGAGGGTAGAGGATATTGTTCCCATTTATGAGTGGTAAATTTTGAATTTCAGCCTAGTCTTACTTTAAAGCTCATACTTTTTCCACGAAGCATTTTGGGGAGTATGCTGAATTATCCTATTTATGTGGCACATGCCCAGCCAATCCTGCTGTGCTGTACATCAGCAGTTTGGAAAAACCATCTGAGATGCAAATAACATGTAAGTCCCTTCTTCTTCCTTTCTAGAAGTATTTTCTTTTAAAAGAAAAGGTACCTTTAAACATATTTAATGCTGATGTAAAAAGTAGTAGAATTTTATTTCATTTTGTAGAGTGGAATAAAAAATTTACTCAGTGTGGTGCAAGATACTCTTGGCAAGGGTAGAGAGGTGGTTACTACCACTTGGTGTTTTTGCATCTCCACCAAGTTTATTCAACCTGACAAGCGAACTAGTTTTCCCACTCTCATATAAGGGTTGCTTTTCTGAGCTTTGACTTATTTTACAAATGACTGCAATGAGACTTGCCCTGGGGCACAGCCATTTGTTAGAAGACCTGGCTCCCCACCTCCAGTCTGCCACTGACTTGCCTCAAGTCTGTGCTCAAATGCCACTTTTTCATGGAGGCCGGGCCTGACCCCTTATTTAAAAATACAAACTGCCTGTACTCCCCATCCTCCTCATCCTACTGTATTTTATCTCTCAAATTGCTTATCACTTACTAACATATCATTAATTCACGTATGTATTTTGTTTGTTAATTATTGTCTTCTCCCTTCACTAAAATTTAAGCTTTATTCCTTCCAAGAGCTGGATTTTTATTCTCTTTTTTCTTAGATGTTGCAAGAACTCAACACATGTTGCAGAAAGGACTGCCATTGACCTGCAGTCTACAGTGTTTCTGCTTCTCCCATGCTGCCCTTGTCTATATCAAAAGATCTAAGTCTCAAGATTTGAGCTTTTACTCAGTATCAATAAAATGGCTTTCTCTGTTATACCCTGAGCCCGTCCCCCTACTTTCTTACTCCTTTCTGTTTCTCATTGTCTTCATTTGTATGACAAATGCATAATGAATGTCAGAAGTAGTGCTGGGGATATGGAAGTGAGTAAGATAAATGAGGTTTCTGAATCATGGTGCTTATGTTCTAGTTGGGGCAGACTAAGCCATAAAATTAACAAATAATTGAATAAAATAAGGATAACATGATATTGATAATTTATGATACTTCCAGGGAATCAGCGTTAGTTAGGTCGAGAAATTTCTCTCTGAGTAGGGGATACTTGAGGTTAGCTCTTCCTGCTTTCTTCTCTGCATTCTCTGTATTCTTTTTAGCTATACCTGTGATCCCTCTGCAGCATTCTGGAGGAATGAAGTTGTTAGAGAAACGCAGCTAACAGTAGCAGGTAGTATTATCCCCAATCCTTTTTGAAGATCAGAGGCAAATAATCCCTTACTATTCCTATTACTGCCACACTGAAAAGAAGTTTTATAAACAGTGTGGGAGGGGGGTGGGTGTTGGCGGGAGGTAGGTGGTTGCAGTAAAGTGGATGAGGTCTTTATGTTTGTCTTAGAGTTAGTTTATTAAAGTTAACTTATTTTATAAACACGGCCGCCAGTACCTCTTCTGCAATAAATTAAAATTCTCCTTTCTGTGTCTTAATCTCTTCTTTGATTGATCCATAAAACTGTGTTCAAGTGAAGAGCTAAGGGCCATTATTGTTACCTGTAAAATGCTTTAAACCTTACTCAGTCATTCATATACACAAAGATACACACAACTGGTAGACACTATCTGTCGAAAGTATTCTTTGGAGTTAGCATACAAAGATGCCAACGTTATAGCACCAAGAAAGTTTGAATTGGAGATATTAAGTAAACTGTGAGTTGTACAAATTTGCATTCTCAAATTTATTCTTATTAAAATTCATTTTGTAGCAGAATGTTTTTTAGGGCTTTATAATGGAAGAATTATTCTAAAAATTAATAGCTTGCTCTTCTCTTTGGAGAGATGGCTCCTTCCACTTTTTAGGTGTAGGCTTTGAATTCCTCTGGACCACACAAGTTTCTAAAACCTTGGCATCCAGGGCTTTGGACTATAAAATTTCATTGGAAACAAATAATGGAAAACAGGATTTTTAAAAAATCAGCTGTTTTCTTTAAAATTACTTTGAGTCATTGTTTTTCAATATTATTAAATTAGTAATGGTTCAGTGTTTTACGTCTTTCATACTGAGAATTGTTTTTAAATGGATTAAATCCATTTAATCTGCTTAAGTATATTTGCATCAATTATGCATTAAATATCTTTAATTTTTTTTAATTTCAGACTTTTAACGTTTAATTTTCCTGATATAACTTCAGTTTTGTGATTATACTGTATATAAACCTGAAGAGTTACATAAGGCCTATACTTTCATGCATTTAAGAGTGAGCCTTTAACTCACTCCTAGAGCTGTAGGAAAATGAAATTTCTATATTCTTATAAAGTCAGTGTCTTGAGATGATGTAGACAGTACATTTGGAAATAATTAAAATTTGTTCTTTATTAAAAAAAAGCTCTATCTAGATCTGGACCTTTTCTTCTCAAATAAATTTAGATTAATCCTAAAATGAAAAATGAACCTCTAAAGCCCTTTATATAAAGAAAACCGCTGAGATTATAGTTACTTCACAAAGCTGAATGAAAGTGACATGGGTTAATTAACATTCCTTTAAATATTTAGCTGATATATGAACTAGGAAGTGAAATATATGTCTCAATACTTAAATATTTTTCTATTTGAAAAAGGGAATAAGTAATATTATTAAAACTTAGATTATGAGATACTGTAGAAACAAATTCCCTGGAATTGTTGGTGCTTTTATATTGCAATTATTTTGTTTAGAATTATACATCAGAAGAAAACAACTATTAATACCTTTTCTATGGCTTAACCTTTGTTAAGCCATACTGGTTTATACATAATGGTTTATACTGGTTCCCTGTCTTTAAAATAAGAGGCCTATTCTCGGTGGTCTCTGAGCCAATGAATTCCTTCCAGTCTTTGAACTTATAAATTTACTAGTCAAGGCTTGAAAATTCCAAGTATTTTTTTTGGGGCGGGGGGTGGTAATGAGGGGAAGGTGGGAGGAGAACTATTTTAGAGTGAGAAAACAGCCTATTCAAAAATAATGTTCAAATCAATATAAAATTCTCAGGCTTTTTTTTCCCCCCTACCAAGAGTATTTCTTTTACCTTGGAGATGAAAGACCTTTTTCTTAAATTTGTTCATAAATTAATGAATTTTCAGGCTACATGGCAAGACATTGGAATAACGGGTAGATTGGGGAATTCAAAATATGATGTTTTGTTGAATAGACTTTCTGCTTGGGGATGCACAGTAACAGGGGAATCCTGCAGAATTGCCGAATCTATTATTCCTACCCTACAGCAGAGATTTCCTCTTTCAAGAGCTCAAAGCCCTAAGGATCTTTGAGGTTCTAGGTGCTGTAGGTCTGAGAGTTGGAAGGGATCTTCAGGATCACAGAAGTTCCACGTCTTATCCTGTAGCATCCTTGAGATACGGCTATCTAGCCTTTGCTTCACTCTTGAAAGATGTAGAGAGCTCATGTTTTTACCATACATCCCATTCTACTCTATGATTGTTTTTTTTTTTTTTTTTTTTGGAGACAGAGTCTTGCTCTGTCACCCAGGCTGGAGTGCAGTGGTGCAATCTCGGCTCACTGCAACCTCCACCTCCTGGATTCAAGCAATTCTCCTGCCTCAGCCTCCTGAGTAGCTGGGATTACAGGCACGTGCCACCACGCCCAGCTAATTTTTATATTTTTAGTAGAGACAGGGTTTCACCATGTTGGTCAGGGTGGTCTCAAACTCCTGACGTCGTGATCCACCCACCTCGGCCTCCCAAAGTGCTGGGATTACAGGCGTGAGCCACCGCACCCGGCCAAGATTGTTCTTTTTGAAGGATCTTTCTTACGCTGAGTTTCTACCTCTCTATCGTCTATGTATCATTTCTAGAACAGCACAGAAAAAGCCAAATCTCTCTTTTATGTGGAAGGCTTTTAGTTGGATTGGAGATCTCCTATGGTCATTTAACTCTCTGCTGTTACCTCTGTTGTCTCAGTTCTCATGTACTTATTTACGGAGGTCTAAGTGTTTAAGGTAAAACTTTTACATAAAATATAGTCTCCAGTGTAATCCAGATACTTCCTCTGGTGCTCAACTGAAAAGACAATGAATACTCCAAGTCTAGATTAAAAACAGGTAGCATTGGCCTTATTCAGAGGACGTATGTTCACTTCCATTGTGGTGTCTCCCTAAGGGATTTTTAGGACTAATTTTAATAAGTAATTTTTACCTTACCTGATAACTTTAAGAGCTCAGTGCCCTGTAAACTGTAGTTCTGTCTTTGAAATAGCAAAGTGTTTTCCTTTTTGTTCTCCAATTTAGACAAGCCTCAATTAATTCAGCTCACTCATCATAAGATGTATTTCCATCTCCTTAACCTTTGTGGTTACTGTCACATGGGTCATCTCCAGTTAGTTAATGATGGTCTCTTCAAATCTGACAAAATACTCTAAATGTAGTGGGACCACTTTGGCACAGAGTGAAACGATTCCTTGTTCTGTTCTCACACAGTCCTTGTATTATCATAGCCTAAGATGGTAATAATAATATTTTTAGCAGACTCATCACTGTTGACTTGTTAAAGCCTGTGGTCAACTAAGCATCTCCTGGGCTTCTTAGAAATGTTGAATAACTGGTAGTCAGTTAGCTACATGTTCTATTGGTAGGATAACCTGGCCTTCCCATCTTCTGGGACTTCTACACTCCTTTTGTTTTAGGATTTGTCCTTATTCTTCTGAGGAAACTAGACTTACTCTGAACAGCTTTTTGGTGGTCTTCATTTGTTTAGCTGTAGAGATGGCATGTGCAAAAGGAACAATTAGGTATTTCAGTTTGAAAAAGTCACATTTTTGGAAGCAAAGATATTATTTTCATTTTTATGTAAATACCTTGGAAGTATATCACACGTGCAGAAAAGTACACAAGTTAAGTATAGCTGGTGAGACAGGAGAGTCCCTGACTCCCTCGCAGGACTTGCGATGAGGGGTGGCTCCTTTGCAGCCGAGCTCAAACCGCTTGTGGGAGGGGGAGCACGCAGGTGAGCAGGTGCAGGACCTGGGGCAAGTGCCTTTAGGTGCTGGCAGGACCAAACCCAGTAACCGGGCCCGTGGTAGCAATCAGTGGTTGCCCGCAACTTCTGGAGCCCCAGAGGTTGTGTATTACAAACAATGCCCTTTTGGTTGTTGCCTTCAACAGAGAGCTAAGCCTTAACCAGCTCAGTGGAGAGTCAGGGTGACATATACCCTGCCCTCTTGGTACCCGGGTTCTTGTCTGGCATCCAGGAAGAATCAGGTCACACGGACTTGAAGGATGTTGAATGCAGAGGTTTTATTGACTGATGGAGGTGGCTGTCAGTGGAAAAGGAGCTAGAGCGGGGATGGTGCGGGAAGAAAGTAGTCTTTCCTTGAAGCCTGGCTGACTCCAGCCGGGTCGTCTCCGAAGTCGTGTGGTCTGACATTAAGCCGCGTCTAGCCTTAGTCTCTGATGCGCAGTTGCTTCTAGTCTCTGATGCGCAGTTGCTTCTCCTCTCGATGTTCAGCCGCTTGTCTCTCTGCCAGCTGAGCTCTGAGGTTTATAGGAGCACGAGATACGGAGGCTGGGTGGGCCAAAAAGTAGCATTTGAGCTGGAAAACGGATAACTGTTTTCATTTAGGGCTGCAGATTCCAGGCTCGAGGGTGGGTTCTTTGCCAGGGAGCTGCCCTCTTCTATCCAGTATTTCCCTGCCTCCTGTCGGTATCGCTAACATACAGATCAAGAAATAGAACATTGCCCTAGAAGCCGCTTCATGCCTCTTTCTACTCACCACCCTTCCCCCTCACAAGGAGTAACCAGTCTCGTGACTTCTACATTGTGAATTAATTATGCCTCTTTTTGAACTTGTTATGCATGTAATCATACAAAAGGTGCTTGTTTTGTATTTGGCTCTTTTTATGCAATTTCATGTTGCGAGATTTACTCATGTTGTCGCATAAACTTGTAGTTTTGTTCATTCTTGCTGTATAGTATTCCATTGCATGGACATACTGTAGTTTATACATTCTACTGGTTACGAATATTTGAGCTATTTCCAGATTTTTAGGTATTAAAAATAATCCTGCTATGAATATTCTGTGTGTCGTTTGGTTAGGTATATATTCATAGCAGGATTTGATATATACCCAGATTTCTGTTAGATGTATACCCAGAAGTGGAATTGCTGAGTTATGTGTGATGTTCATTCAGCTTTATGGCATGTTTATGTTCAGTTACTGCCAGTTTTCCAAAGTGATTGTATACATTTACACTTTTACCCTTAGTGTACTAGAATTCTAGTTGCTTTGTATTCTCACAATCCTTACCCTAACCCCAGTCAATTTGGACAAGATCAATATCTTCACAATAGTGAGCTTTTCAATCTATGATAGTCTTCTTTAATTTTTCCTAATATTTTATAATTTTAAATCATAAATGTTTTGCATATTTTCATTAGACTCATTCATAAGTATTTGATTTTATGCTATTGTAAATGTTACAATTTTTTTTTAATTTTTTTTAATCTTTAACTGGTTTTCTTTGTTTAGTTATTGGTTTGCCTTATTTACTAAGATACTTCTATACTGTGATTTGGTGGTGCCTATTCTCAAATGCTTTTTCTGCATCCATTGTGGTGATCATTTGATCTTTATCATTTTTTCTATATTAATTTATGAATAACTTAGGTTGATTTTTGACTTTTAAATAACTCTTGCATGACTGTAATAATTTCCACTTGGTTATCATGTATTATTCCTTATAGACATCACTGAATTTGATTTACAAATGTTTAAGATTTTTACCTACATATGTAGATTTTTACCTACATATCCATGAGAAAGAGAGAGACTGGGATATTATTTTCTTGTAATATCCTTGTAAGGATATTGGTATCAAATTTATGCTATCTTTTTTAAAAAAAGCTGAGAGAATTTTTCTCTTTTTCTAGTCTCTAGAAGTATTTATATAAAAGATTGGCATTATTTGTTCCTTAAATATTAGGAAGATTTTACCTGTGATGTCATCTGAGCTTGGAATTTTCCTTTTGAAGAAACATTTGGAAGGTTTTGAAACAATAAATTCAATTTAATTCTTGTTGTTTTTGTATTAATCATATTTTGTATTTTTACTGTCCATTTTGTTGTATTTTTCGAAGAATTCGTTCATTTTATAAAAATTGTTAAATTTATAGGTCCAAGGTTTTTAGAATATTCTCTTCAGTATCTGTAGGATCTATAATGGTTTTGCTTGCCTTTGTTCCTTCCTGATATTGGAAATTTATTTTATTTTTCTTGATTGGTTCTGCTATGAATTTACTAGTTTTGTCAAGCTTTTCATAAAACCAACTTTGATTTTTATTTGTTGTTTTTTTATTTCATTGTTCTTTGCTCTTTATTTTCTTCACTGTGTCTTTGGATTTCATTAGCTGTTTTTTTTCTAGCTTTTTGATCAATTTTTTTTACTTGTTAATATGTGCATTAAAGACCATAACTGACACATTTGGCACTGATTTACCTGCATTCCACACATTTTTGCTATTTTAATTACTAGAAGTATTTTCTCATTGCCTTTATTTTTCATCTATGGATTTTTCAGTACTGTATTTCCTAATTTCCAAACAGCTGGGCATTTTTGAGATATTTTTCTGTGGTTGATTCTACTGTGATAAGAGAACATATTTTAAATGATTTCAGACCTTTGAAATTTGGTACACGTTCCATGTACACTTATAAAGTATGTTCTAATCTTTTCGGTTACACTATTTGTGTGTGTGTGTGCAAATATAATACAAATAAGTTAGGCTACATTTGTTACTTGTGTCAGTCAGATGATTTATATCTTCTTCAATTTTTTGTTTCCTATCAAGTCTCCCAATTCATGTTTTTAAAATATTTTTTAAAGATCTGTTCATTTTGACAGTATATGTATTAAAGTTATATTATTGGGTACGTACACATTTAACATTGTTATCTTTCTGTTAGATTGAGCCTTTTATCATGATTGAATATCCCACTTTATCTTTATTAATACTTCTTTCCTTGAAGTCTCCTTTATCTGATATTAGGATTAGTATGGCCATACCAACTTTCTTTTGATAGAATCATAGATTTTTAGATCTGGAAGTAAATATATGTATGGACTAATTCTCCCTCATTTTATATGTAATTAAAGGTTTATAATTCTATTGGACTTGCTAGGTGTTACTTTCAACCCAGCATAAAAACTCCGGGTCCCATTCTAGTTCTGCTGAATTCTTTGGAAACATACTGTAGTTAATTCAAACAGCCTCAGCCCATGTTCTTCTACTAGGCTTTTCTCCTGAAGTTTACACTTGGTTGATCTATTTTAGGAAGGTGAAGGCGTGTTCTGAAGCCAGTTAGGGCTGGTTCATAATAAACTGTATATTCATCACTGCCTTTTCTGGCTTGATTCTTTCCTTTCACGTGTCAGTGCTGCTCTGCTAGGCTTTGTTTGGGTGTCATTTTCCAAAACTCTTGTTTTTCCCTGCACTGCTCTGTGGCTGGCTACTCAGAGGCTCCTGTTCTCTGTCTGCCCCAAACAGTCTGCAGACATGCTCTGTCACCTTCTCCTTCCTGGGTGCATTGTGGGGCATCTGATTCTCATTTGGTCTTGGGTAGAGGGGAGAATGCCCCCAGGAGATTATTATAAAAGTAATTAAGTGTTATGTGCAAGTACATTTTTGTAATTCTCTATCTAATTTCTGGTGCTTCAAACTCCCTCTCTATTCTTGGCAGTAAGATCTTTTTCCACTGTTTCCAAAACCCTTAAGTCTATGATTATGAAGATTATATTTTGAAGGTTTCCCCACTTAATTCTCATTTGTGAAGCATGGGACAGACCCACTTAAGCAAAGAATTTGGGGCCTTCCATTGTCACCCCCCATGTCTCTGCATTTTGACCTCTATGAGGTGCATCATACAAAAGGCCATCCAGTCTCCAGGCTCACTAATGATGATGCACCCGAGGCCCAGAATAATGGCAACTTGCCTGGGTACGTATGCTTATGTAGGGATAGAAATGGACCTGATTCCCTGCCTGATTCCTTGGTAATTGTGCTTTGTATTAAGTTATTTAATAACAAAATATTTTCTGTGTTTAAAAAAAAATCCCACCTTGGCTTTGCTGCTTATTCAGTGTCTGAACTTCGGAAAGTTAATTCACCTACCTTGGTTTTCTCATCTGTAAGATGGATTAACTGTTTTATGAGGCATTTTGAGGATAAATGAGTTAATCATACAAAACACATAGTACCTATAGTACCTGACCTATAGGTAAAATCTCATTTTGTGGATATGTGCCACCAAATTCATGAAGTTAAATTCTATAAAGAAAATTCCGTTTTGTTTTTACCTTCCATTTGACCATTGCTGTTGTGTTCCAGTAGGTAAGATTCTTCTAGTAAAAACATTAAGCCACCAGGAAACCAGTTGCATGGCTGAGAACTGTAATTCATGTAGCCCCTCTCCAAAAATCGGCTTTTCCTTTGCAGCACTCTCCCCACTTTGGGACCTCGCTGCCATTGCAGGCTGTTTTTTCTTCTTGGACTACAGGCATCTTGCTTGGGCCCCTCCAAGTTTTCCCTTTCTTGTGTTTATTGGCATAATCCCAGTTCATGGTAGTCACAGCATTATAGTATGTGGGTTGCCAGTCTACTCCTTTAGGTATTACAAGTGGAAAATTATTGTACTTCAAACATGGTTAATGTAAATTTTCTAATGCATAAGGTAAAATTTCATGTCATCTACCCATAGTGAAGGTCTTTTGGTGCTATTAGTATTAAAGCCTATTTGGAACCATTTTTACATTTGATCATTAAAAATAACTCTTCTTCCTGTAATGCCTGTGTTTTTGTTTTGCTTTCCTTTTGCAATTCATTCTCATAGGCTAGTTTTAGTTTTAAAATTTTAGTAGCATTTAAATTAACTCTTTTATTTTAAAAACAGATACAATAATGTCAAAAGTGGAGAAAACATAATTATAACATTATTTTTCAATAATGATCCTAGGAGTATAAGTAATAAGACATTGCATAGCAAAATGAACACATATATTAGAGATATTTTCAAAATAATTTAAAAGCTATGTGTACCACAGTTACTTGTGCAATATAAAGGCAAGTTAAGTGTCATAATCATAAAAATATAGTAATTTTTTCCCAGTGACAGTATGAACCAGAACACATATGTGAACACCTTTTCATATCTGATCAGTTTTATTCCTGATGGCAATAAAACCATGTAAATGAAATGCAAAATGTTGACTGCAATGTAATGGTTGAAATTTTTACATGCATTAAAGAGTCAGGATAAATTTATGGTCTTACGATGGCTGTAGGTTGCATATTTTGTATGTACATTTTTGAGTGATCAATAGCACCATGGCCAAAATACCATGGGGACAAAAATCACAGTTGGTATGTACTGTGGTTTATTGACATTTTGCCCCCTCTCAGATGTGTAAAATATTAACCCTGAGACTGATTTCCTATGGCTTGTCTGTTTTTGTTCAGGGTTAGGTGTAGATATATGCCCATCATTAGCCTACTCTTTTCTTCTTTGGAATGTATAAAATGGCAATATCAATGTGGAATAGGGAGTTCAAATTGTAGTCTTTCCATATTCTGACACCATGTTTTTCACTTAAAATTTTTGGGTCAAATACATGTTTCCAAAATGTATCAAGATACTTTTTTACTTCATTTAGTTCTGAGCTCTTTTGAATCAAATTAGAGAACAGTGTCTTAGTTTCAACTCCGTGTCTTATTTTCCACAATGTCTTGGATCCCAGTGTGCGTGAGGGAGGAATGGATGTGATGCGGCAACCCCATCTTGCTGCCATTTGTTTGATATTCCCTTTGCCACTGATCAAATCCTATCTTTGGCTATTTTTTGAGTTACTTTATTTTAAATTAGGACTCTTTGGTTTTCTTCTCTCTGTGTTTCCACCTCTAGGCAGGAAGGTGTACTTTAACTTACTGCAGTTGTGAAGGATGATTATTTACCTCCATCGTAGGTGATAAAATCTGCTTTTACAAACTGAACTTGAGAAAAAAGCAGATAACTGATAGATGCCTGCTTTTAAGTACAAATATACTATAAAGAAAACTCTTTAGAATACATTACTTTTTATAAACATGGTTAAAATCAACAGATTTCATCTACAGAGCTAGGTAATATATCAAAAAACTCAATGGAAGTTTATAGAAATTAATTAAATTGAACTCTTTTTATAAGCAGACTTTTTACAAGGAATAAATAATACTTAATATTTCCGTCAGAAGTCCTGGGTAGATTTGAAGAAATATGTTGCTTGCGGCATGGCCATAACAAAAAAGATTTAATTCCCAAATATTGCTGGGGGAGAGCTGTATTGTCCAGTGGCCATTACATAGTTTTCTCTATGCTAGGATCCTCCCTTTTTGAAATCTGGCCTATTATACTTAGCTCATCTTTTACAGCACAATTACTTCGGGTTGGCAAAGACCTCTGGTTAAAGAAACTGAATAATGAGAGTTGTGTGTCTTTCTTACCTGATTATACTCCCACTGCTTATATCTTTGAGATCTCTATCTGTGCCACAGAGTCAGGCATTTAAAGTTTCCTAGTAAATCATTGGTGTTTGCACCTATAAACTCAGTATTAGAAGTAAACAAAACTCCTTTTATTTTACTTGAAATTCAATACTGTATGGAGAACTTAATTTTGAAATGTCTAAAGCCTAACTAAGGAGAATTCCTTTAGATTTTTAAAGCCTATCACTTTACCAAGTTGTATTACTGGAAAGCTATGTACTTGGGTCACATTTTAGTAGCTCTCCAAATAGATGCCTTAAAAAAGTATTGTTTAATAGTATGCCCTTACTGTTTATTGGGGGTCAGCTAAAAAGAAGACTGTATGACAACCATTTCTATTAGCTTTTATGAAATTGAAATTGAATTCCGTGGGTTATATTAGTTCTTATCCCTAATAAAGATTTGTATGGGAAAGGCTTAGAGCTGTATCCTAGAAGAATTTCCATCTTTCTTTTTTAACAAACTGGTATCTGTTCGTTTATTGGATACCAAGTGTATTATAGCTCAAAAGTTTCCCACTTTGAGGGGCTTTCTAAGACTCACAGAACCAAATTGATTATAGCTTGGGGATTATGGTAAAACCTTACTCATGTTTTTCTTCACTTCATTCATTGGTTCATGTTCTTGTCCCATCGCTATAATGGTTCACTTTCATAGCTATCCTGGAAATAGGCAGTACGTAAGTAACTGAATGAGCTAGATTATTTAATTCTAAATTCTAGAATCAGAGTAAGCGGTTTTTAAAAGTAAGCAGTTTTTTAAAAAGCGATAGTTGAACATCTCTTTAATTACTACCCCAACTCAGTGAATTCCCCATTCAACTCTGAACACAGTTTGAGTTGCTGCCATGCTGCAGGAAATGGCAAGCGAGGCTGGAGCTCCTGCTCTGTGCATCATTGCATATCTCAGAGTGAGGCTGCATGCTGAACATGGAGATTTAAACAGGTGAAGATGTTGGTGGCTACCCATTCCATTTATATATTTTGTAGTGATAGCTATTACCATCACAGATTCTGCCTTTAGGGTTTTTTCCCTACAGCTTTGGAATCTGTTTGGACTTTTATTCCTAGTTTCAGAAAGTACCCTCAAGAAGATCTTTCTTTTCCAGAGTATTCTTGGAATTACCTGAGTTGTAGGTTATAAAAATTCCCTGAGTATGTTTTTCAAACAGTTTATTTTTGCATTGCAATTTACCTTCCAGGAAAATTGATGAAATATGTATACCTTGATTCTCCGATTTAAGTTAAACAGGATAAAAATGCCAAGTATTTTTTTCCAAATAAATAGATAACATTTGTTTTCAGTGTTTAAAAATTTGATTACTAGAACATATTTTTAACAAGTTAACTTATGTCTCTTAACATTAAAATGTGTTTAACTTTTTAACATAGATTAGGTCATTAAACTTGTGTTTGTTCTACTATAGGGTCCTGGTTACTGGGTGAAGATTCATCACTTAGAATATACAGATGGAGGAATCCTGGATCCAGATGATGTCTTGGCAGATGTTGTTGAAGATAAAGACAAGGTAGATAACTCTAAAAATGTGCCTCTTTGTTTTCCTCTACAGAGCTGCATGTTTTCAAGAGACTGAAATCCTTAACAAACTCATGTGTCAATTATTATTAAAAGATACCATCTGTTCAGGTTTCACCTGGACAGCCCATAAATCAAAGTTCTTCATCAGATGTTTGGAAAAACTGTGTTAAGGTTTGGGAATCTGTTTGTGTTGGCCTAATTAGCAGACACTTCATTCCCAAGAGTTTCTGATATGTCTTAATAAATTAGTTTCATATGTGAGGCTGTTGGAATCATCATTGTCGTTGCTGGCTCTGTAGTTTATTCCTGGCCCTTGCTAACTATTCAACTAAATGCCTGAGGCGTGAATGTGTTTCAAAGTAGAGAATACAATGGGGCAGCAAGTTTTATGAAGAATTACAGTGAAGATTTTTCTGAAAGTAGCTGGCAAACAACTATCTTGAGTGATAGTCTTATTTTCACTGCTACAGTAAAAGGCACTAAATTGAATACTCCAAAAAGTTTGAGCGTGTTCTGCCACTTATTTGGGAATAATCTCGTTGCAAATATCTTGTTTTAATGAGATTTTTCTTCTGAGACTATACAGAGGAAGGTGTGAAAGTATACTATTTCATTGCAATACACACGATTATTGCTGTTGAGACAGGTTTAATACTACAGGTTTGGCTCCTGTCATCAATGGCTAATGTGTTTTCCAAAACCGAACTCTGTCAGAGAGATCTAGCTTTCAAAGTTTCTTCTATTATACATCTTTAGTGCTGTTTGTACAAGGCTAATTTATATTTGGAAACATGTTTCTCTATATTTTTTCCCTGTAATCTCAGGGGTGTGTATGTGTACATTTTTGTGTTTTACCTAACTGGACTGGAATATAAATAAGTGATTTATTAAACTCAGGTGAAGTTTATATTTTTCTTTTTCCATAAGATCTCTTCAGACTGTTCAAACTTACATTAATCTTTGCAGACATCTTATACATTTACTTTTCATATTTTATTTTGTAATTAAAACCTGTTTTGCTTTATGTTGTTATTAGCGATTTTATAGTCTATTTAGGGAGATAACTAACTAAGTTTTATAGTCTATCTAGGGAAATAACTAGCTATCTAGATAAACCTAGTTATCTCCCTAAATAGATTGTAAGCTCCTAGTGGACATGGACTTGGGAGATTTTTATTTGTGTGTTTTTGTTAGTAGTATCTGGTATAATATCTTACACAAACTTGATTCCCAAAAATACTTACTGAATTAATGAGTGAAAAAGACAGCTTTACTTTCTACACTTGACTCTTGCTGTATGTAATTTTGATATATACTTCCTGTTTATTTAGTTGGTCTCAGGGTAAATAAAAGGGTAACTAATGTATTATTAACCTTCAGAACCCTGAAGAAGGGTTTTTAGTTCTTTCACCCTGTTTCACTTTCTGCTTCTTCCCTAGGGATCATCTTCTTCCTTTGAAATAATCCAGATATTTTAATTGTTTATTAATGTAGAAGGCAGTTCCTGTCTTAAATTTCACTGATGTCCAGAACATTAAAATGAAGGGCCAAAAAATGGCAAGTTTAGGAAGGACGAGAAGAAAATGTCTTACCCCAGCTTCATCCAATACCTCATTACTAGAAGGATAAGTCCATGAACAGTGCCCAGGGAGATAATTTGTCCCATAGAGCTCTCACATTTAGAGCATTCTTTTAAACTATCTCAGCAATGCAGTTTATAACCATAATCCACTTACTACACACAGAAACAGCTTTATTATATGTAATCTCTGTTTTAATGGGACTCTACCACCATTACTAAATAAGGTAAAAAAGTGAGATAATCAGTTAAAATCCTAGCTGAGGATTAGTACTGCTTGGGTTCGGCTTTAACAATTCTGTTAATGTACTTCAATATTTCTACATGATGCCTAATTGGTATTGTTCTGCAGAGTTTATGACAATTTATACTTTTGATGTTGCTAGAAAAAATTGTGTTGCCATTTCTTCTTCTTAAAAAATACGTAAGTGGCACGGTGGCTCATGCCTGTAATCCTAGCACTTTGGGAGGCTAAGGTGGGTGGATCACGAGGTCAGGAGATCAGGATCATCCTGGCTAACACAGTGAAACCCCATCTCTACTAAAAATACAAAAAAATTACACAGGAGTGGTGGCATGCACCTGTAATCCCAGCTACTCAGGAGGCTGAGGCACGAGAATCAATTCAACCCAGGAGGCAGAGGTTGCAGTGAGCCAAGATCACACCAGTGCAGGCCAGCCTGGGTGACAGAGCAAGACTCCATCTAAAAAAAAAAAAAAAAAAAGGTGAAAAAAAGAATTTCTTATTTTTCTGACAACCTTGGTAATCTTAAGATTTCTTTATAGTCCATATGTCTATTGTGGAAAGAAGGCCCTGCCAAATTTCATTTTACCTTACTTTTTGGCAGTTTAGATTAAGAAGTAACTATAAGTGATGCTTTGTGGATGCTTAATGACATATCAGTCTCACTCAGGATCCTTTGAGGCGGTATTGAGCTTAGACAAAATAACAGTTCACCTGTTTGCAAATTGGCTACCTAATAATCTTTGGCATTTAAAATGTGGATAGAGAACAAGTCCAAAGAGGCACGGATAGATGCACATAATCATTGTGCTAACCCCAAAATATCTCACCTCCTAGGAAAGACTCTCACTCCAGGTGAGAAGTGGCATTAAGGAACTGTTGGTCTATTGCAGCATATCAGGCAGGAAAAACAGAAACTTAGAAAGCAGGGGAGGCTGGGCCATTTAGTGTATGGTAACACCATCCCATACACTTCAGTAAAGGTAGAAACTAGAGGTTAAATGATATTGTACTTCAAATTAGAGAAGGCTCTAACAAAGTTCAGCCAGTGTTCTTAAGAAATGACTTTTAAAACTTGTGCCTAAAGTGGTTTGTCTGTGGTCTTACTTCTATTATTCCTTTGGCCAACATAGTGCTTGGCGCATACATGGTATCTGCTTGGGAGCTTTGGTTTTTTAAACTTGCTTTCCTAGTACAGCTTCCACGGGGACCAAGTCTCCACTGTGTTACACTACTTCTAGCCTATATGTGTCAAAATATTATTGGAACAGCTTTGGAATATTGCATCTTATGATAACTATTTGTATAAAATGTTGTGCTGAAACTTAATAATTATCTGGTTGTGACAGTTATTCTCAAGATTCTTCAGTTTGTCTATCAGTCTGATGATTCGAGTTCTTTGGGATAAATATCTAAGAATTGTAATTTTACACTCATGTCTCCTCTCTGGTTGCTAAAGGCTACCAACTTAGTTCACCCAATAGTAACAACCTAATCATTGATGACTAGCAATGGCCCAGAATGTCTTTGGCCCTTATTTATTCTACGTTATTTTAAAGCAATCCTGAAGACAAGAGCTAGTGTTATCCCTATTTTTAATTTCCAGAATAATCACAGAAATTGTAAGTAACTTGCCCAAGATCACACAGGTAGTAAATGGCACAATCAGACTCTGGAACCTAGAATTTAAATTTCTGTAATCTTATTTCTTTTCTTCTCTGATGTGTCAAGCAGTTTGGCGCTTGTATCTATAATTTCTATTACGAAAATTCATCAGTCATAAATTAACATGAATTTTGCTTTTACGTAGTCACCACCATTGCTAAGAAAAGGTTGGTAATAGACCAAACTGTTGAGTATAACAAAACAGTTGAGTATACAATTTATTTATAAATTAATTCAGAATTAATATGCCATACATATTTAATATATTTCAACCCTGTTTGCCTATAGCCTGCATCTAGTTTATTGTAAAGGCTTGTCAGCTCTACCTCTGTTGCTTTCTTTTGCATCCTCTTTTCTCTAGGACCCAGATTATTTGATTTAGATACAGTTTAATTTCAGTTGGACGCTTTAGACTGCACTTGAAGTCTAACCACCATATGCAATTACAAAGAAAAACAAGTTTGTATTACAGTAACTACTTTTTTGCACCAACTATAGACTGTGCTGTTTTCAGTAGGCAGAGTAATGGCGCCTCAAAAATGTCTACTCCCTAATCTCTACAACCTGTGAATATGAATGTTACATGACACAGCGTCTTTGCAGATGTGCTTAAGGATCTTAAAATGGAGAGATTATTCTGGATTATTTGGATGGACCCAATGTAGTCACAAGCATCCTTATAAATGAAAGAAGAAGGCAGGAGAGTATTAGAGAGATAAATGTGAGAAAGACACACCCAGCCAATGCCAGCTGTGAAGATGGAGAAGGTGCCACCAGCGAAGAATGTAGCTGGCCTCTGACATTGGAATCAGTAAGGGAATGGATTCTCCCCTAAAGCCTCCAGAGAGAACACAGTCCTGCTGATACCTTGATTTTAGCCCAGTGAGACTTGTTTCAGATTTCTTAACTGTCAGATAATAAATTTGTGATGTTTTAAGCCATTGCATTTGTGGTGACTTGCTACAGCAGCAATAGGACACTAATACATACACTGCCTCTTTTCCCATTTTAACTTTTAAAGTGATGTTAGTCTTCTCAAATTTCATATTGACTGGGCATTGAGATCCTGCAGGATGAGATAAATGCTTTGTACTTCAGATGGGTTCCTTGTTCTTTGCCTTCCTCCCAAAGTCCATCACAAATGATCCTCAGTTTATTGGGTGAGCCTTCACTCTTTGAGACTTGATCTTTAAATATCTAATTATGCTGTTATCGTCTATAGTGTAGAAATTATTTCAAAGTCACAGACAAACAGCCTTGTTCACTTATCAGTTTCTCGCTGCAGTATGTAAAGGCCCTAAGAAGTCTGAAGACTGATGCTTAGTAAACCACTGCAAAGCTTAATGCTTCCTTCCTTTTAAGTGAGCATGAGAGCTTCTGAGTATTAAGCTTTTTAAAATGATTATTTTCTTTGGTAATTGCCATTATTAATTTTTGGCTGGGTTGAAGAAGACAACTGCAATATAACATGAAAACATGGCAGTCTATCACATCTATTATATAAAGTCAATTACTGCCATGGTTTCATTAACTGTACAAAAGTAATACTGTATTATGTAGTAAAGTAACATGGAAAGATGCCTCTGTTCTTGACTAAATTTTGCCTATCCTAGGGGGCTAGTTTGGAGAGATGCCAGTGGTTTTCAGGGCTTCCAAGTGAATTGCCCACTGGATCACATGTGATATCTGGTATTCAAATGTTATAATTTCAGTTCAGTTTTATCTCCTATTAGTTATCAGTCCTTGGGCAAGCTTCTTCATCTCTCTGGTCTTGGTTTCCCCATTTGTAAAATGAATATAATGTTCTTACAGGGTTGGTGTAGGAAAACTAGGTAGGTAAACTATATAAAATTTTAAGTATAGTATAGCATATACTGAGAACTCAAATGCTGTTATATTAATGATACTATGGTAGTGCTATTACAGTATTTTTAATGTAGGTGTTTTGATGTTACCATTAGATGTTTTTAGGTATTTAAACATCAAATAAACTATTTTACTGTATATTTTAACTGCTTTTTAAACAAAACTGATATGAATGAAGTTATTAAATTGGTAAAATAGTTTTATAAGAAGATATTGAATATGACAGAACATTTGGATTAATATATTGTTATTATTTGCGAAATGAAAATGCCAGTATGATTAAACTGGAAATGAGAATCCTTTTATCAGAACATATTATTTGGTAACATAAGGAGCATTTGGAGATGTAACATGATTTTAAAATGGAGACTGGTTTGCGCAATGCTGCATGAACTAGTGACCTAAAGCCAGGCTCTTTATTCTTAAGCCAAATTGCTTTCTGAACACTCTGTTGCCCTCTAGTGGGTCCACAGTTACCTAGAAACCAGCTCACAGGAGCTACTTCCTGAACAGGATGAAGTATTTTGTTCTACTTTATTTGAAAATAATTTTTGCTATGTTTTTTGTTACAACTCACAGACTCAGGCATGGAGAATAAAGCCAGAGTTTGCATATATTTCCCTGTGCTTTTGTGCATCTTCTAGTAAGGGCTAAAGGAAATTCCTTGCATTTATAAAAACTCCTCTTTTAAATTTATTTTTAAATTTAGACTTCTTCCCGCCTACCTGTTTGCTGGCTGAAAGATTAATGGCTGGTGGTGATGAAGTGTGTAACTTATTCAGTCTGTAGTTGGACAATCTATGAAGTATATTGTGTTTTCTGGAGAAGGAGAATGCTAAATTAAGTTAAACAGCTTTTTTTTTTTTAAAGGTCCTGATTTATTTCATTTCTTAGCCCTCATTTTATCAGTAAGATTTCCATCGCAAGCTAAAGTACCTATTTTAAAGCCACAATTAAAAGAAAAACAAATCAGGATATGATGTGTTTTTGTTTTTCCTTCAAAAAGTCTTACTTTGGTTCATGGGAGTTGATGTTATAAAAGCACAAAAGCACATAGAAGAAGTTTGGAGAAGGTTTCAGAAATAAATGCAGAAGCTCCTGAAGAACAAATGAATTACCTTGGTCATGAAATTTTAGCTCAGAATTTTCAAGATTACTCTCCGCTTATAGAATTACAAAATTGTAGAATCATGGATCCAAACAAGACCTCAACAGTCATGTGGATTAAACTCATCATCTTTCAAAAGAGGAAATATCCTACCCAGGAAGAGGTTATAGAACACGATGTCTGTAGCTGATTTAGTTCCTGAGTCCATTTCTGCATTTCCTCCCTAGGATGCTGATAACATCTCATGCAGATCAAAACTACTCAGTTTGAAGTTGGCTTCCTCCATTGACATCCTTGTTTTTGTTGGTTAGTTTCAAGTTGGCTTCTTCCATTGACATCCTTGTTTTTGTTGGTTAGGAGCACCTTCTCCTAGTCTCCCAGACTTGAACTTGCAGTTATTTTAAAAATTTAGTTATTTAATAAAGCCAATTTATTCTTTCCTTTATCCTTTCCCATATGTTTGTTTTTGTCTTTGAATTTCCACAGCTACCAAATTTATATCCATAATATTTCAGGCCAAGGTTACTGTAATTGACAAGAAATTGGTCGTCTTGTTTTTAGTCTCTTCCTTACCTGTCAGCTGTTTTTGTGCCTCGTATGTAGGCAGAATGGTTAAGATCTTGGATTCTGGACAAAAAAGTCAGTTCATTTCTTGGCCCTGTTATTTGTCTAGTTTTGTCCAAGTTGCTAAACCTCTTTGTGCCTTAGTTTCATCATGGATAAGTGGAACTAAAAATAGTACTAATTATGTAAGTTAACACGAAGTGTTCAGGAGAGCACCTGGCCTGTAGTAAGTCATCAATTGTTATTGTAATTAACACACTATTAATAATGTAAATTACATTATTTAAAAAGTATTGCTTAAATCATATTGTTCCTTTTAGTGTATACTGCATCAAGTCCAAACTTTGTAGCCATTTAGAGGCCTCACAATGCCTCCAAACTTTCTCTAAACCCACTTCAACCGCAGTGGTGGCGAAACTACTGTACGATTTATTATGTATCATGGACTTTCTAGCTCCAAAGCTTTTTTTCTTAATGTTCCGGTTGTCTGCTATATCCTTGTCCCTATTTCCTGCCCATCGAAGATTCAGTTTATGTTGTATTTTGTATTATTCAATATTAGCTCCATGAGGAGGGGGTCTTTGCTTTATTCACTGCTGTATTCCCAGTGCCTGCAGCAGTGCCTGGCATTTCCTAGCTGTTCAAATAATTACAGTCAATGAATGAACGTATGCTTTGAGGTTTTGAATAAGCCATTCAACCACTTGTAACTCCAGTTTTTCCATTGGTAAAATGAGAGTGATAAATGATATCGTTCACATCGTATTATTGGGAAGGTTGAAAAAGTGTGCAGGAAAATACAATGGAAATTACAAAGCACTATATACGTGTAAAAAATGTATCTATTCCTGCTGTTCAGTTCTTATGAATTTTTCAAGATCAAGGTGAAATTGTATTTTATCCCAGTCAACATTTGTAAATCATCTCAATCTAAAGTAAATCCTCTGTGCTCTGAAATTTTATAGAAACGATTAAGTGGTCTTTTTTTCTTTTTCAAATGTTATTGGCTAGTAACATTTACCACTTACCATCTCGAAGTTCTTAAGAATTTTATTGTTTAACTTTTTAAGTCTTGGTTTGTCTGTCCAGGTGTCTTGTGTGCTGTTTTAGGACTGGGATGATTGTTTAAAATATTTTTTAGCCCATAGACTTCTTACCTGTAGTTCAGTGTTTCATAAACATGTTTAATTTTAGTTAGTGATAGAGTGGGAACTAGAATTGAAGATTTCTAATTGACTACCTTTTTCTTCCACCAAACTACGTTGTCTCTTTGAAATATTTTATTAGGAGACAGTTTGTGGGCATGTTTCAACCTCAGAGAAGAATTTTGGAATCAATGCCTTTGTGACCTTACTATAGCTAAGGCAAATAGTGTCAAGAGATAGTAACTTAAACTACAGTAATCTTGATGATGGCCATGTCAGATATGTGCCTTCCGCAATTTAGTTGGTTGACAACTATAGTGTGTATGGGTGTATGTGTGTATGTACGTATGATGAGAGAATCTGTGCACAGATGTATGTATGTGGAGGAGTGTGTACACTTGCCCTGAATTTGTTTGCTTGTTGTGTACAATTGTGACACACAGGTTTCATCAGAGGTTGGAATGACATGATCAAGCTCTATGGTATTATTAATTTAGCTAAGCATTTGAGTACAGTGAAGAGTAAACCATAAGAAAATGTTTGATATGTGTGTAAAATTTTAAGTTTGGTTGGAGGGAAAAACCCAATAAAATTTGAGATCACAATAATGCTTTACTTAGAGCTAAAAATGTAATTCAAAATAAGAGTCAATGAACACTTTCATCTTTACAGTATGCCTTTCACCATATGTTACATTACTGGACCCAGTTCTACCAATTTTCTCTCTCACATTAGCTTCTTTTGAAGCTATTTGTATAGGCATATCTTTGGCCTAGGGGTATGGGACCATTATTTTTTTTTAATATACATCTGTTTTTTTACTTATGTAACTTACGAATTACAATCTCATTGTAATACCTAAAATTATACCAAATGGAAGACTACTTAAGCTATAAAACATCTTCTTTTAAAAATGCAAATGCCTGTGAGTACTAGTGTCAGTCACCAGTACCTGTGTGTATTGATTCAGATCGTGCTCCACTAATACCTAGCTGAAATCAGCTTCACTAAAGCAGTATTGTAGAGTGTCATGTGGCAGAGCACAGGGCATTGACAGTTTGAATGTAGGTTTTTCTTATTTTAAGCTGTCTCAACCTCAGTTCTCATGTTTATAAAGTCAGCTTTTAGGAGGAGGATCAAATGAAATGAAAGAGTGTGTGGTAACATTTTGAACTGTGATGTATCACACAAATATATCACTTTTATTCTTTCCTCGTGTAGCAGCAGCCCTGAGGTATTTAAGCAAACATTTCTGCATAGCCCAGAAAGGGCTTGTGGTGGTATGAGAACACTGAGCCAGGAACAGAGGAATGTCAGAGAGGTTTGGAAGGGAGGAGGATGGTTATGTCAAAAGGCCACTCTTCTCTTCTTGCCATCTAGTGAGGTGTTCAGGAAAGAGTTAGTGCTGAGAGTATAGGGAGAAGTAGTTTTCTGAAACAAAAATTGCATTTTTCTTTAATAAGTGAATGTGGGTGGTAAGAAGGGATATCAGAACTTCCAGGTACAGACCATCAAGGAAGGTGAAAACTAAAGTACAAGGATAGTTGTTCAGAATCTTCCCAAGATTCCAGAACCTTGATAACGTCTGCATAGGTTATCAGGTATCATGTTTGCTGCCTATTTCTTAATGAGTAACAGCGGGTTCTATAAAATGGGAGGTGGGTGCTTTGAAACAATAGGGAGTATCGGGGGAGGTATCTCTATCTTAGGTTAGGAAAAATCTCAAGAAATAAAATGGAAAGTTGTGAGAAAAACAGCTGACCTTCCGTTAAATCATGACCTGAGGTCTCATGATTTAACGGAAGAAAAAAACGGAAACAAAAAACAGGTCAACAGGACACTGCTCAGTATGGGCAAATAACCACTGAACCTTAAACAAGCAACTATTTAGTTACTTGATAGTTTCACCAAGAGATATTTGCTATTGAGCAATTTAATGGGAGTAACCATATACCAGACTCTTAATTTACTATGCTGGTTCTCCTATTTCCAGGACCTAAACTCACTTTATATTATTAATTAGCCATATTGTGAATCCAACAAGACGTTTTTGACTTCTCTTGGAATCAAACTGATGTTTGTCACACTTTTATGAGGTACCTGTTCCAAATTCTATATAAACCGCTTGTACTTATAGATACATTTTTAGTAAATAAGAATATTCAGTTTCCTTAAGCTTAGGCTTTTAAGTTGTAGCGTTTGAAAGTCCTATAAGTATTTAATATCACATTTAGAAAGAAAGTGTGTTTTCCCTGTCATGTGAATATGGAAACTTCACTTACAGAATTGCGGCAGGATTACTAAACTTAATGTTTACTCTTTTAACTTTTTAAGTTATCTTTTTAGCTTTACTTCGATGTTATGAATCAGTTTTGAAGGATCAAGTGACATTTTCTTAACAATAAAGAAGAAAGCCTCCTTGTGCAGACTTTAAATCAGGAGTGAAATAGCATAGAAACATGTTCAGAAATAATGTCTTCATTAATCTCAACCAAAACCATGTTACAATTGAAATACACATGTTTATACAATACTTAACTACAAACAGACCAGAAAGACTACAAAATAATATGATTTGAGATTATTCTAATAGCCTAACAATCTTAAATATGCATATACTTGTGTAAAAGTTGAAGAATCTCATAGTTCTTAATTGATAACAGGGATAGAAGTTGATTTTCTAGACTGCTGGCTAAGTGTGGCCACTGTATACCAGTTCAAAATGAACCCATTGTGGTAAAATGACGTGTTCTAAATAGTTCGCCTTTTAAATGGGAATTTTACAGAGCTCTTGGTTGACTTACTTGGAAATGGAAGTACCTAGTGTTAAGACTGAGGAACCTGGGACTACAATTGAGAAGAGAGGGTTCAGAGGGAGCCTGCTAACTGTCCTCAACTATTTGAGTGATCATAGAAAAGGTATAAATTCATTCCCTATTGCTCTAAGAAATCGGGCCAGTGGTGTTTCAAGAAAATCTTTTTCAGCTGAATATAATGAACAGCTTCTCAATGAAGCACATGCTGCTTTCTAACACAGGAGCTCATCTTAGTCACTGAGACCGAGTATATAAGCAAGAGTGGGGCAGACATCTGCCAGGAATTCCTCTTTTAGTTTTGCAGTTTGATTAGAGACTTCTAAAGGCCAACTGTCAGCCTCTGAGGCATGCATTTCAGTCTGGAAATACAGGATTGGCCTACATAGTCCGTTGTGATACAGTGTTGTTTGCTGACCTCACATCCGTTGTCCCCTTTCTCCCTCCGGTTGTGTTCAGATTCTCTCTCCCTTCAACTTGAAGCCCATATGGTTCAGTGCATGTGACTACTCACCTGCAAGGGTGACCCTGGGTGGCCCTTCGTCTGTTACTAATATTTGGTTCCCTGTGACAGTGATTACTTTGGGAATGGTCGTGTGATTCAGTTTGTGCCAAATATGTTCAAAGAGAGATTTGCTGAGTCCTTCTGGGAAAGATCGTTTCATCTTGTGGGAGAAATTTTCTCCGAATTTTATTTTGTTGTTATGAAGTTTAGATCCATGGCTGCCATCTAGCTTCCAACAAGAGAAGAAATTCAGGTTCCGGTAATCTAAGGAACATGGCGTCAGAGCCAATGGGTTGAGTCAACTCTCAAGACCCTCCTAACTTGGAACCTCCAATTACACGGGCCATGTATTGCCTTACATTTACGCCTGTTTCCATTGCGTTTTTCTGTGACTCACAGATTACGGATTGTCGTTGGTTACCCTGTTAGAGAAGCTTAGGCTCTATTTTTTGGGCTCCTCTTTATTTCCATTTGATTAGGACATATTTGTCCTAACCTCTTTCAGTTCTATACGTCATTAATTGGAAAGTTTTCAGATTGTTGTTCACATTTCTGCCAAATTATTTAGCTCCTTTCTTTCAGAAGTTTTTGAATTGTCAATGAAAGAATTACACATCTTAAAATCTGGAGGGGTAAAAATGCATATTCCAGTTGTTTGGTTTGCATGGCTTAGATTTACTAGGCAAGATTAACTTGGAATTTTTCCATTTGGTGCGAATTATATCTTTTTATTTTAAAGTCTTTGTTATCCTTGATTGTTGATTGGGTTTTTTTTTTCTGGAAGAAATAATTAATGCTATTTAACACATCTATTAAGATGTGTTTGTCATAAACGCTCATTATTTCTATTATTCATTACTTCAAAAATTATGTATTGAGAGCCAATATTCTAGTGACTGGGAAATCAGAAGGAGTTCTGTCTTTAGCCTTTTTAGATACTTAAAGTATAAGTGGTTACGTCAATGCGTGGTCTTACAGAGTAACATAGAGGCCATTTTTCCAATGGATTTCTTTAAAATTGTAGCGTTCCTCCTTTTTATTTTAAGAACTTGGAAGAAACATTTGACACTAACCTCAAAATGTCGCTTCAACTGGGTGCAATCCTATTTACATCAAGAAACTGGAGACTATATTTAAAGCAAACAAATATAAAAAAGAAAAACCTTGGGCAGTTTAAGAAGTTTCTCAGAACTCAGAGTGAAGTATAATAATCTTTTAAGTTATTATCCAATGGCATGAGATCATAATGTGGTTAATACTCCAGCTTCCCCTTAGCTGTGAAGAAGTTTTGCAATTATCAGTTTTCCCAAAATTATCTCAAAAAATAATGAAGCCCTTGACCTGACATATGACTCTTTTCTTCTGACTCTTTACCCAAGTTATAAAGAAGTGTCTAGGTGCCCCTGGTGTAGCAAGTAAAGCCTGGAGACTCCCAGGGAGCCCTGGGCCCCTAAATGGGGCAGACTGGGGATATTTCTTGTTCACCGAGGAAGTGGGGTTGCTTACGCTTGGACACTGAAAACACATCTGTGATATATTCAATGTACTTCATGTCCAAGCAATATAAAGACAGTGGTCCTTTACATTGTGACATTGAAATCACAATCACTCCTTTCTGAAGTGGCTACATGGCTGTCAAAATCAGGGTTCTTTAAACAAGCTTCAGAACATGCCACTCTTCCCTAACAAGACAGAATAATTTGGTATATTTAGGAAGATTGGAGGTTAAGCGAGTGAGATTCCCGGAGGATTTGTAAGAACACTGTAGAAGTGTTGGGGGTGGGGGAGATAAATGTGATGAGTTAGAAAAATAAGTAATTTGCAGATTTAGTGTGCTGATGATTTAAAAAGTGCTGTAATGAATGTTACAATAAGACAAGCAACAAAGAATAATGTGATAGACAATGATACAATAATGTTTGGGGAGGCTCCATGTCAAAGGCATCAACACTCAAACTATTTACATGACTCTTTCCCAAATGGAAACTTATTTCCCAAATGGAAATAAGGAAGTTAAGTAGTTACAATGATTTAGCATAAAAATGGATGAAATATTTTGCATTTAACAGAGACCAATCTGAGATGAATCTTGTATTCTTATATATAATGCATCAAAATATGGAATGCAGCTTCTGACTGGCCAAGTTAATTTTAAACCTTAGTATTTTTTATATGTATATACACTAACAGAAAATGTATCAAGTTGGTCTGTTCCAAGAAAGTCTAGGTTGAAAACTTGTGTATTTCCTGCCACATTGATACTTGAAATAAATATTCAAATAAAGGTGGAATATTAAAAATCCTGCAGTACTGTTCTTTAAATCTTTGCTGTTTGTTAGAAATCAGAAGCTAAAATTGAAAATTAGATTTATTGAGATGAATACTTCAAAGGCTGTTCCCTGGTATCTTAATTCAATATATTGCTTTCCTCTTTTTCCAAAACAAATATTTTCCTCTTATTTAAACAATGTTTTCTTTTATTCAGCTATAGCATCTGATAGCCTCATGTTACTGAAAGTTAACATAATAATTTGGGACTTAGAAACTTTATTTTACTCCTAGTTATAACTTTATTGGAAAATTTAATTTTGTACAGTGAAAATAATTATGTCTGGAATACTCTGAGCACCATTTGGTCAGTAGCACACCTTATATGAAATAAATAGATTTTTAAAAATTTGATAGTGTCTTCATATAAGGAGAGGAATATAGCTCTGGATTGAATTTTTGACACGCAATCTTTTATTATGACATCTAGTTGATTAATACTTCAGCCAAATCAGTGTTTTATAGTATCTCTTCACTGTCCATTGGATCTGGAGCTACAAGCATGCATAAAACCTGAAATCTGCTTTGTACTTCCCATCATTTACTTTGGGGCAATGCCAGTGTCTTGATTATAGTGTTTGAAGTCTAAATGCTTTAAGAATTCATCTAAGGCAGGACAATTTTTATACATGATTTTCTTATTGTATTTGAGTGACAGTGTTTAAGAATTTCTTAAGGTTAAAAGGTGGTAGGACAGAATTTTTGAATAAGAGGCACTTTTGTTTGTTTTTTCCTTTGTTTTAAAATTGTTAAACTGTTAACTGTTAAACCCAACACTACTAAAAAAGTTAGTACTTGTTAAATGTCAAAAAATTTTAAATATGGTAAAATACCAAGATGAATACCAAAATCATCTGCAATCACATCAAGCAGGAGTAGTCATTATTAAAAGTTGGGCATATAAATTTCTTTTGTATATGTATTGAAGCATAAATATTTACATTTATACTTTTTCATACAAAATTGTTTTAGTAACATACTTTTCTTTGACTTAACACATTTTTCTATGTATTTATTCTTTGAAAGATGATTTTCAATATGTATTTGGCCCATCCTTGTTTGAATGGGGATTTTTAGCTTTAGCTTCCTTCCTTTGCTTTTTCCTTGAACATTTTGCTATAATTCTGATAAATACTCTATTTACTGTAATTAAAATGTAAAAGCAAGATGTGTTTTCAGTGTAAAAATCCTGGGATATTTTAGGAAAAGGACTTTTAACCCTATAAATACAGCATAGAATTCTTGTCTAGAGAACTAAGTAAATGTCTATACTCATGGGACTTATTGGGCTGGTTGCTTACCTAGGTAGCTGAATATTCTGATTTCTGGTGTTTGGAAGAAAAATTTCCATTTGTTTTATAGGTGATTATTGGTAAGTTATTAGCTGTAGTTTGCTTTTAAAATGTATGTACCTTGAAATACACATATGAAAGGTTTAAAGGCAAATCTAACTTTTTTTAAATCTGAAACTCTATTTTAAGTTGAGTGTTGTTTTCTTCTGGATTTAACTGATTTTCAGCATTTTATTAATGCCGTAGAATTCTGGAAGTATTCACCAATTGAAAAGAATGAAAAGAAAGTATTTAACGATGACTTCTACTGAGGAAGCAATTTTATTTTATTATTTTTTTTTTCTTTTTCAACTTTTAGCTTCAGGGGGTACATGTACGGGTTTGTTACCCGAGTATATTGCATAATGCTGAGATTGGAGTACCAGTGATCCTGTCATCCAGGTACTGAGCAAGGTACCCAAGAGTTAGCGTTTGAACCCTTTCCCTTTTTGCTACCTTCCCCCTCTAGAAGTCCCCAATGTCTATTGTTGCCATCTTTATGTCCATGAGTACGTGTTGTTTAGCTCCCACTTACAAGTGAAAACATGCCATATTTGGTTTTCTGTTCCTGAGTTAATTCACTTAGGATAATGGCCTCCAGCTGCATTCATGTTGCTGCGAAGGACATGATTTTATTCTTTTTTATGGCTGCGTAGTAATTCTATGGGATATATGTACCACATTTTCTTTAGCCAATCCACCATTGATGGACACCTGGGTTGATTCCATGTCTTTGCTACTGTGAATAGTGCTGCTGTGAACATGTGAGTTTATGTGTCTTTTTGGTAGAGGATTTGTTTTCTTTTGGCTATGTACCCAATAGTGGGATTGCTGGGTTGAATGTTAGTTCTATTTGTAGTTCTTTGAGAAATTTCCAGAGTGCTTTCCAAGGTGGCTGAACTAATTTGCATTTCCACCTACAGTGTTTAAGTGTGCTCTTTTCTTTGCAGCCTCACCAGCATCTGTTGCTTTTTGACTTTTTAAGCCATTCTGACTGGTATAAGATGGTATTTCATTGTGGTTTTAATTTGCGGTTCTCCAGTGATTAATAATGATGAGCATTTTAAAAGTATATTTGTTGGCCACTTGTATGCCTTCATTTGAAAAGTGTTCGTGTCTTTTGCCTATTTTTATTTTATTTTTTTCTTTTTTTGAAGGAGTATTGCTCTGTCACCCAGGCTGGAATACAGTGGCAGGATCTCGGCTCATTGCAACCTCTACCTCCTGGGTTCAAATGTTTCTCCTGCCTCAGCCTCACAAGTAGCTGGGATTACAGGCACTGGCCACCATACTTGGCTAATTTTTTGTATTTTTAGTAGAGATGGGGTTTTGCCATGTTGGCCAGGCTGGTTTCAAACTCATGACCTCAGGTGATCTGCCTGCCTTGGCCTCCCAATGTGTTAGGATTACAGGCGTGAGCCACCATGCCTGGCCAATAGAGTTATTTGTTTTTTTTCTTGTTCAATTGTTTAAGTGAAGAAGCACTTTTAAATGTGAAAACTGTTATTGTTGAATTATAAGATTGTAATTGGAATATTCTTCATGATTCCAATTAGAATTTACTTTATTGATACTTTATTAATTTTAGGCATAGTGCTAAAAACATTGCTTATATTATCTCATCGATTATTTAAAATTACCCAGTGAGATAGACCTATTATCCCCATTTTACAAATTGGTAAACTAAGGCTCAGAGAACAGGATTAAGTGGTTTGCACACTTCTAAAGAGCCAGTACCTGATTAAGCCAGGACTCAAACTCAGATCTGTCAGTCTCCAAAGCCAGAGTTCTTAACCACCATGCTTAGACACAAAATTTGGTTTTCCATTTTCATGGTATTTTTCTGGAACTCTACTGTCCCTGCACTTGCTCATTTATGAGATGTTTGTCCCATGAGGCTGTATCCATTATGAAGTTTATGTAAAGATAAATAAGATGCTTCTTGTTAAAGAGATGGGAATGGGAGAGGTTGGATGGGGCAGTCAAAGGAAGTGACAGCTAGTTTATTTCTGTTACTTTATGCTCTTGTAAAAATACAGAAAAGATTGTGAATTTCTTTACTTTTATGAAATGTTTTAATTTCTGTAGAGTTGCCATGCATTATTCAAGATTATAAAATGATTTGAATTTCAGGAGCAGACAGATTTTCTGATGAGGATTTCAAGCTGTGTAATTATGAAACCCATATAGGTTAAAAGTTCAGAACTCGTTAGCTTAATCATTAAAAAATAACCAATTCATAAGCATGGCATTTCATTTTAGAGGGGTACAGTTACAATATCATTTACTAAATGACCCTTGGATTCTGCTTCATGTCCCACCACACACTGAGAATGTACACCACATAGTTTATTCTATGTTATTGTATAATTTATAAAGAAAATTCATATTTTATGGTAGTAAATTAGATGCCACAATGTAGGGCACATTTCTATAATTTTTTTTTAAAGTTTTCTTGGCACCTTAAAAATTCAAGGAAGTTAATGAGTGCCAAATATCAAAAAGGTTAATTAGAACCTGTTACATAGTGTTGAAGTATACATTTAGGAAATGATTTGTCAAATTTTTCCAGATATGGCATAAATGTTTCAGAATAAAATATAAGAAAATGAGTGCTCAGGTATGAAGGAAAATTTGTATTGTGCTAAAGTACACCTAAAATGTACCATCTTCATCATTTCTAAGTATGCAGTTCTGTGGCATTAAGTGCATTCACATTGTTGTATAACCAGCACCACTATTCATCTCCAGAACTTTTCATCATAACAGTATTTTTTATTTTGAATAAAATCATGCAGATATTATTGAGAATATGTTTGGATTCATACAGATGCTTGGAATCTTTAAAGGTTTTAATGTATCAGTATATGTAAAGATGAACGTTGAAACTGTAGCTCTTGTTACTTCAGGTAAGACACATGACATCCATTGATGCAACTGAAATCTTTACCAGCTTTTGAAATACTGTCAGAGTCATGCATATTTTCTTCAGGATGAAAGGATATTGAGAGGAAAACTATATTCAAATATAAACAATCTTCATAAAGAACCATCTGAGGTGATTAAAGATACCATGATCATCAAACAGTTAAAGGTGGAAAATAAAATATGGTATTTATGAGAATTTTGACTGGCATGAAGATTTTAATGCATATTATCTTGCTTTGCTAATCAAGGTGATTGAGATGCACTTGCCTGTTAAATAGAACTTGCTCGTGGCTTTTAGTTATCAGAGATTTTACATTTATCTTTTCTTCATTTGAATGCTACATAAACCCTCCCCTTTGAATCTGAGGGGGCCACTAATTTTTTTCCTAGAGTGCTACTCTTATATATTGAGAATATTTTTTCCCCTAATGCTTGGAGAATGATAACAAAAAAGAATTTTTTATTGGTTCATTTCATGCTTGGTAAGATTCCAACTGTCAAAACATTATAAAATTTTGAACCTAGAGGCACATTTCATCACCAGAGTACTAATTGCTGCAGAGAACTGGAGCGAGGCATTATGTAGTAGTATTTATTAGAGCTGCCCAATTTTAATGTTTTTTGGACCAGAGACACTTAAATAAAAGGTTAAGCTGTTTGGGCACAAAAGAAGGAAGAAAAACTGCTCAGTGCTTGCAACACATCAAATATAGTACAGGAAGGGTAGAATTAATTGAAAACTGTGCACCTACTTTCACTGACACTCAGCATCTTATTTTCAGTGATGAGCATGGCAGATGTAATTCTTGGTTTATTTTCACTATGTTTAGTATTGGGAGCCGATTATGTGCTAGGGCACTGGTGATATGAGGGAAACGTGAAAGACAAGGGTCTCCCTTCATGAAGCCCATATTCTTGTGGGGAAAGGAGACAGTAAGCAAAGCATCATTAATAATATAGCAAGTAATGCTTGGTAATGGCTATAAAGACACACATAGTGGAGTAAAAGAACAGAGAGTGAGTGGTTGGAGGCAAAGGCATTTTAAATCAATCAGTTAAAGGAGGCTCTTCTAAGGAAGTGACATTTGAGAATAGCAGTGAATGAGGGCCATTCAAAAAATTAGTCATGTAAGAATTTAAGCATACAAATATCTCTCACATAATTTCCATAGCATGAAGTACTAGAAAATAACAAAAATAAGGACAAAATGAAATAAAATGCTCTATTAAACAAATATATTAACTTCTATTTAATAGATGTCTGTTAAATATCATCTGTCAAGCCACTGACTGACTAGATAGTAAGCTGGGGAGGAGAAAAGATAAAAATGTGTCTCTGTACTTGGGAAAACTACAGTTTTAGTGAGTCATTGTGGTTTGCTTAAGAGTAGGTGAACAAGCAGTCCAAAGCAGTGAAGTGTGTGGAGGCAGCAGCAGGTACTTAAGTTTGACCGAACGCTAGCCAAGTGCATTATAAGGTGATTGTTGATGAATTGTTCCTTAATCTCCATCCTTCTTCCATCTGCAACTGATACTATGCGGTCCTTTAGTGCTGATCATATTTCTGTTCTAAATACTTGGTGCACAATAGGTACTCAGTAACAGTTCTTTGATTGGGTGAATGGATGAGTGAATGAAGACAGAAGACAGGCTTTAAACTTTTTTAAAGTATGGTTTAGAAGAAAAAGGAGTGTAGTTTTGCATGTCTTTGCAAGGGTAAAATTTATTTCATTTTTACATAAGAGTAAGGAGAATTGGGAGGCCGAGGTGAGAGGATCATGAGGTCAGGAGATCGAGACCATGCTGGCTAACACAGTGAAACGCTGTCTCTACTAAAAATACAAAAAATTAGCCGGGCATGGTGGCAGGTGCCTGTAGTCCCAGCCACTCGGGAGGCTGAGGCAGGAGAATCGCTTGAACCTAGGAGGCAGAGGTTGCAGTGAGCTAAGATCGCACCACTGCACTCCAGCCTGGGCGACAGAGTGAGACTCTGTCTCAAAAAAAAAAAAAGAAAAAGAAAAAGAAAAGGGTAAGGAGAAATCCATCCAGATTTGAGAAGAAAATAAGGGACAGTGGGGAGAAAAAAGTCAAAATGCCAGTGACAACTGATAGAAGAAGACTCCAGAAAATTGGATGGGGTGTGGTGACCAGCCTAGGTAGGGGTTTACTTTGAAAAATATGAAATAGCGTTTTTCTTCAAAGACAGGAGAAAAATAAGTCGAGTTGGACATGAGGAAAGATTTTAAGGTATAGAGGAGAAAAGTCTAGGGTGATGATCTCGGTCACATTTTAGTGGAGGTAAAAGAAAGGCCATCTGAAATAAAGAGGGACTGGAAGTCCTTGAAAACAAATGAGTTTCAGAATTGGAAATTTTTTTGATTTTTAGGTAAGTAGTAGATGCATCTACTACATACTAAGTAACACTCCTCATATGGTCTTTGGCAGTACCCTGTAATCATAGACATTAATATTTTTCTAGCAAAACACTAATATTTATATCTGGTGAAATAATGATGATAAATAGTTTCCAGTCAATATAGTTTGTGCCAAATGTACAAAAAGATAAGAAAACACGCTTGGATATTGGAATAATGGATAAGGGATTGTGGACCTGTGCAATTTGCATGGCCTGTTTTTGTTTGCAGGAATGACTGAGATGAATGAAATTGTTTAAGATTTGAAAAGTAGCAGGATTTTTTTGAGCAGGGGAGCCAAGCAGCTGCTGTGATGTCTGATATGGCAGAGTGGTTTCTCAGTGAACTGCATCAGCACATTCCTGTGTGTTTCTGTGCACTCTCCTACACATGCATATGTGTGCTCTAATGCCCAGCAACCTGAATGGAAATCCAGACCACATGAAGCCCGAGTGGGACTGCAAATTTATTATGGTGGTGGTACTATTGTCAGGAATTTGTTCCAGAGGCACTGAGAAGCTTAAATGGTGAGATTAGCATATGCTTTAAGATCCAAGGGTTAAGCAAGATATGGAGTTGCTGATGTTTTTAGGACAGTTTTTTGACGAAATCACTGTTACAACTTTTTGGCTTCTATTTTATATGGATTTTTTTCTACATAAGTTGACATAGTATTGAAACTTTTCTTGGTATTTTATATTTTTATCACAAAGGCCAAGCAGTGTGCCTAGATATATCTAGTAGATGATGGATAACTAAATAAATTATTGTAACTATGAATTATAGCTTGTTATAAATGATCTTTCATGACTAAATAAATGAATTATTGTGTGTTTGTGCATACACACAAACCTTTGTACTGTATTTTCCACACAGGATTGCAATAAGCCCTTTTTCAATATTGTTGTGGAAATTCTGTATATGTTAAATTATGTCTGTGGAGATTTGTGTTCGTTGACTTCATACAGTCTCAGTAGAATATGGTAGAAGTGCTAAGCAATGATTCCTTAATATTAAAATTTTAAAAAATAGTAATGCAGAAAATAAAACCATCCTATGAGTTTCATGTTTTAAGCTTTTAATTTTACCTTGAAAATATTCCCTACTGAAGATTGTGGAGCTCTACCCAGAGGCGGCCACGGGGAGACCCTGGCATGGGAGTCTGGAGGGGTGAGGAGGAGACCAAGAGACCCCTTTGGAGACTTCATCTCTTGGTCAGTATCTCCCTCATCAAAACTCCCGACCCACAGCAGGATGAGGATAGAACTCAAGGGTCAATGTCTCAGAACTGGGAGGAGCAAGTACTCTTCTGTGACTGAGGGAACCTGTCTGACTATGTATAAATAAAATATTCTAATTATAGAGACAGATTTTTTTAATTGATTTGTTTTGTTTTTTAATTTTTTTGTAGAGACAGAGTCTCACCATGTTGCCCAGGCTGGTCTCAACTCCTAGCCTCCAGCGATCCTCCTGCCTCAGCCTGTCAAAGTGCAGGGATTACATTGTGCCCAGCTGGAGACATATTTTTAATGTGTGTACTTGTGTTTATGACACACATGATTTGTGATTATGGAAGAATTAAATATATTTCATATAGAAGAACTAATATATGTAGCATGAAAGCTTGCTTTTGACATTACAAATTATAAACATAAACATTTTGGTTATTAGATTTCAGAAACGATCTCCTAGTATTAGAAAGTAGACATAGATATTCGGGTTTTAGAATTCTTTGATCAAATCCTGATAATAGTGAAATAATGTAATTATATCACTTTCACCTGTACAAAATTCTCCTAAATAGTCTCAGTACTTGTAAGAACTTTATATATTAGTCACATCAGATAATTTAATTTCCATTTTTGTTTCTAGGGATTTACATCCTAAGTCTCATGTAAAATTCTTCTCATAGAATTGTACCAGAGTAATTTTTTATGTTAAAATGTATCCTCAAGGGCATAGTATGTTCTTTTACTTTTTCAATATTGTTTAAGGCCAGAAACCACAAAGTCTTTTCCTGGTGGCATTTTTTTCAAAGCTATGATCAAGTGTCACCTACATAGACAGTCATTTGTATAGAAATTTTAAAATGCCTTTCTTAACAGCTTTAAATTGTCCACCTGGACTGTGGAATGCTAAAAGATATTGTTCTCAGTATTTTTTGGGAGCCAAGAACAAATTAAAAATCTTATTCTGGTGGATGGGATTTTCTAATTTAGCATAGTACATCTCAAATATAAAAGGCTAAAACTCAGTTGAAATATAAATGATGTTTGGGAGCAAGCTACTTAGGGAATGCATGAATAATGCTTGTTGCATTCCTTTTATTATAGTTTATTCCTAGATTATCTTACCCTTTTGAAAAAAAAATTCCGTTTCCAGAATTGTAAGGTAAAAATGCTTGTATAGTCCCATTAATTTGATACAAAGTTCTGATAGAAGAGTTCAAGAATGTTTAGGTTTGCCTTTACATCATGTCAGTACCCAATAAAACATTCTCCGCATGATGCAGAACGTACTGCAGTATTTTATGTGAGAGAAAACAGTACCAAGAGAGAAAACATAAATGAAATTCTGCCAGACTGCTGTGGAATTTCTGTGAGTTTCAGGTCAATGTATGTGGTTCCAGAATTAAATTAACTCATGTGGAAAGAACCAGCCTTAAGAACTTTAGTATGAGCATATGTGTCTTTTATTATTCTACTTTATTATTCTCTTCTCTTTTATGACCTCTAGGTTACAATATCCCAGTACATACTACCTTTGGCTCTCTTTGAATGTCAGCTGCTGTTGAACACAGTGGACCATCTACCTAGTACCTTGTGAAGCAGATGACTTCTCCATGATAGTGTCATACGTTTGATGTGTTCAGTTGGGGAAATACATGTCTATATAGGTTAGGCCCCAATTTTCTGGGGTTCAACACTGAGGCATCTTAAGGTAACCAAAATCAGGCCAACAACAATTTCCAGACCAGGAATACTGTGGTGTTATAGGCTACAGCTTTAAGGGTCATCACACTTTGCATGCTCAGAATTTTAAATTTGCCTCAGGATCAAGCATTTGCTAATAGCCAAAGGATTATTAACTTTAAAGGACTTTAAATGTTTAAGTGATTGTGAAATAATGGTTAGTGCATTTTTAAAAGTTTTGTCTATTTTTCACAGGCTAAAGAAATCATAATTAAATATTGTTTAACCTTCTGAGGAAAACAGGGCCTTTTCCAAAAACAGAGAAATATAAAATTTTATTAGTTTCATTGACTCGTAGAGTTACCTGTCTATTTAATACTTCTATTTCTTACGTTAAAATAAGATTTCAGAAAAATTCTGTGAGAAAAGTGATCAGGTCTTCTTCCTTCTTTTCTTAAATTGACCTTAAATGGTTAGGTTAAGGTAGCATATATTTGGGAAGACATTGTCCTGCTGGAAAGACATTTAATTCAAGCTCTTGCAGGTCAAGCCTTAGGATAATAGAAATCTGTCATCTAAGCCCCTGGTTGACTGGCACATACTGCCTAAGAAATGCCGTTTCCATATATTCTGAATGGAGGGAAAAAAGGTTACGAAACAGATCTCCAGAACATGCAGTGATCCCTTGATGTCTGTTAAAGTACGTTTAAATTCTTTGCCCTGGGAGGAAATTGTTAGACTAATATGTATGTTGAGATATTTGATAGGTTTTTAAGAGCTGGACTTGCAGTCATTTGAAGAAATGTGAGGCATGCTCATGTGGTAGAAGTTTAGACAGGGGCTCAAAGTCTTGGGCACTCATTGGGGCTGTGTCCACCGATTACTGACTGGCTGATTTGGATGGGGGTTCTCTGTCTCCCTGGTTCTCCCTTTTCTCCTTCATATTCTCTAAAGAGTTGCACCTGCTTCATTGATTCTCAATTACTGATTTGAAGAGTGATTCCATTAGAAGAGTCTAGGAAACTTACATAGATTCTTGTCCTATCCTCTGTGTTGGGGTCCTGGAATCTGTATGGCGTCCTGTGCTGTTTTATTTATTTACTGTTATGTAGTTTTTGTCTTCTCTCTAATTGCTGTCACTGACACAAGTGAAAGCTCTTAAGCTGAAAAGTAATAGCAGTCCTTCAAGCTCTGAACTGCTGGTCTAAAAATTCTAGCCCAGAGGATGTTGAAACCAGACCTAATAGTGATATTGATGATGAAGAAGGTGAGTAAAGGAGTTTTGTTTGGAAGTCCCTTTAATCAGTGCCTTTGTAGAATTAAGCAAATCATTTCTCTAAATTTTTAAATTTAATATTGATGTTGTGGCCATTATTACCTTGTTATAGCTTAACCAGTTTAATGTATTCATAGTTCTCAAGATTTCCTTTAAGACTAAAAATTAAATTATAGCATATTTTGTATGTTCTGATAACTGGACTTAAACAATTACTTGTTTTATAGTATTGAGACAGCCACTTAAGACCTTTGATTTTCCTCTTCTCCCCATATTTCTAGAATACTGACACTGCTTGTTTTACAACAAACTTTATGAAGAAAAATGAAATGACTGAGAGCTTTAAACAAGACTCTAGATTGATTTTTATTGCCTTTTTAATAGTTCATTGTGTATATGTAAATTACATATTAAATGTATGAACAGATAATAAAGTTTTTCTAATGAAGGTGATATTAATATCTAACAGCTACTAATAGGTAGGTAATAGGTATATGTGATCTCTGTGTTATGTCTTACAACTGCATATTGTCTCAATTATCCAAAAATAAAAAATTAAGTTATATATCTTTTTTCTTTTTTCTTTTTTTTTCAGACAGAGTCTTGCTCTGTCACCCAGACTGGAGCACAGTGGCACGATCTTGGCTCACTGCAACCTCTGCCTCCCAGGTTCAAGTGTTTCTCCTGCCTCAGCCTCCTGAGTAGCTGGGACCACAGGCATGCACCACCATGCCCAGCTAATATTTTTCTATTTTCAGTAGAGATGGGGTTTCGCCATGTTGACCAGGCTGGTCTCGAACTCCTGACTTCAATTGATCTACCCACCTCGGCCTCCCAAAGTGCTGGGATTACAGACGTGAGCCATTGTACCCCGCCAACTATTCTTACCTCCATTTTACAAGTGGGAAAACAAATGTGCAGAAAGGTGAAGTAACTTCCATGTTTCTGTAGTTGGAAATGGAAGAATTGGGATTTAATCCAAGGCAGTCTGACTTTGGAATCCAGGCATGTAGCACTAGTGTTTTGAAAATGTAGACCAAATCTCTAAACTTTTGTTTGGTAGGAAAATCAATACTCCTTGATCCCTGATATATGATGAATTTACACTGTATAACAAATAGTCTTTATCATTTCACAGAGGGCATTTATATCATACCATTTATGAAGGGAGTTTATATCATATATTCCCAAGTTATGTTATGAAAGAAAATGATTAACAAAAATCTTTAATGGTTTGTGTACTCTGCGAAGAAAGTTTGAACATTATGGTTTAAAAATTGTGTTAGGACTTTACTGCTTCATCAGAGCTTACCATTTCCAGGAACAGGTTAGACATTCTGACATTGTTAAAATTAAATAGGCTGGCCGCAGTGGCTCACACCTGTAATCCCAGCACTTTAGGAGACTGAGACAGGTGGATCACAAGATTAGGAGTTTGAGACCAGCCTGGCCAGTATGGTGAAACCCCATCTCTACTAAAAATACAAAAATTATCCGGGTGTGGTGGCAGGCCAGGCCTATAATCCCAGCTACTCGGGTAGCTGAGGCAGGAGAATAGCTTGAACCCGGGAGGCAGAGGTTGCAATGAGCGGAGATCACGCCACTGCACTTTAGCCTGGGTGACAGAGCAAGACCCCATCTCAAAAAAAAAAAAACAAAAAAAAAAGTGAACAACAAAAAATTGTTTTTCCTTTTTATTAGCAATATAATCCATGTAAAAGAGTAACTAATATGATTGATAGATAAAGCAATCAAAGAAAAATCATGTATCATGTACTTACTACCCAGCTTAAAAAATAGAGTAATACCTTTTAAATTTCTATGTGCTGCCCTCCAGTCATAGTAATCTTCCTCCCACCCCAATAAGTTTATCATTACACCAATTGGTATTATAGAATATTCCATATGTATATATCCCTAAATAATGAATTGTCGAGTTTTATATGGTTTAGGCCCCTGTGTGTTGTGTTATTGTATGCATTCTTCTGTGATTTGCTTTTTTCAGTCAATTTATTTTTGGATTCATCCACATTCATGCACGTAAGTTTGGCTTATTAATTTCACTGCTGTAGAGTGTTTCTAATGTGACTGTATTTGAACTTATTAATCCTGATTTTTGCTTCTTCCTGTTGAAGGACATTGGGCTGTATATGATTTTTTCTGTTGCTTTATTCTTCAACACGCATGTTTTGCCCCTTGCAACACATGGGCAAGAATGTATATCTAGGCTAGAAGCATAGGAGGCTATTTACTGGAATAAATACTTTTTGAGATAAGTATTTTTATAATTTACAAGATGATGCCAACTTGTTTTCCAAATCCAGTGTGCCAGTGTGAATGTTCTTAATGCCGCAAAACCGTATACTGAAAAAATGGTAAATTTTATGGTATGTCCATTTCATCCCAATAAAAAAATAGGTTTATTGGGATAAAATAGACGTACCATAAAATTTACCATTTTTTAAGTATGCAGTTTTGTGGCATTAAGAACATTCACATTGTTATGTAACCGTCGCCACCATTTATCTCCAGAACTTTTTTCATTTTCTCCAACTCAAGCTCTGTGCCCATTAAACACTAGTTTCCTGTTTCCCCTCTTCCCATCAGACCCTGGAAACCACCATTCTCCTTTTTGTGTCTTTGAATTTGGCTATTCTAAGTACCTCATATAAGTGGAATTATATGATGTTCACCTTTGTGGATCTGGCTTATTTTACTTAGTATGTCAAGGTTTATCCATGTTGTAGCATGTGCCAGGATTCTCCACCCCCCTTTATATAAGGCTGAATAATAGTCCTCTCTCTATATATACACATTTTGTCTACCCATTCATTTATCAATGTTGTTCAAGGGTTGCCTTGTGTTTTTTTTCTGCCCAGCCCTGGAATCAGTCAGTTCCCCAAGAAGTTCTTGTTCCTTTGATTGGAGAATGGTATTTGGAAAGGTCTAGATGGTAGTTGTGCTCTGAACTGCTGGTTTATTATTGTTGATAGGCTCTGTCAGTGTACAGAGGTAGGAAATATATGTATGTTTATTAACACATATATGTATGCACATTTATATTTATTTTTAAACCCACCCTTCTGTATATCTGTTAAAATCCATAGGTCATACCTGTATCTGTGATTCTTGTCCTGTACTACAGGGTTAATCTTAGCTTTCCTTCTCTCCTTATTTATAGCTCTGTATTTCTGAGAATGGAAATGAGGCTGTCATTATCCACAATAGATATTTTCCCATTTGTATATGTATATAATACAGTTTCAGATTTGCTAACCTGTAACCCTGCAAAATAACATTTACTAACTACAGCATTTGTGTACATTAGTACTCTTTTTCACACATAACCCTTTTCCTTATTAGACCAAAAAATCCAAACTCTCTTAAATATCATGAATTTCATGTTCTTGTTTCCTTGTTTATTTTTTCTGTGTTTTTTTAAATCACAGATTTAAGATCTGCCCATTCAGAGATTTAGTTATTATATATGAGCCAATGAATACTTTACTTTGCCTACATTAGTTTCAGTTTCTGTCACTTGTAACCAGACTGTCCTGACACAAAAGCACAGTGTGACTGGTCAGTCGTTTCTTCCTTTCCACAAAGAAAGAAGGAGGAACATCTTCTGCCTTAAGGAAATTATTTCCAAAGAGGAAAACCAGATACAGCGAGAATATGCACATAAGTACTCCAGATTATTTGAGAACACCTTATTCTAATGTCTACTTATCTCTATGATATCAAATCATATGAAATTAAAGCTCTGATAACTTCATTCCTCACTATAATTTACAAACACACCCAGAATGAACCCATGGCAAGTCATCAGTATCTACTACCTAATCACTTTGCTTGTGGATTCACTATTCACTTTCCAATTTGACAATATGTTATAGTGAGGTGCTATAATTTTCATTTTAAGCTATACAACAGAAATGATATTACATTTAATGGCTGAATGGCTTTCATGTTACAATTAGAGGTATCCTAAGCAATAAGAGTTGACAAATTATCCTTTAAAAACAAATTGCAGGACACTCACAAAGATAGCTTTTGAAAGGCTTACCAATAAGGCATCCTTGAAGTGAATATAGAGTATACTTTACTAATCTCTATGAAACTGTTTGTATTGAGGTTGTAGTTGCTTTTGAAAGGGGAGTGTTCTTTAGAAATCCTTGTGTTCAGAAGTCAAAGGTGAAGAAGTATTTCTAAGAAAATAAAATGATTAAAATAGTAGTTATTACCCAATCACTTTTAAAATTTAATATGGGATCCCTGTGCCTAATGAAGACTGTATTTAATCTCAGTAAAGTTTACTTCCCTGTGATTCTGACAAATTTTAAGAGCAAAATTCTTTTTAAAATGTATTCTTGAAAACCATTCATTTTTGTAGTGGGTGGATTCTTTTTCCTGTAGATTTCACCAGACAAGAATTTGTATTTTCATTAGAAAAGTCTGCTCTTCAGGCTATTTCAGTTTATTCAACTTTTTTCTAAAGCAGATGCTGTTTTTCTTTTTTTTTTTTTTTCTGCTGCTGTTGACTATGCAACTGAGTGTTTCTGGCACTTGATCAGTTAAAACGTAAATCGTAAGCCAAACTACTTTCTTTTGTGACCAAACTTATGTGTAAAACATATGAGAAGGCTTTAGTCATATTCCTCTGTTTGAAATTTGCAAGGAGTCTTAGAGAAGATCTTCTATAGAAGAGAAAAGTTTGGGGGCTGCTTGGCTCTTTGCAGCCTAATTGAGGCATCTGCTTACTGCTGACCTTTCACATATGCTTCTTTCTCCCTTTACTGCCAGTTATACTCCCGTACATCTTCTGTGAATCTGCCCTGGTCAACGTCCCATCCTTTGAGCTGCCATTCTACATTGCTTTTTCTTAAATTCAATGTGTCATCTAGTTTTTTAATTATCTCTCTGCTCCGTGAAACCAGCACTCCTCAGTTTGAACTGTCACTCGCCTGGCACACAGATTCATAGGCCTCAACCCTGATGTACTCAAATAAGACCATGGGTTTACATTATTGACAAATGCTGCAGAAAACTCTTACGCATGCTGTTATTTGAACAGTACTCAGCCAATGAGTACTTTAAATGTAGGAACTAATTATTAATTGCATTTGTATCTCAGCAGAGCATTTATTAGAAGTTCAATAAATGCTTATTGAATAAATATCAAGATATTGAGCTCTTTACTATCCCTAAGAGATAGTAATAGTCTCCAGTCTGGTTGCTATTGGTCCACTTACATCTGGTATGGAGTTAACAGTGTAGTGCCTTGCTACTCAGAGTGTGGGCCACAGATCAGCAACATGAGCATCACCCAGAAATGAAGAGTCTTGGGCCCCACTCTGGACCTACCAAATCAGAATCTGCATTGTAACAATAACCCTAGCGATTTGTATATACATGAAAATTTGAAAAACACTGGCTTAGGGGGCCAGAGTTATACTGCCATCTTGGAATGTAGTGAGGGAGATTTTAATCCGTTAGACAAGGAGTGACTCTTCAATGAGAACATGGATCTTTGAGCACTAAAGGATGTACTTGGGGAAGACAGTGGAAATGGACTGTATGTAAAATTATTGAGTTGATGCAAAAGCAGTTGCTGTTTTTGCTATTAAAAGTAATGGCAAAAACAGCAACTGCTTTTTTTTTTTTTTTTTGAGACGGAGTCTTGCTCTGTCGCCCAGGCTGGAGTACAGTGGCGCGATCTCGGCTCACTGCAAGTTCCGCCTCCTGGGTTCACGCCATTCTCCTGCCTCATCCTCCTGAGTAGCTGGGACCACAGGCGCCCGCCACCACGCCTGGCTAATTTTTTGTATTTTTAGTAGAGATGGGGTTTCACCATGTTAGCCAGGATGGTTTCAATCTCCTGACCTCGTGATCTGCCTGCGTCGGCCTCCCAAATTGGTGGGATTACAGGCGTGAGCCACCGCACCCGGCCCAGCAACTGCTTTTGCACTAACCTAATAACGTGCTGTGGAAGAAGCGTGTATGGGTAAGGTTTTCTGATGTCTTTAGGTTGATGTAGTTTGGAGTGGGGTACTTGGGAGAAATTTCATCCATTCATATTTCCCTTCAGGATTTGCTGCAATGGACTGTGCACCTCATTCCCTTAATTATCGCAGAATGAACCAGTTAGTCGTGATGATAGGCTAAATAAAGTGATCTAAGATTTAGAAGCATGAAGCATAAGTACCTTTGTGTAAAACCCAAATATTATTTAACTCTTTAGGAAATAGATTTAGAGAAACCTGAGACTTGGGTACTCAGATCTAAGAATTTTGGCTTAATATTAAAATATTTTTAACTCTTTTAAGTCCAAGAATATGCTTTTATGAATAATTAATTAAAAATTGTTAATGACCCTCATAGGCTTTTTCTCCTAATTGAATCCACTTGCAAATGCTAGGTAAGAAAATGCCATTTGAGTCTTTCCATTTTCCCACCTTTTTAAAACTCTCATCCTGTTTTTCCCCATGTTATCCCTGTCACGTGAACAAGTGACAGTTTTTTTCCTTTTGATGGTATTTCAGCTAGTTTAGGTGTCTGGTGGAGTTGGTGGTGGCCTGGAGAGAAGATTGGAATTGTTTAGGGGCTAGAGAATGAGCAGTTGGACAGAAATCCAAAGGAATGATGAACATTATAGAATGAGCAGTGAGAACTGCAGTGAGAGCCACGGTCATCTCTATGTCAAATAAAGGCAGGTGGCTGGGTAGTCACAGAGCCAAATTGGGAACTAGACAAAGAACCTGAGGGTGATGGAAGTATCTGGAGAGATGGCCAGGATGTGACGTGGAAGAGGTGGCATCTGTGCCTTGGATGACTGGCACAGCAGTAGCACAGATGTGGCTGCTTGTCAGTCACTGACAACCAGGGAAGGGATAGCTTCAGCTCAATAGGTTCGTTCTCAGTTTGTATGCTCCATGGCCATAGTGATTGACATTTGTGATGACAGTTCTGCTGAATCACCTCAGACCAAATTTACATATATTACATGTCTTTTAAGGTTATGTGAATGTTCCAATTATGGCTCTTTTGGTTTCAAGGAACAGAGTCTCACACACTAGTTTTATTTTAGAGAACCCGAGGGGAGAAAGGCACGTATCATGAGAAATGAAAGCAGGAAGGGAAAAATTGTCAGGACCTGAAGAAATTAATGTCTCAGCATTTGTGTTATCTTTTTTTTTCTATTTCTTTGGTCGTGGGGGATGGGAGGAGTGTCTATATGCTTTCTCTCTCTCATTTTGTGTCTCTTCCCTCCTCCCCATGATGCATTTTTTCTTACTGCATTAGTCTGTTCTCACATGGCTATAAATAATACTTGAGACTGGGTAATTTATAAAGAAAGGAGGTTTAATTCACTCACAGTTCTGCATGGCTGGGGAGGCCTCATGAATCTTACAATCATGGCGGAAGGGGAAGCAGGTACCTTCTTCACAAGGTGGCAGGAGAGAGGAGACAGCAGGGGAAACCACCGCTTACAAAACCATCAGATTTTGTGAGAACTCATTATCGTGAGAACAGCATAGGGGAAACCACCCCCATGATCCAGTCACCTCCTGTCAGGGCCCTTCCTTGACATGTGGGGATTACAATTTGAGATGAGGTTTGGGTGGGGACACAGAGCCAAACCATGTCACTGACTTTGCATGTGACCTCCATCCTCAACATTGTTATGACTTATTAGATTCAACATCAACCATTGCCTAGCAGTAGTCTCTTGGGTCTTGGGTCAGATTCGCAGGGAGCAAGAGTACCAGCTTTCTTTAGTTTATCTCTGTAAGCCAAGCCAAACAAGCCCTTGGCTGCCTTTGAGATATGTGTATCCCTGAGCAATCAGTTGTGTTGAGTTTGAGGCCAGTCACATGACATGTAACCCTGGTTCCTTCAGAAACTGAAAATGAGTCAGGTAATAACACATATATGTATCGTTGCATTTTAATCATGATTACTCCTGACATATTTAATCAAATTTGTACAGTTCTGCCTCGTTTCAGGACACATTGGTGGGATTTACAACCAGGAATAAAATACACATTGGGAGAAGTTATGATCCAGTGGAGAGATAACAGTTAATTAACCAAAACAGATAATTTTCTAATAGTTTTGAAAAGAGTATGTTCATAGTTGTTTTTCATACTATTGAACTTCATTCTTAATATATGGCTTCATTTTGTTAAAGACGGGGCTTCTAACAAAACTTTTCGAAAGCACATCTTGTGGATTACTTTAATGGAAAGTATTTTGTTATAATAGTCTTAATGGAATAATTATTTCACAGCCAGCAAGGCTAACGGAGACTATTTGTAGATTGAGGTATGTTTTCAAAGCCTAGTGGATTAGCAAACAGTTGAGGAATTAGGGCCAAATGCCTTCAAATGCTTGTCTCTTCATTTTTAAAATTAAAGTTGATATTTGAATAGACAGAAAATTTAAGTAATGAAAATCTTTGATCATCTTAATAGCAGATATCTTTAAACTATAAATTAACTGCTAATTTAATTCACTGTAATGCTATGTGAAGTGAGTGTCTTTATTTAAAAACTTGTAATTTTGCTGAAAATATGCTGATTCTTAACCACATGTAACCTTCTGGTTATTTCATTTTGCCTTTTCACATAGTTCTTGCATGTTACCAAACTTTGGTTTTCCTTGAAATATTTTAATGTATTATGTTACATTACACTATAACAATAACTGAAAAGAAACAAGAAGTATTATTACTGATTTAATTGTCTTTTTTTATAACCTTGAATTTCATCATGATATGTAAATTAATTTTTAATGTGCCACTGAATTAGGTAAATAATACCTTTCACAGAAGATAAGTTAAATTATAGGAAATAAATAATCATTTGAAACTTTGAATACTTAAAAACAACAGGTAAATCGAACTATTTAAATACTATTCTATAGTTGTGAGTAAATCTCAGGAAGAATGTATCCATTCATATCCTCTCTCCCTGAATTTTGTGTTGAGTAAGAGTTTTGCTTAAGCTTTTGCCTCTTGAAATTACTCCTTTTTTTGAGGTTTCTTTGTATGTGTCTGTAAAGAGGCACATGACATTGCTGTCTTTATGGCATTTTTTTGTGAAGGTCTAATGAGAATATAGTCAACTCTGTTATTTAGCAGTAGATTAGTTGGTGTTTGGATTAATTATACTAAAATAATAATAGACATTTTACTCTTACAGTTTTAAATACTGCGAGCCAGCAGAAATGATCCATATACTGAATAACATCTCGTTTGGAGTTGCTTGGTAACGGATAGAAGCTACATTAGGTCTGTTGCCACGTGAGAATCCTTGGTGCTTTTGCCAGTCCATGATGTAGCTTTTGTAGTCATGGCCATGAACTGCGTTTTTGTGTGTGGTCTGTACAAATTTAAACAGTAACATGGTTTGGGTCTTTTAAAATGTAAATGTGATAAAATAGACCCAACTTAAAATATTGGAATCTAAGTGAAAACTGCATATTGCTTAACATTCAAAGAAGTTATCAGTCAACTGGGAAAAGTATACCATTAAACAATTTCCATTGTAATATGAAAAAGAAATCAGATGGCTGATGGTTGAAAAAGAAAGGATAAATTGATGTCTTTTGTATCTCATTGAGATCTTGAAGCAGAAGACAAAAGCAAAAGGGAAAAGTTAAACTTGAAAAAAACATTGTCTACTTTTGATCAGACAATGCAGGTTTGGTACTGTCAGCAGGTGATTGGTGTAAGAACCTTAGTTGCCATCCGGTACCTGTTATATCAGGTTATGTGTCCAGCTGCTTTAACAGAGGCCAAATAATAGTGGCTTCAACAAGATGGAATGTTTATTTCTTTCTCATGCGGAAGTTTCAGCTGAAGGTAGTTTGGGGGTGGAAACCAAGCATCTTGCGCTCAGATGTTCTTTTCATCACTCTACCATGCTTTAGCAGTAACCCTGTCTATATACTAGATTAATATAAGAAGTGTCAAATGAGATTCATATAAGGAACATAAAAAAAAGACTCTTGGGTGCCACCCCAGATTAAATTATAATCTGAGAATGAGTACTACTCCAGACCTACTGAATCAGAATCTGTGGTCATAACTTAGTCATGAGATCTCACCTCGCTGCAAAGCAGGGTGGGGAAAGGTAGTCTGTAAGCTGCAGGCAAGTATACAGCTAAAACTTGGTTGGTTTTATTACCAAAAAGAAGTTAGAATAAATATTGAGGGAGACAATAAGTAGTTTTCTACCTGTGAATTAGAGTTTAAGACACTCAGCAGTAATAATTATTTACGGCACTTGGTAGTGAAGAGAGGACAGTGGTGGAATATGAAGCTGGTTAACATACATAAAATGGGAACTACCTACAGGAGGCACATACTCCCCCCTGTAAGAGTCTAGGAGGTGACTCAGGCTAGTGAAAAAGGGCCAGTCGTTTCAGAGGCTGGAGGGGCTCTTTTAAAGTGGCATCTCTAGTAGTTGTTGCCATGTAGGAAAGTGGACTAAAGTTTTATAGATTCAGTTAGAAATCTACATTTTTATGAAAATGTGAGCCCAATTTAACATATCTTTAAATTAGATATAGATTAAGAGCCATTTATTTCTCATTTTTGACCTGAATGTTATGGCACAATATTTCGATGGCAAAGACAGCATTTTTCGTGGTGTCAAACTATTTTTCATGCAAATTCATTATATTTAAAAATATTTTTGAAAAGAAACTTGATAAAAATGGCAAAGGTATTTTAGTAGTCAGTATCCTTTTGGCCATTTCTAGTAAATTATGTGATTCCTTTGTATTCCTAAGTTATTATATTTGAATTGATTTTACATTTTTGGGTGATACTTGTAGAACTCTAATTTTGAATGAACTTTTAATTCAATAAGTATGCATTTCTTGACCACTTTTAACAGTGATTTTGTGTTCTTTGTGACCCTCTATCTCCAGTTTATTAAGAACTACCTCTGCATGCAGAGGCACTTTGTAAACTGTAAGAAACTCTAATGATATTTTAGTGCCTTGCCACTGTGTCTGGCACAAAAACACCCAATGAATAAGTGGTGAAAAAATGATACCTCTGTTAGATAATCATTAATGTTTACATCCTATGACAAGGTGTCTATAGATTTCAATTATACTAAAATCAGTAGGATACCACAAATCAAAAATATTTTCTTCATCATTCTTTTCTCCATTTTACAAACAAAAGAGATTGAAATAAACTTTGTATCTATTGACAAATAATTGGATCCTGTAGATTGAGTTAATTACTTGTTAGAAAATTACCTCTTCTGCTTCATTGGTCAAGATGTTCTATGAAGTAGAATTTGTTTTGACTTTCTAATGGCATAACAATAAATGTCTAACAATGTCTTTCTTGTATCTTGGGACTAGTTTATCTCATCATATCTGGCTGACAAATGCTTTGGCAGTGACAGTGTCTTGGATGACAGTGCTGTTGGATTAGATTGGCTAACTTCTACAGTTTAAATTAAAACCAGGACCCTGAAATGCTTCTCGGAATAATCATGTTGGTTACCATGCCCATTGCTCAATTTTTTTCCTTTTGTTGAAGGCAGCTCTATTAGCATCTTGTCTATACATTTCTTGACTAGCGAGAAGAGATACGAGGCTTTAGGGCTGACGTAAACTCTCATCGGTTGGACAGGTATCATGCTCTTTTTCATTTATCAATTCCAGGAAATACTGGGTTTGGTCCTTGTTAATAAGGAAGGAGAAATACCAAGACTTTCGTGAGTACTTAAAATTCACAAGTTATGAAGTTTACAATGCGTTAGTTCTGTGGAGCTCTGGTGGGGGCATCTTCTGAATATGGGCAGGACACTGTCCTGCAGCTCCCTGGTTATTTGAAAAGGGATGAAGGCTATGCTGTCTGGCTCTCACTTCCACCTTCTGACTCCCACTCTTTCCCTCTGCTGAAAATGGTGAGTCAAGGCCAGCTGGCAAAAATTAGCATAGAATGGGGTATTGTTTCATCAAAATTTGGCAATTGGGGAGTAATTTTTATAAATATTGACACTTTTGTTATCTCTGGGAGGTGATTGGTTGATATTCTATGTATAGCCATTTGGCCACTTCTTAATATAGAAGAAAATATTTCCTGAGTCACCTTTCTTAATTTTCTCAAAATAATTACCTTGAATTGTTATAGATCCATCTTTTCATGCCAACACAAACTTTTAGATGCTGTTGAGTATGTTTTTAACAAAGTATAAGTAGATTGGTTTTAAGTTGACTTAGCCATTGTTAATGATTCAGTTGATTTTTTAAAATTAAGAATGCATTAAAAATGAAATTGATACATTTATGGAGAATTCATAAACGATTCAAATCAATTACTTTATAGACATAATACATATATTTTGTATGTTTTTGTAATTTTTGGGAAAAAATTAGCTTAATTATGTTTCTGAGTAAGCTAAAGACATTCAACTGTATTCTTTCAAATTTGCCAAAGAACAAAAAGTAAGATTTTGTCATTTGGTTTATTGGATTTTTCATTATTCACTATGATAACAGTCCAAAAACAAGAATCAATTTCTTAATGCTTTATTATATGTTTTGAAGGGAGTTCCTTTGTTCTGTGTTTACCTTACAGAACCTCAGAGTTTAAAGCCACATTCTGTTTTTAAGGGAAAGCAAGTCTTGTCAGTTTTTATAATTGCAAATAGGATAGGAAATCATGAATGGATGAAAAGTGTAGTGTGATAAGTCATTCACTAGAAGGGGAGTTGAGGCAGTGAGGGGCAGGATGATGGAGTGATAAAGTTCATAGTAATTATAGGAGAAAGTGAGTATAATGGCAATAAATTGAAAATTGACCAAGTAAGATATTTGAGGAAAGCCAGCATATTGTGATCAACATGCTGGTGTAACCTAATTACTTATATAACCTGAAAGTAAATTCCAAATTTCTTCTGGCAAGAAATAGTGATTTTTTTTCCTATGCAAGTAATAAATTTGCTGATTTGAGTTCTTATACACCTTCTGGGCATAACACAAGAACATGAAAAATGTTATTCTTCAAATTACTGACCTTATGGCTAATGCCTTTCCTTAATGCTAGTCTCATTATATTCTATTCTTGGTCAGAAATTCCATATGCACAGCTTTCATTGGAATCCTTAGCATTACTTTTGATATTCCAAAGCACTTTTCTTAATATTCTCTTGCCATTCACCTTAAAAAAGCAGTAGATATAGTTGGTTTTGTTAAGAAAAGTTTCATTGGCAATCATTTATATTTCTCAAGTATTGTTGCTAATCAAAATCCTAATATTTAGCCTCTCTTTAGCATTTTAGTTTGCCTTTTTCTTAGAAGATACTAGCAAATAATATAGTGTTTCAAAGTCACAATGTCTTCAAATCTTACGGTTGATTCAGACTGAAATCTTTTATGGATTTTATGCCCCACCTGGAGCAGTACTCAGTAATGTATTCACAGCAAGGATGTACTCTAAAATTAATTATTTGTGTCATTCATCTAGGTATTCCCTCACTAATAAATTATTGCTTTCTTATTCAGTATAAATTTGCTTTTCACTGTTTTGGGTGACCTCGGTCATCAGTGGGTAGTTAAAAATTCTCTTCCAGGAATTCCCTCTGATTATCTACAACATTTTGGGCTGAATAATAGGTGTGCTGCATAACTTGGAGAGGTGACCCTTTGATATTCAGTTTATTAATTATTTATGGAGTGACTATGGAAGTGGAGTAGTAGGAGATACCAAATAGTAGAAAATACTGTCCTTGCTTTCAAGGAGTTCATGATCGTATTATAGAGACAAGGTATACTTGAAAGTCTAATTATGTTGCTGAAAAAGTAATAGAGGCCATATATGTCATCGAATAGTGGGGGGCGGGGGTGGGTAGGGGGAAGACAGGATGGCTGTGGGTTAGCATGAGAGGAGAAGAAGTGATAGAGAACTAGAACTGATCCAGTCTATTTGCAGTTGTTAGAATTTGACTGGGCCGCTAGGCAGGGCAAGAAGTGGAAAATAGGGAAGCGGCTTAATGTCATGAATAAAAACAGAGTAAGAGACTCACTGGTGTGATAGAAATTTCTACTTTGAATTATAGTGGAGAACAAGTTTAAAAATAGTAGAGGAGATTGAATTTGAGGAAAGACAAATCTAGATTTTTTTTCCAGGAGATTTTCCTCTTTTGTTTGAATTATGGTTATTTGAATAATCCATTTCAAAATACCACTTAATCAGACAGTAGAGGGAACTATTTATATGACGTAAAAGGTAGTTTGGCAGACATGATTAAGGAGAATGTTAGAGAATAAGATATCAACATGGAAAGAGATGTGATCTTTTTTAATCTGGAAAAAGCAAGACAAATTGCTTTGAACATGTAGGTGAAAACGTACCTTAATGTTTCCAATTTAACCAGAAAATATGATTAATGTAAAAACTATAGCAAACACAGTAATTTTACTTTGTAATTCTGCTATAATTTGTTTCATTTGCCATATTTTATTTTTCTTGTTGTCATTTGAATTTATACCTGGGAATGCCATAAAACTTAATACCTTAGAACTATAATCAAGTCAGAAGAGCTTCTTTTCCATAATGGTGTCATATGGTTTGACATCCACTCGTCATCTTCAGGATGTTAAAGTCTAAGATATCTACTTTACATATTTTATGTATTCAAACAATAAGGTTTTATGCATGAGTGAGTTTGAGGCTTTGGAATATGTGCACCCACTATTTAGTAAACTGTTGCCTTCCATTGTTAGGGTATCCTTGTGAGACTTAAAAAACAAACAAACAAAAAACAACCAGAAAACCAAAGCAATGCCCCTGAGGCCAACTCTGTAAACTTATGGGAGGTAACAGTAAATGTTTCAAGGACAATTCTGATATGATTCCTACCAATGTCACATAGCTGCTGACATCTGGGAAGTGACAGTAGCTGACAGACCATGTTGGCACAGCAGAAATCAGAGATGGACTAGCTCAGTTGGAAGAAAAATGTCATGCTGATTGGGAAGCTAAGAAGCAGAACGCCACAGTGGCAACCTGTGCAAACAGTGGCTATTAACATTAACTAACAGACAGATTGAGTCCAGCTAGGGCTGCGGACCACCCATCAGTGGATCTGCCATGCCTGTACATATAGGAAGTTCTTTGCTGTCAGCATAGCTTCGCTCAGTAAAAGAGAAGTGATGTTTATGTTCATTATTATGCTTATGTTGGGTGGTGACAGATAAAGGAATGTACCTTTTCTTATGAAGAGTAATGCAATTTTAATGAGAATTTGACCTTGAAGGTAAAGAATTGCTGAAGCATCACTAATTGAGTATTCATTTAAAATGTATTCCCAGTTTAGCTGCTGGTTCATCCTCACTCATCCCTGATCTCAACATTTTCAAGATGGCACCCTAGAAGTTGGAGTATGTTTTAGGGCAATGGAGTCAAGGCCTTTGGACTGAAAAATAAAAGCATGGAAATAGCATTTGCTTTTACTGTTTTATCATCTACCCTTTGGCTGCCTCCCTCAATGTTGGCGTCAAGGGTGATTCTGAAACCTCAAAGCCCCAGTGAAGCCCCAACCGCATCTCTAACCTTTTACCTCTTAGTCCATGATCTTCCTAGCTGCCTTACAGAACAAAAACAATGACCTTGAGATGGGATTCAACTTTCTCAGTTCCTTACCTTATTGTATACAAAATGTATTAATTTCTGCACTGGAGACTTGGGATTGCTTCTCCTACCCAAGGCTAATTTTCATACTTGCCTTTTCAATTGCATTTCCTCCCTTCTTGCTGGAAACTTTTCTTTTTAACTTCACATGTCCCTTCTTTCTCCTGTCTTCAGCCTCTCTGCTGCGTGGACTCATCTGAGCCTGTAAACATGAAGGCTCTGTTTTCTTAAAACCAAGTTGGGAAAACAAACAAGCTGCCTTTATTTCCTCCTTGCATTCATTTTTCTACAATTCTTTAATCGTTTTCCTTTCTCAGACAAGTTGCTTAAATGAGTTGTTTAAAGGAGAACATGATCCTTCCCTTCCCCGCCCTGCACGTTCTGCTGTTCACATTTCTGACCTTTGATTCATTGAAACTCTTTGAACAGTTTGAGAAGTTTATCAAGGAATAACTTAAGAAAAATACTGCATGCAATGAGAAGGTCATTAGGACAGAATGAGAAGCTTGGTGTCAGAGCTGATGGGCCCTGACTTAGCCTGCTAGGTAACACAGCTCTTGTTTGTTTGTTTGTTTTATTTGTTTATTCCTTGTATATTTGTGTACACATGTTTCATTCTCTTTGAATAGCCACAGATGAGGATTCATTAAGAGCCTAGACTTTTTAATAGACTTACACTCCTTTAGAAATACTTTAAATTCAATAAACTAAAAATATCCAGAATCCTGCAGTCAGCTATATAGGAGACTACATGTCGATGTCTAGTTTCTAAGCATGGATAGGTCCAGTATTTTCAGTCATGGTTTTTCTATAATTTTACCATAGCAAATATGTGAATTGTCTGTGGAATGTTTGTTCTGTCAACTGAAGAATGACAAGGCTCATAGATTTGGAAGGAAGACTTTTATTTCTCATAAAGAGTTGTGGCCTGCAGGTGGCCATCCTGGCAGGCTGGAAAGGGTAGCTTCCTGCCAGAAGCCAGAAACAGGCACTCCGAGGGAGAGGTAAAAGAAACAGGAATTTATGCTGGGCAGGGTGGCTGAATACACGTATTTAATAAGCTGTAGCAGGGGTCATGAATACTTGTGAAAGGAGAAACAGACCCAAGTGCAATTGAGCTTCATGCTTCCAGATGGGTCATGTGTTCAAAAAATGGCATTGGCATGATCAGTGGGTGGAGATTTTGGCCCTCTGATGTCGAAAAGTGAAGCAGAGGCCAAATCCCTCTGTGTGCAGCCTCTGTAGACTGGCCAGACCACTCAGTGGTCAGTGGTCTCTTACCAGGAAGGAATGCTGGTGGGTTGTTGTGTCAAAATTGCAAAAGGGAGAGGCAGCAGTCAGGGGGCTGGGTGAAATCAGCGGTGCAGCAAGTCTTCTGAAAGGGCTGGTTTCTGTTTAGCCCTTAGGGAAGAAAGCCTAAAGGCACTTAGCGCGGGAGGATGCATATTAAATTGTCCTACCTCACTTTCACTCACAGCCGGGAACTCAGTTTTTAAAATTTGCCTGGGTTCTCCATCGTGAAGAGGCAGTTTGTTCAATGAGTTCGGAAGACGGGCAGTTAGGATTTCATTTTTATTTCTCAATCCATTTATTTACAGTTTATACTCAGCCTGGTTCTAGAAAGTTGTTGGGTAAGTGACTGCCCCACAACTTTACTACCATAGTGAACAATGGTCAAGGAGAAGGAAATTCAGAAGATCTTAAGGAAGACAAGGGCTTCAGGATGGTGTGGATCATGCTCAATGACATGAGATGCAGGAAGAAGAAATCCTACACAAGTTCATGTGTAATGGGCCAGCTGGGCTGTGTGGAGCTTAAGAGAGTAAAAGGTGTTGAGGCTGAGGCAGTAAGTGTAGACAGTATGAAATGTAAAGGAGAAGGTGGAGATTTGTTGGAATGAGATTGATCCTATAATGGATTCATTACATGATACCTATTTGTGTAATACTCTAGCAGTTGCAAAGCATGCTCACTTGATTTTTTTCCTTTTAACCTCCTGAAGATTCTAGTTAGGTGGGACAGTAAAATTGTTACTGTCTTCCCTATTTTTCAAATGGGAAAATCATTTTAAAACAGTGAGTTGCATAAATCACATAGAGAGTAGCTGAGCTAGGATTTAACAGAAGTTTATCTTAATCCACTCCTGTGATCTTTCTGCTTTTTCAGTTGTCTTTTCTTCTAATTTAAGGCTATTAGATAACAAAAGCAGAAAGAAAGGAACTTCTGAAGATGCTCAGAGAGACATTGGGAAGGACAGACTCCCTCAGAACCCAGGAGGAGCCAGGCTCTAGAACATGGTGGATGAGAGAGGACATTACTCTTAAAGAGAAAGAAAGATTTTCATTCTCCATTATTTCAGAACAAGCTGACAGGTAGAATTTAGGGTCTGGAATTTGGAATATGTTAAGTAAAGAAAGAATCTTGGTGAGTTCTCATGAGATGGGGGTCCCTGGGTGAAGCCTGATGCAAAGCCTTTGAATATTCTCTGTTGATAATGCAAAAGAGCACATTTGATTGCAAGTTTTAATTGGTCTCACATAGTCATGCAACTGTGTGTTTGTGACTGCTGTTCGCCAATCTTCATGGATTATTGAAATAAAGAAAGCAAGCACTTGGCTCCTTTCATTGCCAAATCTTTTCTACATTGATACTGATGTCTCTTTCAGAACTGGCTCTTGCAGAATAAAGACTTTAAGAGATTTTAAAACTCTCACCGTATTCCTTGGGTTCTTGCCTACCCCCTTAAGGAGAAGAGGCCAATTGTGCTTTTGTAGGTGTTAACTGGCTCATTCCCCAGCCTCTGTTTCCATAAAGCTAAAGGTCAGTCTGATCAAACCATCAATGACAGTCCATCTCACAGATGCTTAAAATGTGTTTTTCAGTATAATCTTGAAATGTGATACCGAGCAGACATCTCGTGTCTCAAAGTGTTAATATATCAATAACATATTACAACTTTGTTTCTTAAATTATCCTCTTCAGATAATATTAAATTCTAAGTCCCCAGATAATGAAAGGTGCATTGTTCCATCTTGTGGCAGAGAACCATTTAGAAAACATTTTGATCTCATTTTTTAAATCATTAGAATACGCTGTTGTATTTTTTATTGTTTTCATAGCTTAAGAATGACCCCTATTTTTTATTGTACCCCTGTTTTGGACAATTTAACCCTTTTGATAACCCATATTTTAAAAAAAAATTTTTTGTTTATCTATTTTAACTCTGAAAAAGTGAATAAATTGAAAAACAAAATTAGTATTTATATGGTTCCGACTCCCAGGATTATTGATTCCTCCTTTTTTGTATCTTTATGTAAAGCATTATTCTTTCTACTTTCTAGTTACAGATACACACACACACAAACACACACACACACACACACACACACACACACACACAGTGACTATTCCTTGGGTTTTGCATAGTTAATTTCTTTCTTTCTTTCTTTTTTGAGACGGACAGAGTTTTGCTCTTGTCACCCAGGCTGGAGTGCAATGGCACAATCTTGGCTCACTGCAACCTTCACCTCCCAGGTTCAAGCGATTTTCCTGCATCAGCCTCCCGAGTAGCTGGGATTACAGTCACCCACCACCATGCTAATTTTGTATTTTTAGTGGAGATGGGGCTTTGCCATGTTGGCCAGGCTGGTCTCAAACTCCTGACCTCAGATGATCTGCCCATCTTGGCCTCCCAAAGTGCTGGGATTACAGATGTGAGCCACCTTGCCCAGCCTTACATAGTTAATTTCTATAGCATAATTATACTGCTCTGTAAGCAGATTTCCTGTGTGACTGCATTTTGTCATATATAGCAAAATTAGTATGTAGTTTTGTAAGGTTCAAATTGATGTTAGAACTAAAGGTGGAAGAGTACTTAGCTTTGTTTCTTAAACTTATACCATCCTCCTAAAAGCAATCTTGCAGACAGATGCAGGGGTAAAAAAAAAAAGAAAAAAAAAAAAAGTAGTGGGAAGGCCTTTGTCTTTTGAAAGAAAAAATCACATAGTGATACTCTGAAAAGCTCTCATCGGAGAATAAAGGATGCAATCGCTGTATTAAACACAGATGGAATATTTCAGTCTCAGCTGTCATTGAAGAATCTCCACATTAGTTTGGATTGCGCACCTTTGGGGCATGTATAAATTGACAGTGATAAAACTACCTCGTTGCTGAGCTGGAGTGTACAACATCCCTTTATCTGTGCCATCTGGTGCTACAGAGGATGGCAAATTCTTCTCTGCCATGATTTTTCTTTCTGGGGGATTTCTAGACTTCCTTAGCATAGAATGTGTTGGACCAAAATCACTCTTTGCCCAGATTTCAGTGACAGTAGCCTGAAAAGAGAAACAGAATTCTAAGAGATTGTAAGTGTAGCAGGAGGCAGAGAAATTATTTGATGCACTGTAAGATATTTTGGAGGGTAGTGGTTGATTACAATGTGATGCTTTATAATCCCTGACCATATCTCACTCCCTAGTGATGGCAAGCTGTTCCTAGTTTTGTTTTTGCCATTTTTACTATTGCTTGTAGCATAATAATATTAAACAATTAATGCTTTGGTTCTTACCCACTGAAGCAATGAATGGTTGTTATTCTGCCTTAGGGCTCTTATTTATTGTGGATTCCCAAACAAGTTTACAATGCTTTATCATCACTTACTCAATTTATCTAATTTAAGACCAATAACAAGATTTACTGGCTGTTGAGTCTTGCAACAACCTGTGTTCCTTTATTATCTACCACTGCCTGTGATTAAAATGAAAACAAAGTTGGATTGCATTTTATTAACAAAAGGATATTTCCAAGAATTATGAATTAGTGATAGAAGGTTTATAAATGATTAAGTTTTAATTTTTCCCCCCAAATTGTACTTAGCTTATGTAAAACAGTCTAGACCCGTTTAGGAGTTTATTTGTTGTCATAAAATATCAAGGTGAGAGTTGACTTTTCTCTGGATTTGTTCAGTAGAGAACTATGCTGGGAAGGACTATGGAGACCTTATTAATAGAATCACACCTGAATTGACTGAAGCCAGGTTACAATCATGAAAAATATGAATGAAAATTTTAACCAAATAAAAATTGGGGCTGTTTGGGTTAAAATTGAATAAAACTAAGTTAAATATACAACTGTTTGTGGCCTAGAGGAAAGTTACATTGGTTTTTTTTAGTTCTTAGGTAGTGTAGTGTGGTTAGAACCTTTTCTGACCAGACGAGGTTGTATTCACCTCTACTAATTTCTTAGCTCTGAGCACTTCCAGTGAATTACCTGAACTCTCTAACACCCGTTTTAGCTCATCAAAATTGTTCATATTTCCCTTTTCATTAGGGAAGGGAGGTTTAACAAGTAAGTTCTTTCAGTCTTAATTTGCAGTGAGGTTGTTTCCTGTTTGTCTACGAATTTAGCCATAACTCACCATTCCTCTTTCCATGTAGAAAATAATTGTGGTTTTTTTTTTTTTGTATAAAAAAGTGAAAGTGTGTCCAGCAAGGAATAACTTGGGGAAAAGCCAGGAAAGCACTATCTTATTAGATATAAAGCATTCCAGTGTCACCACAAGCAGTTGTACAAAGAAGAAAGATTGGATTATGAAACTGGACTGTAATTCTTAGACGCAGTACCACTCCTAGAACACGCTTGGGAAAAAGTCAGCAAGAAGATTGGACCTGGAGGGAGTGCTAGAAAGGCAAGTTGGTGGCAGGAGGGCAAACAGCACACTTTTTTTCTAGCTATGGTTTTCTCTGGACATTCTCAGTGCCTTGATATTCCAGTGCTGGATGGGAAACCACTGATAGAACATTAATTTCTTACTTTGCTCATTAGTTTAAGATTACAGTGTTAATTATTCACAAGAGAAGAAAGTAAGGATATCTTTTTTTTTTTTTTTGAGACGGAGTCTCGCTCTGTCGCCCAGGCTGGAGTGCAGTGGTGCAATCTCAGCTCACTGCAAGCTCTGCCTCCCAGGTTCATGCCATTCTCCTGCCTCAGCCTAAAAGTAAGGATTTCTTACTTCTTCTTCACATCTCCCCCTTTAGAGACTGTACCAGATTTAAGCCTGAGAACTCATTGGTTCCTTCTGGTCTAATTCTAGAGACATGTGTACCTTACTTATGGATACTTGGCAAGGTAGGCATTAGTATTTGGATGCTTATCTTCACAAACCTGAGTGAGGTTCATTGTGAGGGTAGAATTTTGGAGAAAAATGCCTGATTTGATAAAAAAGAGTTTTTCAGTAAAGGACCACCTAATTTCTGCCTTCTGGACAGACTTCACAATTGGGGATACAAGTGGTATTCTAATTGTGAGCATCATCCTGGTTTCCATTCCACCCCTAGCAGAGTGCCTGCCATGATGGTGCTTTTTTTTTACTTGATAAAGGGATTCACACAAGGGAGATACAAGGTGAGCCTGATGAATCTTGTTCCCCAACCTAGAAGATGCTCAGCCTAATGAAATCACCTCAAAAGGAAACAGGAGCCGACTGGATGGCACTTGCACTGGTAAAATTTTGGAATTTTGAGCATCAAAAAAGAATAACGACTGTAATAGATTGCAATATATTGAATAAATAAAAGCCATTGAGTAAGTGATACACTTAGTGATATACAATAATACCACTTAGATAACATCATAAAACATGAAATACTTAGGGATAAATTTGACAAAATATGTGAAAGATCTGTACATTACAAACTACCCAGCATTGTTGAGAGAAGTGAAAAAAGACTGATGTAAGTAAATGAGAGATACAGTTTTTATGAGTCAGTTTTTATGTCATTAAAAATGCTAATCTTCAAATTGTTTATATATAAATTTAGTGTAATCCCAACAAACCTTGACAGGCTTTTTTTTTTTTTTTTTTGGTAGAAATTGTCTGGAATTGATAGAATCAGGTATAAGCTGATTCTAACTTTATTTGGAAATGTAAAGAACCTAGAATAGTAAAAACATTTCTGGAACAAGAAAACCTGAAATGAAGAGAACTTACAGTACTGAATTTCCAGACTTCCTATAAAGCTACTTAAGTCAAAATTGTGGTATTGACGTTAGGTTAGAAGATAGATCAATAACTTGAATAGAATCCCCAAATAGACCACAGTTATACAGTCAATTACTTTTTGGCAAAGATGTCTAGATAATTAAGTGGAGGGAAAGGACAGTCTGATCAGCAAGTGGTATTACTAAACACACCCATCTCCATTCAATACAAAATTCACTTGAAATGGATCATAGAACCATAAAATTTCTGGAGAAAAAGAATTGGAGAATTTTTTTGTTATTGCAATTGTAGCTTAGGCAAATACTTCTTACATACAGCATACCTGAACTGCAGAAGAAAATGATAAATTGTCAAGCCAAAGACTGGGAGAAAATATTTGCAAAGCGTATGCTTAATAAAGGACTAGTGTCTAACATACACAGATAACTCTTATAATTTAATATTAAGAAGGTACCCTGATTAAAACTGGGGTCCAATATTTAAATAGACATATTTCCAAAAAAGATAGACACATAAATATATGAAAAAGTACACAATGTTTCTAGTCATCAGAGAAAAGCAAATCAAAATTACAGTGATAACATTATATACACTGAAATCACTAAAATTAAAAGGACTGAAAATAGCAAGTATTGGCTGGCAAAGGGCAAAGCAGCTTGAACTCTCATACATTGCTGGGCAATTCAGAATTTAGAATAGTCTAATCATTTTGAAAAAGTTTGACATTTTCATAAGTTAAACCTGTGCTTAGCCATTGTGTTCTTAAGTATCTACTTAAAAGAAATGAAACTTATGGTCCCACAAATAGCAGTAAGTGAATGTTCACAGCAACTTTGTTCATAATAACCTCAAACTGCAACCAACCCAAATATCCGTCACCTGGTAAGCAGATGAGCAAATTGTGCTATATCTATACAGTGGAATTCTACTCAATACAGTGGAACAACTACTTTTACATGCAAAAACATGGATGAGTCTCAAAAGTGTTTCACAAAGTGAAAGAAGCCAGACACCAGAGACTGTATACTATAATATGATTCCATTAAATGAAATTCTTAAAGAGCAAAACTGTAATGATACAAATTAGATCAGTGGTTCCTAGGGGTGAAGTGAGGAAATTAACTGCAAAGAGCAGGAGGGAAATTTTGGGTAGTGGAAGTGTTTCTGTATCTTCATCGTGGTGATGGTCACACAACTCTATGCATCTATCAAAACTCAAACTTTACCACTGAAATGGGTGCATTTTACTGTACTCAAATTAGTCCTCAGTATAATTGTTTAAAAATAGGACCATAGTGGTATTTGAGGGGAAAAGAGGTAGGGGTGATGGGTGTTAAAATAATGAAAAAAGGAAAAAAGGAAAACCTTCAGCAGTCTGCCTGCTAATAAATGTAGGAGAAATTATAGAATTGGCAAGATTTCATTTTTAAAATCGTTACAGTAGCAATTGATCCAGTCAAGTGGTTGTCAGTGACAACCACTTGAGAAAGTTGTTGAATAACAAGATAGTCACAAATACTGCGCTACAAATTACTGACTACCTTAATTGGATAAAGTGCACCTTTCTAATACCCATCATTTCCATCAAAACTCACATTGCTAGCAATGAACAACCTGACACCACTCTGAAAATACCCATCCTTGTCATCAAAATTCACATTCTAGCAGTGGACCACCTGATATCACGTGTTTGTTAATGTGCACCCCCATGAAATGTTCTTGTTCATATTGTTTAATTTGAATCTAAACCAAACTAAAACCCTAATTTTCAATGTACAGGAAATACAAGGGATAGAGAAATGAGTTTAACAATGTCATAAGTAAATGATTGGCCAAATCCTGAATGTAGAACATTCTACAAGGCAATTGACTGGACTCTTCAAAAAGTTATGTCAAAAACAAACAATAAGAAAACAGGAAAGAAAGGGGAACTTTTCCAGATTTAGAGTTGAAAAAGTCACAGCCAAACGTAATATATGCAGCTTGATTGGATTCTTGTAGGTGGAAAAAGTTGTAAAAGACACTTTAGAGCAAGTGGAAAAATTTTAAAATATGGATGGGCCGTTAGACATAGTGGAATTTGGTTAATTGTTTTGGTGTGATAATGGCATTTTGGTTTTGACGAGACTGTTTTTATTCATAGGGGAAGCATGGTGTGTTGCATCATGTTGTTGGCACCTTGCTTTGATGCGGAAATAAAAGAAAGGAATAATTCACATCCGCATAAGGCAACAATAACAGAATATAAATTATTAAATCTGGGTGAAGGGTGTATGAGCATTTATTTACTCATTAACTTTTCTACGTGCTTAAAATGTTATGACAAAAAGCTGAAATATAAATATACCCTTCTCTGGGAAAGATAGCTCTGAAGAGTAGTTTACCCCCGGAAACTCTTTGAGACTTTTGATTCTTAAGTGATGTGACCATTTAAGAAGGCACATCCCTCTTACTCCCTCTTTTCTATCAAGTCCTCAGTTCTACTAAAAAATTATGTTTCTATACAGGAGGAGAAATCTATGAGTACTATTTTTTTTTTTTGGTCAGAAACTAAAGATTAACTGATTTTTAAATTTAGATTAATTCAGAAAGAAAATGCATTAGTTAAAACAAAGATGTAAAACGTTTTTATTTTTTAAATTCATATTTTCATTTCCATAGCATTTGGGGTACAGTGCTTTTTTTTGTTACATAGATGAATCCTATAGTGATGAATTTTGAGATTTTAGTGTACCCATCAAACTGTGTGTACATTGCACCTAATGCGTAGTTTTTATCGCTAGCCCCCCCTTTCATCCTCCTCCTCCTGAGTCTCTAATGTCTATTATATCACTCTGCATGCCTTTGCGTACTCATAGCTTAACTTCCACTAGTGAGGACATACAGTTTTTGGTTTTAGGTTTTCTACTCCTGTGTTACTTTTTTTAGAATACTGTCCTCTAGCTCCATCCAAGTTGCTGCAAAACATATTATCTTGTTCTTTTTAATAGCTGAGTAGTATTCCATAGTGTATATGTACCACATTTTCTTTATCCACTTGGAAGTTGATGGCATTTAGATTGGTTCTACATCTTTGCAAATGTGAATTGTGCTGCTGTAAACATACGTGTGCAAGTGTCTTTTCATAGAATGACTTCTTTTCCTTTGGGTAGATACTCAATAGTAGGATTGCCGGATTAAATGGTAGATCTACTTTTATCTCTTTAAGGATTCTCCATACTGTTTTTCATAGAGGTTGTACTAATTTACATTCCCACCAGCAGTGTATAACCATTCCCTTTTCCCCACATCCACACCATTATCTATTGTTTTTTGACTATTTATTTATTGAGATGGAGTTTTGCCCTTGTTGCCCAGGCTGGAGTGCAATGGCCCAATCTCAGCTCACTGGACCTCTGCCTCTTGGGTTTAAGTGATTCTCCTGCTTCAGCCTCCCTAGTAGCTGGAATTACAGCTATGGAATTACAGCTGGAATTACAGCACATGCCACCATGCCCAGCTAATTTTTGTATTTTTAGTAGTGATGGGGTTTCTCCATGTTGGTCAGGCTGGTCTCGACCTCAGGTGATCCGCCTGCCTGGGCCTCCCAAAGTGCTGGGATTACAGGCATGAGCCACTGCGTCCCACTGACTTTTTAATCGTGGCCATTCTTGCAGGAGTAGGGTGATAACTCATTGTGGTTTTAATTTGCATTTCCCTGATGGTTAGTGATGTTGAGCATTTTTTCATGCCTTTGACCATTCGTATGTCTTCTTTTGAGAAATGTCTATGTCTTTTGCCCCCTTTTTAATGAGATTATTTGTTTTGCTGATTTGTTTGTGTTCCTTGTAAATTCTGGATACTAGTCCTTAGTCAGATGTGAACTTTGCAAATATTTTCTCCCATTCTGGGTGTTGTCTGTTTACTCTGCTTATTGTTTCTTTTGCTGTGTGGAAGCTTTTTAGCTTAATTTGGTTCCATTTATTTGTTTTTGTTGCATTTGCTTTTGGGATCTTAGTCATGAATTCTTTGCCTAGGCCAGTGTCTAGAAGAGTTTTTCCAACATTGTCTGCTAGAATTTTTATAGTTTCAGATCTTATATTTAAGTCTTTGGTCTATCTTGAGTTGATTTTTGTATGAAGTGAGATATAGGTATCCAGTTTATTCTTTTATATGTGGTTTGCCGGTTTTCCCATTTAATACATAGGATGTCCATTCCCCAATTCATGTTTTTGTATGCTTTGTTGAAAATCAGTTGGCTGTACATATTTGGCTTTATTTCTGGGTTCTCTGTTCTTTTCCATAGATCTATGTGCCTACTTTTATACCAGTACCATGCTGTTTTGGTAACTGTAGTCTTGTAGTATAATTCAAAGTCCAGTCATGTGATACCTCCAGATTTGTTCAAAAACTTTTGCTTAGGATAGCTTTGGCTATTCGGGCTCTTTTTTGATTCCATATTAATTTTAGGATTTTTTTTTCTAATTCTGTGAAAAATGATGTTGGTATTTTGATGGAAATTGCATTGAATCTGTAGATTTCTTTAGGCAGTATGGTCATTTTCACAATATTGATCCTTCTAATCCATGAGCATGGGATGCATTTCCATTTGTGTCATCTGTGATTTCTTTTAGCAGTGTTTTGTAGTTCTCCTTGTGGAGATCTTTTACCTCCCGCATTACATATGTTCTTAGGTATTTTATTTTTTTTCCTGATGTTGTAAAAGGGATTGAGATCTTGATTTGATTCTCAGCTAGGTCACTGTTGGTATATAACAGTGCTACATTTTTGTGTATATTGTAAATCTAACTTTCTAATGTGGAACTAATGAGATTGGAATCTGAGGCTAGAGTATTAGCTTTATATTTTTGCGTAATAAATTACCACATAGCTTCTTAAAACAAGTCTAGTTTATTAGGTAGGAGTTCTGAAGGCCAGAAATCTGGACAGACTGAGCTGAGTTCTCTAATTAGGGTCTCACAAGGCCAAAATCGTGGTATCAGCCAGGCTGGGCTCTTTTATGGAGGCTTTGGGATGCTCTGTTGCAGAGTTTGACCTCCTAGACAGGCAGGTCTGAGGTCCCCACATCCTTTCTGGCTGTTCATTATGGTCACTCCCTGCTCCTAGAGGGTGCCCCAATTCTCTCTTGCATTTCCCTTTCATCGGCAAATGAGCAACATCTGATTTTTTTTCTTCCCTAACTTCCCCTTCTGCTAACATCAGGAGAAAACTGTTTTTAAATGGCTGATGTAATTAGATGAGACCTACTAAATAGTCTCTCTGGTTTAAGGCCAACTGTATCATATAACATAAAATAATTCCAGGGATGATGTCTCATCATATGCACAGGTTCTAGCTATACTCAGTGGGAGGATTATGCAAGGGTGAGTATCACTGGGAATTCTTAGGATTCTGCCTAAGAGTTTCTACTTTGGTTTTTGGGAGACAATTTTTTAAATCTACTTTTTAATCTACTTACTGGCATGTGTATGTTAGTTCTCTGTGCTTTATCACCTGCCTATTTATTGAATTGTATGTGTTACTTCACTGTACCTCAGCATCTGTCAACTTATTTAAATGTGTGTGTTGGTTTTCTGTGCCTTGGGATCTACTCATTCATTGGAATGTGTGTTTTGGTTGATTGTGCCCCAGTATCTATGTATTGAAATGTGTGTGTTGGTTCACTCAGCCTTTCCATTTATCTATGTATTGAAATGTGTGTGTTGGTTCATTGTGCCATGGCATCTGTCTATTTATTGAAATGAGTATGTTGGTTTTCTGGACCTGGGTATCTGTCTATTTATTGAAATGTGTGTGGGGGTTTCATCATCTCTATTATTATATTATTATTATTTTGAGAGACAGTATTTTGCTCTGTTGCCTAGGCTGGAGCGCAGTGGTACAATCATAGCTCACTACAGCCTCAAACTCCTGGGCTCATGCAAACCTCCAGCCTCAGCCTCCTGAGTAGCTAGGACTACAGGTGTGTGCCACCACACCTGGCTAATGTTTTTGTTTTATTTTATTGTAATGGATATAAGGTCTTGGAATGTTACCCAGGCTGGTCTCAAATCCCTGGCCTCAAGTGATGCTCCCAAACTGCAGGGATTACAGGTGTGAGCCAACCATGCCTGGCCTCATTATGTCTATTTTATCTGTGTATTTTCTCAATGTAAGATAAACAGTTATTTTTATCGGAAAAAAATTTTTGGTTTTAATATTATTTAAGAGGGCAGGCATTTCCTTTTTAAGAATAAAGCTTCTCAGCTTTATTTTGTAATCATAACACAGTAATGACATTTTTAAAAGAAATATACAATGCCCCTTTTTTTTTTGTATTAGTTTCAAAGATATTCCCTAAACTTTAATTCTGTTTTCTTTCTTTCTTTTTCTTTTGTTTTTTCTTTTTTGTGATGGAGTCTCAGTCACTCTCTCATCACCCAGGCTGGAGTGCAGTGATGCCATCTCGGCTCACTGCAACCTCTACCTCCCAGGTTCGAGTGATTCTACTGCCTCAACATCCCAGGTAACTGGGATTACAGGTGTGCTATCATGCCTGGCTAATCTTTTTTTTTTTTTAGTTTTTAGTAGAGACAGGGTTTTTGCCATGTTGGCCAGGCTGATCGCGATCTCCTGACCTCCAGTGATCTGCCTGCCTTGGCCTCCCAAAGGGCTGGAATTACAAGTGTGAGCCACTATGCCCGGCCAACTTTAATTCTTTACATCTTCGGCACATTTATTTTCTGATTGCTCTGTATGAAATCAAATCCAGCCATAACTTTATTGCTAGCATGCTTCAGTTATCTATTTCTGTAAACAAGCCAGCTTAGCCGCAGTAGTATAAAACAAAAACTGTTTTATTATGCTTCTGGATTCTGCAGTTTAGGAATTTAGGCAGGGTATGGCAGGGATGCCTGGTCTCTGCATCATGATGTCTGGGGCCTCAGCTAGAATGGCCAAGGCTTCAATAGCCAGGGAGACTCAAAAGATTGAAATCTAAAATCCTCTGAAGGCTTCTTTACTCTTATGTCTGTATCTGGGCTGAGATGACTAAAAGGCTGAGCTCAGCTGGGGCTGTCCACCAGAGTGCCTACATGTAGCCTCCTCATGTATCTTGGGCTTCCTCAGAGCATGGTGACACCAGGGTGCACAGATTTCATACATGACAGCTCTAGGCTCCCAGTGCAACTGAAAAGTTAATCTAAAAATCTTATATCACATTTGAAATAGAACATGTCCCAATATTGTTTCTCATATTTGATAGTGGATGTTTTTGTGTATCTTAAAGTGTGTTCATGTGTTTTAAGTTATGGTTTTATCTCTAGAGAAAAAGCAATGATGACTTCTAAATCATAAAATTGAGACTCTTAGATGGATGGAAAAATAATATATTACCTATATATTATTCATAGATAAGTAGCATTTTTATTTCATTTCAAAATAATTGGCATCAATTTGAATAACGCATAGTTTAAGAAGCTTGTAGCATAATTAAAAATGGCAGGTTTTGCTTTGTTCCTGTATCACTAATGAACTGTTAGAATTTTGTAGAGAGCTAACAACTTTTGGAAATAGGAAGGCAGAAAACATTACTGATATAGTGATATAAAAGAAAGGAGAAAAAGATACAATTAGTATTTATAAAATGAAATTATATTTGCCTTGTTCCTGGCTTTCTCAAAGGAAAGAAATAACTTTTTCTTGTGTTACTTAAAATGAGATCTGATGCTGCTGAGTTCTTTGTTTTTTTCTATGATAGGCCTGAGGAAATTAGGACTTCATTTCCCCAAATCTTCATGGGTCTTGAACCAACAGAAATGTGTTATAGTAGCCACCTGCGACACTAACTCTCCTCACAGAACCCATCATGATATGGTCTTAGTTCATAATTCAGTATTTCCTTAGATTTATAGTGTTGTGTTTAATCTTAGAGCCCTCCATGTTATTTTCCAAGTAGTCTTTAGTTTATTAAGACTATGTTTATTCTTACTAGTTTGAGAAGAAAATCTTGAAAAGTCCTGGCTTCACCTTCCTTTTCTACCACCTTTATAGAAAATACACCTCTTATACCTGTAATTTAGCAAATTATACCCGTAATTTGGCACTTTGTAGACATAAGGTAAAGTCATTTTAGGGGGCTGTCCCAGTGGGGACACAAGCCATCTGGCCCAGGGATATTATGTGCTTCTCAACTGTGACAGTTCTTCCTACTCATTATATAATGGGCTTTTCTAAAAGCAATTTTTTTTTTCTTAAAGGATTCAGCAAACCCCTGAGCTGTAACAATAGGATTAAGTGATGCTGACATTCAAAGTCCGGAGGTTCTCAGTGTGGTCCCTGGGCCAATAGTATCAGTATTACCTGGGAACTTACTATGAATGCATGTTCTTACACTTCACCCAGGATCTACTTACTCAGAAGCTCTGGGGCTGGGATCCAGCAGTCTTTTAATAAGCTATGCAGGGGATACTGATGCAGGCTAAGTTTTAGAACCACTGTCTAAGGATTTGCAATTGTTCTTAGTATTTAACATGCATTGTACCTTCTTATCCTTCTGAATAAGTATTTCTTATTATTTATGTAAGGTAGCTTTATATGTATAAAATAGTCATACATTTTAACATTATACGTATATGTATATGTACATAGTCACATATATTTTTCTTGATTTTTACATTAATTTAAAAATGGGGAATGCACTGTCTCTGCCATTGTCCTCTCCAGATTTTGAGATAGAAATGAAGAAAACCATGTAAAAATGAAGATAAGTAGACCAGGGTGGGACTCTGTGGAGCTGGAGATCGATGGGCAAGAGATGTGAAGAAGGTGAGGAGAAAGGGATAGAGTAAGGGGGCAGGACCTTGGCCTGTAACTTGTGCTGGGAGCTCAGCTGAGAGCATCACTGGGGCAGCTGAGTGAGAATAGAGCAAAAGCTGTTGCTCTGTCTATATGGTTTTAACCAGGGTTGTTTTATTCCAGGGATAATGGGAAGGTTGGATCAACACCCTTTTCTCAGTTGATTCTTCTCATTGATACCTTTGCCTTTAGCACTGTGTAAACTCATTCCTGCAGTAAAATGACTTTTTAAATGATTGCTCACTTGTCACTAACTTGATCTGCATTGTCACAGACTTAATTATAAAACTTTTAATTCTACTTAGTACTGTAACATAGGATAGTGTTTTAATAGGTAGAATAGGATTGTTTTGCTATGTTAGATTAAATATGGAGGGGGTGTTCATATACAAAGAACCATCAGTTGCTTTTTCCAGGAACATTATATCATTGTTTTAACAAGTAAAAGAGATTTCATTTACATTGTTTCCATTTACAAAGCTTTTTCTCAGAGTTTGTCTTTTGGAAGTCCACACTCTTTGTTTTGTAATAGGTTGGGAAGCAACATGGCTCTAAGCAAGTTAACCCTGTTTTAAATTTATTCCTTTATTAATTTTTTGGAATAGTAATTTAGTTATGATTCACAATTTCAATGTTATCTTTAATGTGTTAACTTCTAGTTTTAGTGTATGTACCCAGAGTAGATACTTACTAAATGTTGGTTAAATGAATGAAGATTGGCTTTGTTAAGATTTTTGGAGAGAGCTCCTTCTGTGTTGTAAAGGTGCTCAGAAGGGTGATTTTTTTTCTGCTGCTCTGGTTTGATTTTTGCATTATATTTTTGTAGTTAAATATTAATCTCTCTTTTGAAATCCTTAATTGCATATAGATTTTTAAAGTTGATCTTTATTTTATGGTTCTTTGCTTTAAATGTTCCACTTAATTTTAAATGGGAAGGATTTAAAACAAGCTCTAAACTAGTATAGAGGACATGTACATATCTTGAAAAATGACCTGTTATAAGCCTGTACACTGTGGCATTTACTGGTAAGGTTTCTCATCATGTGCATGTGAAGAGAAAAGAAACAAACTTATTTTATTGCTTTAATGGCGTTGTAAAAAATGGCAAGAACTTCAGCAGGGGTTTATATCAGCCAGCTCATTTGGGTTTCTAACTTCCTTCTTATTGCTTTTCCTTCCCATAGCTTCCTGAGTGGCCTTTCAAGTTTTTTTTTCCACTTACATATACTCATATTTTTCTTTTCCATGTAACTCTGACACATAGTTACTCTCACAGGTCTGTCACTACTCAGATATCCTCTCTATGGTGATCTCAGACCGTAGCCAAGTTTCATCCCCCTAATGCTACTCAGCCAGTGGATGCTGACATTTCAGAAGGGAAGTGTGGATGGGCCACAAAGTAAGGACTTCTCATTTCTTTCACTGAGAAGTATTTTGGCTCTTTGGTTGGTTCTAATAACAACTAGGACTACCTTGGAGTAGGAAAACCTGATTTCAGAGTCTAACAAAACCCAAAGGTAGGCATTCAGAAACCTGGACCTCACAAAGGGAAATGAAAAGTGATCAAGAAGCTAGATCTGGCCCCTTTTTTCTATCTGTATTAGATATCTGCTCTGTTCTTTTCTCAACTCTCAATTGATTTGGTAAAGATGGTTAAATGAGAACAACTGAATTGTAAAATTATCTACATTTCATGATTAAGCCTGACTGAATTAAGATCTTTGTACCAGAGAGTCATTCAGATTGGTCCAACTTGGACCATATATTCTCCTGTATCCGACAGACTGTGGACAAAAGATGGGGTTCACAGTAAAACAGAATGTGGACCCTCAGGAACCTTGTCCCATGGCAAGGTCAGATCTATTCTGATTCAAACGAGGCCAAAGCAAACAAAACCCAAAATTTGGGGTTTTAATTGATATAAAAACATTTTGAATTTTGTAGCACATTTTTCTAATTCTTAGGTGCCAATTTGGAGCTGACAGTTCTTATTTTTCAAGATGGAACAGACAAATGTTTTTAATCTGTGTGGAATGAGAAACTGGGGAGGATGCAGCTGAATGTATGTTTTAAAAGAGAGAGAGGGTTTAATGGCTGAAACAAGATCTAAGAGGAGTCAGAAAGAGATCCAGGGCCAGTCAGATGAAACTGGTGGCCTTGGGCAGAAGAAAAATTGTTCTCTAAGACAAGGGATATCAATGTGCCTGTGTATCAGGATTTGGAGAGTTGAACTTAATTCCTGAGTGGGAGTCAAGGCTGTCAGCTAAGATTGATAGGGTTGAGTAGGGACCAGGCGGAAAACAGTGAAGTTTGTGGAATAGAACCATGAGGAAATTAAAGAATTTCTGACGGTGAGACTAAAGTTTAAAATTTAAAATCTAGACCAAGAGGTACCACTCTAACCCATTCCCCTCCAGTAAAAGCAAGTGATTGATTAATTGAGTGGGGCTGTCCAGTCAGATGCAACAGAAGGACTGAGGGAAAAGAAATTGAAAAAAGATAGTTGACAAGTGAGAGAGTAGAAGTGCTTCATTGTGGGGTCCTATCTGAGTAGGGAAGGAAATAAAGACAGGAAGAGACACAGTTGTTGAAGAAGAGGAATGCTTTAAAGTTGAGGTCTCAATGTTCTAGGCTCACACTTAGTGATAGAAAGATGGAGGATAGAAGATGGAATTCCAGAATCGATGATGTTGGAGGAAATCCTGTTCTGGTGATGCCAGGGTCTGTGCTATGGCCACTGGCTTTTCCCGTGGTAGCATTTCCTTGGAGAAGGTCAAGGAACTTGTGTTTTGCGGCTCTTCAATCGGCCTCCCATATGGACATTGATAATAATAGCTAACTTTCTAGGACTACCTATTCTCTGCCAAACAGTGTAACAGATTTTTGCATACGTTACTTCCAACCATTATAATAATCCTTTGTAAGGTAAATACTACCTTTTTTTTTTTTTGTTACGGAGTTTTGCTCTGTCACCTGGGCTGGAGTGCAACTGTGCGATCTCGGCTCACTGCAACCTCTACCTCCCGGATTCAAGTGATTCTCCTGCCTCAGCCTCCTGAGTAGCTGGGATTACAGGCACCTACCACCACACCTGGCTAATCTTTGTATTTTTAGTAGAGATGAGGTTTCACCATATTGGCCAGGCTGGTCTCAAACTCCTGGCTTCAAGTGGTCTGCCTGTCTTAGCCTCCCAAAGTGCTTGGATTACAGGCATGAGCCACCATGCCTGGCCGATACTACCATTTTCATTACACCCAGAAGGTTGAGCCAATCTAATAATCTGTCCAAGATTGTATCGCTATTAATAGTAAATTCTGGAGATGGAATTGATATTCAGGTATGTCTGTCTCTAAGGCCTAGCACTATTCACTTGCTGAATTCCGCCATGGACTCCCAAAGCCCCATCCTCCCAGTTTCTGTTTTTCCTCTTCATTCCTTTGTTTTTGCCTTCCTTAATTTAAAAAAAGGGCGTAAAACGAACAAAAACATGTAATATAGCAGGATTTTTTTTCTTTTTTTTTTTATTATACTTTAAGTTCTAGGGTACATGTGTACAACGTGCAGGTTTGTTACATATGTATACATGTGCCATGTTGGTGTGCTGCACCCATTAACTCATCATTTAGCATTAGGTATATCTCCTAATGCTATCCCTCCCCCCTCCCCCCACCCTACAAGAGGCCCCAGTGTGTGATGTTCCCTTTCCTGTGACCAAGTGTTCTCATTGTTCAATTCCCACCTATGAGTGAGAACATGCAGTGTTTGTTTTTTTGTGCTTGCGGTAGTTTGCTGAGAATGATGGTTTCCAGCTTCATCCATGTCCCTACAAAGGACATGAACTCATCATTTTTTATGGCTGCATAGTATTCCACGGTGTATACGTGCCACATTTTCTTAATCCAGTCTATCACTGATGGACATTTGGGTTGGTTCCAAGTCTTTGCTATTGTGAATAGTGCCGCAATAAACATACGTGTGCATGTGTCTTTATAGCAGCATGATTTATAATCCTTTGGGTATATACCCAGTAATGGGATGGCTGGGTCAAATGGTATTTCTAGTTCTAGATCCTTGAAGAATTGCCACACTGTCTTCCACAATGGTTGAACTAGTTTACCTCCCACCAACGGTGTAAAAGTGTTCCTATTTCTCCACATCCTCTCCAGCACCTGTTGTTTCCTGACTTTTTAATGATCGCCATTCTAACTGGTGTGAGATGGTATCTCATTGTGGTTTTGATTTGCATTTCTCTGATGGCCAGTGATGACGAGCGTTTTTTCATGTGTCTGTTGGCTGCATAAATGTCTTCTTTTGAGAAGTGTCTGTTCATATCCTTTGCCCACTTTGTGATGGGGTTGTTTTTTTCTTGTAAATTTGTTTGAGTTCTTTGTAGATTCTGGATATTAGCCCTTTGTCAGATGAGTAGATTGCAAAAGTTTTCTCTCATTCTGTAGGTTGCCTGTTCATTCTGATGGTAGTTTCTTTTGCTGTGCAGAAGCTCTTTAGTTTAATTAGATCCCATTTGTCAATTTTGGCTTTTGTTGCCATTGCTTTTGGTGTTTTAGACATGAAGTCCTTGCCCCTGCCTATGTCCTGAATGGTATTGCCTAGGTTTTCTTCTAGGGTTTTTATGGTTTTAGGTCTAACGTTTAAGTCTTTAATCCATCTTTAATTGATTTTTGTATAAAGTGTAAGGAAGGGATCCAGTTTCAGCTTTCTCCACATGGCTGGCCAGTTTTCCCAGCACCATTTATTAAATAGGGAATCCTTTCCCCATTTCTTGTTTTTGTCAGGTTTGTCAAAGATCAGATGGTTGTAGATGTGTGGTAGAGCCAAATCATGAGTGAACTCCCATTCACAATTGCTTCAAAGAGAATAAAATACCTAGGAATCCAACTTACAAGGGATGTGAAGGACCTCTTCAAGGGGAACTATAAACCACTGCTCAACGAAATAAAAGAGGACACAAACAAATGGAAGAACATTCCATGCTCATGGATAGGAAGAATCAGTATCGTGAAAATGGCCATACTGCCCAAGGTAATTTATAGATTCAATGCCATCCCCATCAAGCTACCAATGACTTTCTTCACGTAATTGGAAAAACCCAAAGTTCATATGGAACCAAAAAAAGAGCCCACATTGCGAAGGTGATCCTATGCCAAAAGTACAAAGCTGGAGGCATCATGCTACCTGACTTCAAACTATACTACAAGGCTACAGTAACCAAAACAGCATGGTACTGGTACCAAAACAGAGATATAGACCATTGGAACAGAACAGAGCCCTCCAAAATGATATAGCAGGATTTTAAAAAGAAATGAGAAATAAGCATTAAAAATAAAAATTTATAAGATATAGGATGTAATCAAGGGTAGGTTAGCATACAAATTCAAGGTGTTAATTTTATCGCATTTACTAGGCTTAGGCTGTAAAATTGGCTTTAACATTTTAAGAGCAAGCATGAAGAAACAAAAATTACATGATACTCAGAGTTGAGTAAGACTACTCCCAGTACTGAGATGTGGGAGATGACAGGCCTTGGGTAATGGGAAAAACATCATCATTAGGAAGACTCTTTATAAAAATATAATAATATATTTTATTGAGTTCTTACTGATAATATCTATCATGTAGGCAAATAAAATTCTGGGAGATTTAAAATAATATGGTTGAGTACGGTTGCTCAAAGACAGGTTGGAATGCAGGTAGAGCTAGGCAGATGCCACATTTTTTTCTTAAAGATTGGCAGATTAAATGACACCTAAAGATGGGTAGAAAAATGTCACCAGTTCATACACGTAAAAATTGTTCCATGTGGAATGATCTGAGATTTGGAATCAATTACTGTAATTTCTTCAACTAAGAGTTCAACTCCTTCCTGAGCCTGGATTAGGGCTCATATCCAGAATATACTAGGACAGATGTCCTAGTGTAATGTCCTGCTATGACCTCGTGACATTTTTCTACTCATCTTCCTACAAAGAAGTAGGATATGAAGTCTAGAGGGATGAGAAACGATTGTGGAATTTTTTTTCTCTCTGTATTTTTATGTCTTTTGACTAGACATGGGGAGGTTGTTTCATCTCACAATCTTTAGGGCAGTGGTTGTACAAAGTTAGCATGCATTTTAATTACTCAAAAGCTTATTAAAACACAGATTGCTGGTCCTCAACTCTAAACTATCTGATTCAGTGGGTGTGGAGTAGGGTATGAGAACTGCATTTTTAACAAGTTCCTAACTGATATTGATGGCTGCTGGTCAGAATGCACACTTTGAGAACCACTGCTGTACAAATAGGAAATAAAATGAAATTGGATAATAATTTAGAATATTTAATGCTAACATTCTAAATTAGGGAAAATCCTAGATTATTTTAATGTCTTTTTTCCTATATACCCATATCCTCATTGAAAGTAGTTTTGACAGTAAATCTGATAGAATTTCAGTTTGTTGAGATGGAGAATTTGTTCTTGCAAACTTGATCATTTACATACTTATAATTTTATTTACTTGAGCCAACCCCCTTTTCGTTAATATCAAGGGTAAAATTTTATATAACCTGTCTCAAATTCATAATTAATTGAAATTGTAAAGTTTTGCAGGGAATTTTTGTCCCCCTAACACCCCCAAACTGATCTGTTAATTATCTCAAGTGCAAAAGTGCAAAGATTCTAGCCTCTATCTTTAGAATGGTAATACCACCGAGGGCTATTTGAATAAAAAATGGATAATTTCTTGATTAGTTACAATGCTTTAAAGCCATGGTTTCTAAGGGTATTGAAGCAGAGAACTCATTTTAATGACTTTATTTCCCAAGTATCAAGGGGCCTTACATATCAATTTTTTGGTTTAGGATAATAATTTTGGTGTATTGTAACAACACTCTTTTTATATAGTGTTGATCTCTAAGGAGTGCTTCACTATTTCTTCATTTTTAGGATATCTCACAATATTAGTAACTCAAATATTTCAAGTTCATAGAGAATATGAGTAGGAAAATAGATGACTAAGAGTTGTGGTTTACCAGTTTCTCCCAATTTGGCACCCACCAATTTGACTCATATCTAATGAGAGCATAAAATAGCCTTTATCTTTTTTTATTCTAAAAATAAAGTCATTGAAAAACTTGTTGACAACAAAAAAAAGATTAGAGATCTGAATTATATTTCTCCTTGGTTCTCGATACGGTTTAAAAGCTAACCTGAACAACTCTGAGAACGTCATGCATTTACTGGGTAAAAACATGTGGGCTAACTGGGCTTGCGAAGATTCTAATATAATACTTTCTACACCAGCTGATAGTGGTAAAGGAAGTTTCAGAACATCAATATTAATTTGTGTCCAGCTGATCGCCTCATACGGCATGCTGGTGGCTCTGATTTTTCTTTTTTTAAACCTTGTTTTAATGTCTAATAAGATAAATTTCTACATGTGGAAAATATTAAAGTAATTAAAAACATTTGGCTTTTTTGCATATATTTTCTAAAATTAACTTACTTGTTAACACTCATCTCTCTTGTCTCTAATTGGGTTGAAATGTGTGAAAAAAAGCTTTGATATGGAACTGATTTTCAAAGTATGGCTCAACTGTGATACACATGGAGGAGCCAATATATGCAGCTTTGAAAAAGTTTCTGATGTCAGTGTTTTTACTTAGGTGGCATAAGATTTGAATAAGAAGTTGCTACATCTCAATAACTAAGGTTTCTGTTATCATTTGGAAATCTAAGCACTATCACTTTAGAGCTTTGAGTTAAAAGGTGGTACTCCAAGGTCTGCTTCTGAAGAAATTGTTTCTCTTTTTTCTTTAAAATATTCATAGTGTTGGCCTGGTGCTGTGACTCACGCCTGTAATCCCAGCACTTTGGGAGGCCAAGGCAGGCAGATCACCTTGAGCTCAGCAGTTCAAGACCAGCCTGGGCAACACGACAAAACCCCATCTATACTAAAAAATACAGACATTAGCTGCGCTTTGGCAACTCATGCCTGTAGTCCCAGCTACTTGGGAGGGTGGGGCTGGAGAATCGTTTGAGCCCTGGAGGTGGAGGTTGTGGTGAGCCCAGATCGCACCACTGCACTTCAGCCTTGGTGAAAGAGTGAAACGCTGTTTCAAAAATACACACATACATACATACATACATACATACATACATACATACACACACACATACATACATACATAAAAGGAAATATTCATGGTGTCATCTCATTTCCTAGTAAAGGGGGTGGGGCTATATTTAGTAATTTGTTTTTCTAAAGGCAGATAAATACTATCCTCCTTTCAAGTGCTCTGTAGCTGGATGGCTTTGTTTGACTTTCTTTAAAATTATTTTTAAAGTGTGAGCACACATAATTTTATATAATATCTTCATCAGATTTAAATGATGTAATTTAGGTAACTCTTGCAAAGGCTTTACATTTTTTTAAAAATGTAAACCATCCTTACTCTACTATTTCACCATAGATGAACACTCAGTACATTGACACAGCTTATACTATTTTTTGAAGGTTGAATTTTACATAAAAACAAGGTTATATTCTATGCCTGTGGAAAAGTTAATATTCATTTCTTTCCTGTCATCCTGTGAGCTTTATTAAAACTGCTACCACCTGTCAGCAAGAGGTAGAAGAGCGTCATAATGAAAGGAATTGATGCTGAAATATCTTTCTGAAGAAAAATAGAAGCAGCTTCTTTTTTTGACTTGTGATATTTGGGGCCTCAGCTAATCAACGTTGCAGAAGTTTGAGATGATTGGAAATCTTAATGGAGGCAAATGGAGCCATATCCAGGCTTGATGGGATCTGAAGCATATAAAATTTGGGAGGTTTCCTTTAAAGAAAAACAAAAACAAAAACACAAAAAAATGCTTTCCTTTAGAAATTTATAAAACTTCTAATGGAAGGTGTTGGATTCTCTCCTGGGGCCCTCTGGGCAGGAGAAGCCCTTAAGCTTAAACTTCTTTAACTTCAAGGTACACACTGCCTTTTGGGCAAAGAGGAGAAATATTAGTTCTGCCTATGGGCATGAGGTGGTCTCCAAACTTCCCTCCAGATCTGGCCCAATTTTTCAAACCTTCAATCCCTACTGAAAATAAGTTTTATTTCTGCTATAGAATTTCCACCTTGTCTTCTTCAGTCCTGGTTTCCAGTACATCTGTCTTATAACTTGAAATCTCTGAATAAAACTTGCTGAGTAGGTATTTTTTAATTGGTAGATGATGAGTTGACCAAAATTCAGCACTTGGCCAAAATTGCTGAAAATTGAGAGAAACTGTCATGGATGTAGTTGACAATTCATTGGCTTTCTTCATGTTTTAAGGTAGTATTAAGATAACACACCAGCAAGCAAAGTATCTTAATCACATTATCCCTGAAGAAATGTAATCACTGACTTAAAATTTAATATTTCATATTATAGAGGCTCAACAGGAGAACTCTGTGTTGGAACATTATTTCCATAATACATCTTGTTCATAAGATCTGTGATGTCAAGGGCTATGTATTCATCCTGCTGATCCCAATGTCAAATATGTCTTACTAGATATTTGCTTCACAAGAAAGAGAAGTGCTGTGTTTAAAAATGTAGGCTTTGGAACTTAAAATATCTGATAAGCATAATCATTACACACCAGGGTTACTTCCTTATATCATCCTAAAACATTTAGGAAATGTGCTCATTTTATATATTGAGAAAGTAAGATTATCTTTAAAAGTGTGGATTTTGGAGCTAGGCCCAGTGCCTTTGACTGTATTGCTTACTTTCTGCTATGGGGCAATCTTTATGTCTTTATGATTCCATTTTCTCATTTATAAATTGAGGTATCTTAAGGTTATGATGATGATTAAATGGTATAATAAATGTGGGCTACTTGGTAAAGTGCCACATAAGTAAGCCCTCTGAAGTGTTTACCTATTGCTGCAGCTGTTTAGCCATTGATTCAGCATCATACAAGCACACATCTAATGAATTCGTACTTTTAGTGAATGAATAAAAAATGGTATCTTTATAAACTCGAATGTTGCCCCTTGTTAATTTTCTAACAAATTAGAACTGTGAAACCCAACTTATTTTCATTTTTGCCTTAGAGATCAGTAAGCTTAGAACGAAATTCATTATTCCAATGGTGTAACTTGTTCAGTTCAATTCTAGGAACAACTACTACTTTATTTTCTTCAGTTGATCCCTATTCTCTTTGATCCTTTAATTTCTGATTTTATGTCATCTCCATCCATAAATCACTGCCAAGCCTTTTGAAAGGGGTATAATTTATATTAAATGGCCTATCTCCCATTCCCTGTTAACATCTTGACCATGTACAATTGCGTGCCGTTCTCATCTGTGAGGTTTTAGTTGTAGCATGGATTCTTTTTAGGCTTAATTGGAAAAGCCGTCAATCCTGTAAACCACCTACGACATCCCACAGTGTACTATACAGGTTAATTTTCCATGACTATTACAATTTGTGACACTGGTTTAAAGAGCAAAATCCAAATTATCTGCTTACTAAATGTATAAATTCAGAAAATGACATCTTTTCAAAATTCTTTTAAATTTTGGGTAAGTTTAGGTAACGCCAAAAGTCCTATTCGGTATTTTAGAGCCAAAATCTAGACAGAAGGTGTAATGTAAAACACAGTTTTGTCAAAACACTCAGACCATTGGCTTATTTACCTGCTTGTAGTTTATATTAAAAAGTAAATTATCATTGAATGAGATTTTAGGTCTTTCTGAAAATGAGAAATTTCCATTGAAAGATATGGCTAGTCATGTTTTTGTTGCTTAAGATTTTATAGCTGGAAATACTGCATTTTAAAAATATCTTCAGTTTTTCATCCACATTACAGCTAGGTGCTCCTAAATGTGTTGAAAGATTTCTATTAATATATGGTATTAAATGATTCATAATTTGAAGACTCTTAAAGTTCTTTGATCTTATAGCTAAAAATACTGCAGGTATTATAGTTACTAGAAAAAATTTCCCATTCTATACTGGCTTGTCTATTATCTGCAGCTTACTTAGAATTTTTAAAGGACAGTATAAATAAACGGAACCCCCCAAATCTGGTACTTGACTGATTTGACTGGAAGACCCATGGCCTAGTTCCAGCTGTGTAATCAGTAGCTATGTGATTTTGACCAAATAAGTTAACATCTCTATGCCTCAATTTTCTTATCAATAAAATGAGGAAAGTTGGGCTAAACTGATTCCTGAGATCCCATTCAGCTGTGGAAGCCTTTGATTCTCTTGTCACAAAGCAGCACACAATGAAATACTTTATTCAAAATGAAATGGTGAGCCAGGCATGGTGGGCCACAGCTGTAATCCTAGCACTCTGGGAGGCTGAAGAAGGAGGATTGCTTGAGCTCAGGAGTTTGAGATCAGCTGGGCAACGTAGTAAGACCTCATCTCTACCAAAAAATTAAAATAAAATAATATAAAATAAATAATTGGTGCAGTGTTATTAAGCATTGGCCCCTGGAATATATCCAAAGGTCAGGAAAGAAGTTCACAATTCTGTATAGTCTGCATAGCTGCAGCCAGGCTGGCTGATGCAAGTGTCTGTAAAGTTACTGTGGCTTTCTATTTGCCTGCTGGGATTCTAGCATTGAGGATAGCCTCTGAAAAACAGTGCCACTATGAGCCAGTTTCAGTTCCATTGAAGGAAAAAATGATTTGAGAACCTCAAAATGGGATCCATGGACTTCTGTATTCTACCAGGGCTCAGCAAATACTTCACAGGTGATTTGGTTGGTAGGGATGAAAAGAACGTTGAGACAGCTTTGTTCACATACATTCTTCAATTTGAAATGTTAATTATTATGACAGGCACTGTAGCATGTGTAATCATGAATAATTATAAGAAGCAATAAAGCTCATAATGTTAAAGAGAGGGAACTCGAAAGGCAGTCTTCCTGGGTTTAAATCTGAGCACTGTCTGTCAATAGCTTTGAGAGTTCAAGCAAGTTGTTTAACCTCTTTGTGCCTCAGTTCCTTCATGTAGAAAGTAAGTATAATAATAGAACCTGCCTTATAAAGTTATTCTGGAAATCAATAAATTATTAAATGTAAAACATTTAGAATGTCTGGCATGTAAATTCTTCATAGGTGTTATCTATTGTTATTACATTATTTTCACAGAAAATATTTAATGTTTGCAATATCAGGAATAGATTTGGGTACAAATAACTGAAAATCCTAAGATAATAATGACTTAGGCACAACAAGATGGCTGCTAAAGCACTTCCCTTTTAAACACAAGTTTTAGAAGTCACATTTGACCATTTGGTTTACCTCTTCTTGACCAGAACTTAATTATGAGGCCAAATAAGCTTCAAAGGAAGATGTAAAATGTGCAATTTAATCTATGGGGCTATGTGATTAGTTCAAAATATAATGGCTTTATTATTGAGGATTAAAGAGAGAATATTGGGAAACAGCATCTTTCCACAAATATAATTACATTTTGAAAACCGAGTTCCTCAGTTTTCTCAGTTAAGGGACAGCTTCTTTGCCAAACTGTTCATATTATTTGCATATCTAAATATTTAATTTCAGTTATTAGTGTTGTGTTATTTAATTGCCTTGCACGCAAAAAATGGACTGATTTCTCAAAAATGATTACATGGCAAAAATAGAATTAAAATATTAACATCAGAACTCCAGTTCAGGCACTAAATTTAAATTGACATAAGTTGGTAGAAAGGACTCTGCTAGTGCCATAATTTAGGGGAAGCTCCTAACTACGGAAATGTGTGAATAGGAAGTATGGCAGTGAACACTAGTGTTCAGATTTGATTGGACTGATGATCTACTGACCCCCTAGTCACCTGTTAGGAAACTGTAAAAATAAGCTACCCAAATATGAAATTGATGATTCTTTTTTCCCGAAAGGCAGAAGTTAAAACCCTTCAGATGTCATTTAGAATTTCAATCCTTTGTGTGACACAAGTCACATTATTACTGAGAAGCTTGTCAACCAACCCAAACTCTTACGATAAATGGGTGTAGAGGGGAAGCAGATTAATTATTGGCAAAACCTCTTTGTTAAATGACATTTTTTGTTCAATGACACATCACACATTAGTAGCCATCAATGTGTAAGTACAGTCACTATTTTATGTACTAATATTTTTCTCCCAGTAAAGCACAAGAACTGGGGTACAGAGACTGAATCACAGTTCAGAATATATTAATTACATGCATTCATTCATTTATTTGTTCATTCAACATACATTTTTTCAGGGCCAAGAGTTATTCCAGGCAATGGAAATATGGCAGTTAACAAAAGAAATAAGCTCTTACCATCATAGAACATATAATTCTAATGACAGAGAAATGCTTGATGACTTTTACCACTATTTATCTCTTATGACCCTGTGTTACATGAAAAGGAAGTGATTGCTGTGAGCATTCTTGTGTAGGCTGAGCAAGGTGAATTAGGATTTTTAGAGAGAGTGAAACAGTTTTTGGTTGGGGCAAGAGTAGCATTGCTATGTATATAAGAGTTTACCTGGATACTTGTCTATCTTCTGCTTTACTTCCAAGAGCATTTCCTAATCAATAGTATACGTCCTGGTGGTGATTAAGAGATGAAGGAAGTAGTCAAAATTGTGACTAGGATGGAATTGCAGTCATTGAGTTTCTATGTTAGTGTTCTGGGCAAAGAAATACAATACAGCTTTCTCCCTACTCCTTCCCAATGGCAAGGGGGTCACACAAGATTACCTGAAATATGGAATAAAAACATCTTTTTATGGACAGTAGATTGACTCTTTTTTATATTAAGTGGCATGATCAGTTGGTGTTTCTTTATGATATTTAGTGTCTTGAGTAGTGTGGCCCTATCTTTGTATGGCTGCAATATTACTGTATTTAACATTAAGGATAAATTATTGGAGATTTTGAAGAAGACTGAATAGTGATACAAATGGTTGTTACCAAGAGTTATATTTTTTCTCCATTATTTGATTTTCTTTATTTGAATAAATAAATCGAATAGCTTATGTACAAATCAGTGCAAATGCTGCAGCAGGATATAAAAGTGCATTTCTTTACGTTGAAGGAAATGGTTAGCTTTGCTTTAAATGTGACGAGTTTTTCAACTGAAAGTAGACATAAGGGAGAAGTCTCTCCATAATTCCCAGGTCTACATTTGCTCCAAATATTCCCAACTCTCTGAGAGAGGCACGCCAGACTTGCCGTCATTCCTAATGTTTTATAATGGTAAAGAAGGGCTTTCTAATTTAGATGAAATAGAGTAAGAAAAGAAACTGAATGGATATGGAATCCGATTTTTTAAAAATTTTAGATTTAGGGGGTTCCTGTGCAGGTTTGCTGCATAAACTGCATGACTCTGAGGTTTGGGCTTCTAATGATCCCATCACACAAGTAGTGAATAGTGTACTCAATAAGTAGTTTTTCAACCCTTTTCCTCCTTTCTTCCCTCCCCTCCTTTGGAATCTCGTGTTTATTGTTCCATCTTTGTGTCCATGTATATCCAATGTTTAGCTCCCACTGTTAAGTGAGAACATGCAGTATTTGGTTTTCTGTTTCTGCATTAATTTGCTTAGGTTAATGGCCTTCAGCTGCATCCATGTTGCTGCAAAGGACATCATCTCATTCTTTTTATGGCTGTGCAGTATTCCATGGTGTATGTGTACCACATTTTCTTTATCCAGTCCACCGTTTATGGGCACCTGGGTTGATTCTATGTCTTTGCTGTTGTGACTAGTGCTGCCATAAATATATGAATGCAAGTGTCTTGTTGGTAGAATGATTTATTTTCCTTTGGGTATATACCCAGTAATGGGGTTTCTGGGTTGAATAGTTGTTCTATTTTTAGTTCCTTGAGGAATCTCCAAACTTGTTTCCACAGGGACTAACCTCATTTGCATTCCCACCAACAGTGTGTAAGTGTTCTCTTTCCTCCACAACCTTGCCAACATTCTTTTTGACCTTCTTATAGTAGCCATTCTGACTAGCGTGAGATGGTATCTCATTGTAGTTTTGATGTGCGTATCTCTGATTAGTGATGTTGAGCATTTTTTTTCATATGTTTGTTGGCTGCTTGTAGGTCTTCTTTTGAGAAGCATCTTTGTCCTCTGCCTACTTTTTAATGGGGTTATTTTGGAATCTGATCTTTGGCTCATGTCAGATAAAGATACCTTTGTGAAAGATTGCAAACAGCAAATCTCTTGCTGATATGAAACTAGCGATTTTAAAACTTTTAATTTTTATTTAAAATTCAGATGACTTTTTTTAAACAAAAGATTGGTGACTGTATGCTGAGTGCTTTTGAAGTAGTCTACAAATCCCTTCAGTTTGAGAAATACTACTCTTGGCAGAAGAACAGAAATAAGATACATAAAAGACAATATGAGGAAACAAGAAAAGTCAGAGTTGGGCATATAAAACTTCAGGGAATAGTGGTGGGCCCAGATGTTGTTTAAGGAGTAAATGTAAAGTTTACAAGTATTTAATGTTCTGGTTATCTGTGAGGTAACAAACCACTTCAAAACCTAATGGCTTAAGATGACAACTATTTATCTCACAAATCTTTGTGTTGGCTGTGTGCTGCTTTGTTCAGTTGGGGCCACACCATATGCATTCAGCCTAGCTTAGCAGAGGCCTCTTGGTTTTCCTCCATGTGGCAGTGTCTCATCCTCCAGGGCCTCTCCAAGTGGTATCTCTCTAGTTGGACTTACTTTTAAAGCATGGCAGCTGAGCCCCAAGATGGGTGTTCCAAGAAGGAAACCCGAAAGCTCAGTGCTTGCTTAAGGTCACTTGGCTAAAACAAGTCATGTGCCCAAGCCCAGAGTCAGTATGAGAAGCACAAAGGCATGAATCCCTAAGGCATGTTTCACTGGGATCTACCAGTGAAACAGTCTACCACAAGTGTGGAAAGAAAGAAGCCTGTCATTGCAATGTTTATATTTCTTATCAAACCTGAAGGACATTCTATCTTGGAAATGGGACAAGTTCACACTGTGATGGTTTGAATGTCTATGAATGTGATAATCAGAATATTTTAAAGCAGTGGCTCTCAACTTCGGCTGCACAGAAGAATCACTTAGGGGAACACTGAAAACTGCAGGTGCTTTAGATTGCAAAGGCCAATTAAATAACGTTTCTCCAGGTATGAGTATATTTTAAGGCTCTTTGGCAGATTTCTAAAGTGCCATCAAAGTTGAGACAGCACTGTTGTTTCTGAGATTGACTTGAAGGAGGACAGCCATATATTTTCTTTGCACCACTGTTAGAATGCTTGCTTAGATGTGCAGTGAATAAAGGATCAAGCGTGGCATTCTTTATGATTCTTGTTTGGCTCCGTGGTTATGATTTCTTCCAGTGAGATACCATCTCAATCATATTTCTCCCCTTAGAACCCTAAAATAGTTAAGTATTTTCTCAAGTGGCCTTACAATATTTCTTATGGATATATCTGATTTGAGTTCCTCAGTTGTCCTTCTCTGATGTTCTTGTTTCTTATTCATATCTCATATAGACTTGTCACCCTTCTGTGTCTGTGTCACTTCAAATTATTTGATCCTTACTGTCCTTCCACATCTCAGTCAGAGCAGATGCCTTCCTAATATCTAAGCTATCAGGCACTTTTTCCTGATTGTCCTTCTTCTTGTAATGTTCTCATAATAATTCTTCATGACTGCAGTTACTCAAATGAGTTCTATAATTCAACACCTTTTTGGTTCCTCTGAACACATAAAATTAAAATTTAAATGCATAAACTTTCCTATCTGATTGGCCACACCTTTAAGTTTTTTGTAGTGTTAATTTATTTCAAAATGTAGTATGTATACCTGGTAAAGTAAAACTTTTCAAATAAGTATAAATTAAAAAGGAAATCTCTTTCCATGGCGCACCCACAGTTTCATTCCATGGAGGAAACTATTAGTGCTTGTTTGTGTATTCCTCCAGAAATGTTTTTATATACCATAATATACATATTTAAAAATATAGCAGTGTTTTTAAGCATAATGTATTGTTTTGAACCTTTAAAATTATTTGATATATCTTGGAGATTTTGTCATATCAGTGGTTTTAAAAATGTCATTATAGTTCACTATATGGCCATACCATAATTTATTTAAATGTTCCTCTGTTGTTAACATTTGCATGCTTTTAAGTGTTATTTCCAACACATATCTTTCTGTAAATGTATAAATTACTAGTGGGGAATTGCTGGGTCAAATAGTCTGTTTCCTTGGATTTTGATACCTATTGCCCAAGTGCCTTCCAAAGAGATGCCACTAATTTTATATTCCCACAACTGTTTATGTGATTATACCTGTTTTCTTATATCCTCATCTGCATCTGCACAGGATTTAAACCAAATTTTATTTTTTGCTTTAGTTTAGGCCTTTACTATCTCTTGTCTGGTCTAATGTAATCTGTTTTTTGTTTACCCTCTTATAGACATTAGCAGAGTCTGGAACATATAGAAGATTACCTATGAATGTTAGAATGATAGATTTTACTGAATTGTAGGACATAAAATTTCTGCTTTTGTTAATCAGTAACAAATATCCAATGAAATATAAATACTGCATGGTATTACTCTGAAAACAGAACCCATGCTGAGCATTAAAGTAGCCAAATAGTCTAACAGGCATTATATGTTTTTTAATTAGTTTAAGTTTTTATATTTTTGAGTTAAAAATCCCAGCAAAGTCCTAGAAATAATGCTTGTATGATATTTTTCACCTTAGTGGGTTGTAACATACTCAAAGAGGAAGAATACATGAATTTTCATTAGAAATAGTGATATGAAGAGTTGATATACATGAAATTAATATTTATTTTTGAATCGTGTTAAAAGCATTTTTGCTTGTATTGATTTTTGTGGGGATTTTCTCTTGTATACAAACAATGGAATAAATCATGACAAAAAGCTTAACATATGTAGTATAATATTTCATAAAGTCAGAAGAAATTATAGCTTATATAATGAAAAACTGACATTGAGCAGTATTTTATTATATTGTGATTAAAAAATCATGACTTTACAAATTACATTTCATATCTGGCTCCTGTAGTTTTTCTTTTAATATATTGAAACTGTTTTATTAATAAGGAAGTTTCAACTTCTTGGGAACCCTTTACTTTGAGGCAAATACAGTTTTCCTGGTTCATTATTAAACTTATCTCTCTTTTAAATACCTTGCCAATTTTTGAGAGTGGTGGAAGGTGTGGAAAGCTCTATGTTCTTTAGAGTTTGAAGAAATATTTATTGTGTTAGGTATATTAATAGAAAATTATTTACTTTTCGTAGGTGAAAGTACTGTGCTATAAAATGTCTCTCCTTTTCAAAATTTGCATTATCCATCATTAATTCAAGTGAAGTAGTACTTTCAACATGGAATTGTGAAACTGAAGTTGTTCACTTTCTATTTAGAAGTTACTTCTGTTCAAGGATATTTCTTTTTACCTGTTGCAGAAGAGCATCTTAATAGCTGCCACATTTGTTGACTATTTTCTATATGCCAGTATTTGCACTAGACATTTTACAGATATTCTTTTATTTAATCTTTACAATAGAACCTTTAAAGGGTTATTATTGCATTTATGGCTGACAAGAGTAAAACTCCAACAGATTAAGTAACTTGGCCAGTGATGACACAAACTTGTTAGGGGTGGAGCTGGGATGCAAACCTAACTCCAATGTCCACAATCATTGTATGGCCAAGGATGACTTTCATGGGATTGAATTTTAGCCAACAGATCAAAATTCTAAAGAATTTATTTTAGTGTTTCATCATCTTCTCAAACCTTCAGCTTCATTAAGGTTCAGTAATTAAAAATGGGAATAACCACATTTTATGATCCTTGTTAGAATACAGATCACTAAAAGGCACACCATTCAGTTTCCTTGCTGAAAGAGTAGTCACCAAGATAGTCTCCTAAGTTGAGAGCAGAGGCAGATATTAATAATGTCAAGTTGCTCAATCAGTCCTTAAGCTGTGTGGCTTTTAAGGAATTGGATTCAAGAATGTGAATTCAGTTGTGTGGCCACTTCTGGGTTGGCTATATTTTCCCATTTATTAAATTCACCCATAGTTGTTTTTTTTTAAATAAGGGGAGCTTGCATTTCTACCTAAAAATTACAAAAAAAAAAAATAGATTTTTCATGGTTTCTTTGAAATGTAATTTCTTACCATGATATCTTCAATTATCACAGTTTAGATGTATTACAATATAAAAATCTTTGCTTAGAAAGCTTACGTCTTTGAATGTTCATCTGGATTTTATGTTAAGAGAAGAAATTTTCCTTTATTTTGGCTTTAATGAAAGACCATGTCAAACAGTGATTTATCTGACATGTAAATAGTTATAAGCCTTGTTTTAATTTTATATTTTAAAACACAAATGTAGTCCGTGGTATAGTTATAATATGCATTATATATGTTGCCCTAGTGTCATGATATTTTTATGAATCAGGCTTTCAATTTCAAAAATCAGCTTTTGCTTTTTTATGCTCCTGGGTTGGATACTGTCATTGTCTTTAATATCTAAGGAAAATGTCTCTTCTTGCCATTGAGCCCACAATTTTCTTTTTAAAAAAAATCAGATAATGCTTATATATTGAATGATAAAGATTTTCTTTTCTTTTCCTTCTTTTTCTATTTTTTTTTTTTTTTTTTTTTTTGAGATGGAATCTTGCTCTGTCACCCAAGTCGGAGTGCAGTGGCACAATCTCGGCTGACTGCAACCTCTGCCTCCCAGGTTCAAGTGATTCTCCTGCCTCAGCCTCCTGAGTAGGTGGGAGTACAGGCACGTGCCACCATGCCCAGCTAATTTTTTGTAGAGATGGGGTTTCACCATGTTAGTCAGGATGGTCTCGATCTCCTGTCC